>NC_000002.12:230519921-230822951 GCF_000001405.40 Homo sapiens
TTACACATCAAACCAGCTGGTGCTGATAGAGGCAGTGTACCCTGAGTCTTAGAAGACATGTTTCCCATCTTGGTTGTTTTGAATGAGACAAGTAATGTAGTGGATTAAGTGTGGTGGTTTTGAATTTTTCTTCCCCGAAATTTCACTCAATAGGCTGAAAAGATTATCTTACATGTCTCTGATTCCAGAGTCACCTCCAAAGAAGTTTCAGGGTATTCATGGACAAGAGATAATCAGTTTTTATGAAGCTTGCCAGCTGAGCGAAAAGTTAACAGTGTGGGGATTTTCCTATGAGACTGCTCCATGTTGCTGGGGGTATGCCCTGACACCTCCGCTATTGTGGGTTTCCTAAAAACCATTTGGTCACAGACAGAGAATGTTTCTTAACTTCAGAGCAAGACTGCCCTCCCTCATGCACTCAAAAATGAGAAAGCTAAGGAAAGGTTGTCCCATCCAAAACCTTGAGAGAAATAATTCACAGAGCTCCTATTTTACACCGCCCTAGGATTCAACAAAAACTCCTGTCTAGCCAAGGAGAAAACCAGCTTCAAAAAACCAGAACTTCCACCACGATGGGAGGTTCATTGATTTTGGGAGGAACTCCTCTGCAACCCCCAGCCAGGGCATCCAAGTTCAGGAACACAATGTGTTCATTGCCAGTACCTGCACAAAGGTCGGAGGCCGCATATGTCGTCCAGGGAGGTCACTCCAAAATTCTGCCAACTACACCGGAATGTTGACGAAAATTTAGCCTGTTGAGAAATAAATAATTTGATAACAGTTTATTGAAAGCCAAATGTGAGGATCAACCCAAGAAAACACACCAACAAAGTTGAGAGTGTTCCAGAGTCTGTTACAAGTTGGAATGATTTTATAGGTAGGGTCAGGAGAAGGAAGAGGGACTCTTCACACCAGAATTGTCCTTTCTTATTGGAGGATACAATAGAGAGGTTACAATCATTGGATACAGATTGCAACATACAGGCTCAAATGTCTTCATGTAAAACAATCAGTAAAACTTTATGATTCAGAAATAAGTCAGCACCCTTTTCAGGGTCAGTGGGGTATGCATTAATCAGTATGTCAACAACTTGAGGAACTCATCATGAGATTCAGGGACAGGATTTCACCATGAATCACAAGACCTTCCCAAGGTAGGTTAATCTGGAAGCCTGTTTACTTTTAAATTAAACTGTCAAAAGTGGCCTGTAGGTTTTCACCATCCTTTCTCTGCTTGTCATGTGGATGCAGAGAAAAGGGAGTCTGCCAAACTTGAAACTTACCCAACTGTCCCATAGAACTGATCTTTATAGTTTCTTTTGAACAAATGTGAAACTTGAGCCCCCCAGTTTTGAAATCTCAGAAAGCTCCATTTGTCTTATCAGAGGCCGTTTCTCAGGAAACCAACCATCAGGCCTCTAAGATTGTAACAAGGAGCTGAAACACACCAGGTCACAGCATCTGGACAATGCAACCCAGGTAACTGACCCCCGGTGCCTGCCTAACTGACTATCTGCTTCTTGTTGACATATTCCTCTTCTTTACCCCTAATTCCTAGTTTGCTGCATGTAGTTACATTTCTGCCCTATAAACCCCTAATTTTAGTCAGTTATGGAGATGGATTTGAGACTGATCTCCCATCTCCTTGGCTGCAGCACCTGATTAAAGCCTTCTTCCTTGGCAATACTTGTTGTCTCAGTGATTGGCTTTCTGTGCAGTGAGCAGCTGGACCTAGATCAGGGTGTTTCAACAACAGATTTTGGTTTCCTGACAGTAAACATGTTGCTTGTGGCTTGGCTGCCATGGGCCACGAGTCTCAGAAGCCCTCCTAAGCAGCTGCCCACTCAGTTTTGACTGGAGGTGAGTTGTGGATTCTCTCTGGCCCTGCTGCTACGGGCCCAAACCACATTCCTGATTGCCTAGGAAGAACAGCCTTTGAAATTCCACATCTGCATCTGGATAGATGAGTATCCTTTGTGGGCCCAGACAGCAAGATCTGCTCTTCTCTATTGGGGAACATTTTAAAGGAATTTCCATTTGCAGGTTGAAAAAACCCAAATGGCTGAGAAAGGGAAACACCCTGACTGTTTTGATATGGACTTTCTTGATGGATTGTTTGTAATTGTGTGTGTGTTCCAGCAACTGAGTGTTCATTGCAGGTACCAGACAGTGGGATTGGCTCCTATCGATTTGGGAAATTCCAAAGGAATTTCTGTTTGCAGGCTGAAAAAGCCCAACCGATGGAGAAAGGAAAACACTCTTGACTGTTTTAGTTGGGACAGTCTTGGGGCTTGTTTGTTGTGGCAGCAGATGGATCATTGTGTTTTGGTGATTGTGTGTGTGTTGATACAGTCATGGGAAATTAGAATTTGATAAACTGATATTCTTTCATAATACTGTTTAGCCCCAATATTCTTTGGAATCTGGAGTTTGTTGTTAAATGAGAAAGTGGGATGGAGTTCCATGTATCCAGGCTTTTAAGCTGCTGTTCTAAACAGAGTTGGGCCTGGTTAGTATGTGATGTTCTCCTTTAGTGCTCTTTGGCCCCAGTGTTCTTTTTTTTTTTTTTTTTTTTTTGAGACAGAGTCTTGCACTGTCACACTGTCACCCAGGCTGGAGTAGAATGGTGTGATCTCAGCTCACTGCTACCTCTGCCTCCTGGGTTCAAGCGATTCTCCTGCCTCAGCCTCCCGAGTAGCTGGGACTACAGGTTCACACCACCACGCCCAGCTAATTTTTTGTATTTTTAGTAGGGACAGGGTTTTGCAGTGTTGACCAGGATGGTCTCAATCTCTTGACCTCATGATCTGCCTGCCTCGGCCTCCCAAAGTGCTGGGATTACAGGCATGAGCCACTGGCACCCAGCCCCAGTGTTCTATTTTTTAAAAAATATTTTTTACTTTATTTTTTTGAGGCAGAGTCTCGCTCTGTTGCCCAGGTTGGAGTGCAGTGGTGCCATTTCAGCTCACTGAAACCTCCATTTCCTAGGTTCAAGTGATTCTCCTGCCTCAGCCTCCCAAGTAGCTAGGATTACAGGCACCCACCAGCATGCCCGGCTAATTTTTGTATTTTTAGCAGAGACAGGGTTTCATCATGTTGCCCAGGCTGGTCTCAAACTCCCGATCTCAAATGATCCACCTGCCTCAGCCTCCCAAAATGCTGGCCCCAGTGTTCTTTGGAGCCTGGGGAGATTTGGCCTTTAAAAATCAAACTGCCTTGAAAACTGCTTCACCCAAAATTTTGGTTCACAGCCTTCACCAGATAACATATCCGGGCAAAGTGTAGCCATGTGAACATGTTTGTAGACCAGTGAATTTGTATTGCTATCTCATGGCTATAATTCTGAAGTAAAAGCAATTGGATCTTTGTTTGTGTGTATACACGTTTAGATGTGTTTATGTGTATGTACCTTTATTATGTTATATGTTATGCCTACCAAATTGGCTTATTTTAAAAAAGTGCTGGCCAGGGATGGTGACTCACGCCTATAATTCCAGCACTTTGGGAGGCCAAGGCAGGTGGATCACTTGAGTTTAGACGTTTGAGACCAGCCTGGGCAACATGGTGGAACCCCATCTCTATAAAAAATAAAAATAAATAAAAGCAAAACAGTATTCATTAATTAAGTTCAAAGTATTTTTCAAGTTCATATGACTTAAGAACATCTTTAATAAACAATCTGGCTTTACAATTATTGGTAAAATAGGCTGGATGTGGTTGCTCACACCTGTTATCCCAGCACTTTGCGGGGCCAAGGCAGGCAGATCGCCTGAGGTCAGGAGTTTGAGACCAGCCTGGCCAACATGGAGAAACCTTGTCTCTATTAAAAATTTAAAAATTAGCTAGGCATGGTGGCGGGTGCCTATAATCCCAGCTACTCAGGAGGCTAAGGCAGAAGAATCGCTTGAATCTGGGAGGTAGAGGTTGCAGTAAGCTGAGATCATGCCATTGCACTGTAGCCTAAGTGACAAGAGTGAGACTCCATCTCAAAAAAAAAAATTATTGGTAAAATAAAAATATAAATGTCTTTAGAATTGTCAGCATATATTTCTGTCTGGATTTTATATTTGTCTCTGCTAGATATTTTGAGGTGACAGAGCTTGGCACAGAAGGTTATAAAACTATAAACCAGCTGGGTGTGGTTGCTCACGCCTGTAATCCCAGCACTTTGAGAGGCCGAGGCAGGTGGATCACCTGAGGTCAGGATTTCGAGACCAGCCTGACCAACATGGTGAAACCCTGTCTATACTAAAAATACAAAAAAAAAAAAAAAAAAAAAAGAAAATTAGCCAGGCGTGGTGGCAGTTGCCTGTAATCCCAGCAACTCAGGAGGCTGGGGCAGGAGAATCAGTTGAACCTGGGAGGCAGAAGTTGTAATTAGCAAAGATCGCACCATTGCACTTCAGCCTGGGCAACAAGAGTGAGATTCCATCTCAAAAAAAAAAAAAAAGAAAAAGAAAAGAAAAGGAAAAAAAACGTATAAACCCAGCCAAAACAAAATGATCATTCTTTTAATAAGCAAGACTAATTTAATGTGTTTATTTAATCAAAACAGTTGAATCTTCTGAGTTATTGGTGAAAATACCCATGCAGTTAATTTAAAGTTCTTACTTAGGTGAACATTTGATATTCACAGGTTATAAAATGGTTAACAAGGAAATGATGCATAAAGAATCTTATAAACTACTAAAAATAAATAAAATATAAATGGATAAGTGCTATAGATAAAGTTTTTGTGTAATTTAAAATCTTAAAGTCATTTTGGATGCTCATTGGTTGTCTGGTAATTTCCAATTAAGAAAAGGTTATGATATGGGGAAACATGTTTCTAAAAATTGCAGAATGTTTCTCATCTATAAAATGCTAGTATCTCATAGGCAACTCAGGATTTCTTGCTTCCTAGGTTTTCACTAAAATTTAACATTACTAAGGACAAGAATTCTAGTTAATATGTAATTCTGTATATAAAATGTGCCAAGAAGATGTGTTTTTATTGAGAAAAAGAATAATTTTGTCTAATTCAGAGGTTATCTGAAGGTTACTTCAAATTATGGGCTTGAAAAGGTTATTTATGAAACAAGGTAAAAAGGAACAAGTAAGTAAAGGAGAGAGGTGTAAAGAGAGTTATGGATATCAAGATGTAATTTTGGTAAGGAAGGTTACATAGAAAGGAGAATAATTTTGTATGAGAAAGGATTTTGTATGGTAAATTTTTGTCCTAAAGTAAAATGACTTATTTTTTAAAAAAAAGAAAAAGAAAATTTAGGACAAAACAGAAAGTTCAACCATGTCATAGATGGTCTGTGTAAGCCATAGGTAATTTTTTTCCCTGTTTCCCTGTGTGTCTATCTTCATGAGCGTACAGAAAAAACAGTAAGTTGAAAAGTTTAGATAATATTATTTAAAACCTGACAGAAAATTGGAGAAACTTGACTAATTAACATTGCTCATAGTTAAAGCTCTTAGTCTTGATGAAGGTGAATTAGTAAACTAAGAAAGTTTGTGAAGAAATACATTGGCACTCCAAGATGGCCAAACAGGAAGAGCTCCGGTCTGCAGCTCCCAGCGAGACTGAAGAAGAAGACAGGCGATTCCTGCATTTCCAACAGAGGTACCTGGTTCATCTCATTGGGACTGGTTGGACTCTGGCTGCAGCCTACAGAGGGCAAGCTGAAGCAGGGCAGGGCATCACCTCACCCAGGAAGCACAAGGGGTGGGGGGATTTCCCTTTCCTAGACAAGGGAGTATACTAGAAACAATATACTCCTGACCAAACACTGACTTTTCCTGCAGTCTTAGCAACCGACAGACCAGGAGATACCCTCCCATGCCTGCTTCAGCAGGTCCCGCACCCACAGAGCCTTGCTCACTGCTAGCACATCAATCTGAGATCAACCTGTGATGCTGCAGATTGGTGGGGGGAGGGGCACCCACCATTGCTAAGGCTTGAGTAGCTCACACTGTAAACAAAAAGGCAGGGAAGCATGAACTGGGCGGAGCCCACCACAGCTCAGCAAGGCCTACTGCCTCTATAGATTCCACCTATGGGGGCAGGGCATAGTAGAACAAAAGACAGCAGAGAGCTTCTGCAGACTTAAACATCCCTGTCTGACAGCCCTGAAGAGAGCAGTGGTTCTCTCAGCAAGGCATTTGAAGCCTGAGAATGGACAGACTGCCTCCTCAAGCGGGTCCCTGACCCCCAGGTAGCCTGACTGGGAAACCCCTGCCAGTAGGGGCTCACGGACACCTCAAACAGGCAGGTGCCCCTCCGGGATGAACCTTCCAGAGGAAGGATCAGGCAGCAATATTTGCTGTTTTGCAGCCTCTGGTGGTGATACCCAGGCAAACAGGGTCTGGAGTGGACCTCCAGCAAACTCCAACAGACCTGCAGCTGAGGGGTCTGACTGTTAGAAGGAAAACTAACAAACAGAAAGGAATAGCAAAAATATCAACAAAAAGGACATCCACACCAAAACCCCATCTGTAGGTCACCAACATCAAAGATCAAAGGTAGGTAAAACCACAAAGATGGGGAGAAACCACAGCAGAAAAGCTGAAAATTCCAAAAACAGAGCGCCTCTTCTCCTCCAAAGGATTGCAGCTCCTCACCAGCAAGGGAACAAAACTGGACGGAGAATGAGTTTGACAAGTTCACAGAAGTAGGCTTCAGAAGGTCAGTAATAGCAAACTTCTCCGAGCTAAAAGGTCATGTTCTAACCCACCACAAGGAAGCTAAAAACTTTGAAAAAAGGTTAGACGAATAGCTAATTAGAATAAACTAGAATAAACAGTGTGGAGAAGAACTTAAATGACCTGATGGAGCTGAAAACCATGGCACGAGAACTTCATGACGCACGCACAAGCTTCAATAGCCGATTCAATCAAGTGGAAGAAAGGATATCAGTGATTGAAGATCAAATTAATGAAATAAAGTGAGAAGACAAGACTAGAGAAAAAAGAATGAAAAGAAACGAACAAAGCCTCCAAGAAATATGGGACTATGTGAAAAGACCAAACCTACGTTTGATTAGTGTACCTGAAAGTGACGGGGAGAATGGAACCAAGTTAGAAAACACTCTTCAGGATATTATCCAGGAGAACTTCCCTAACCTAGCAAGACAGACCAACATTCAAATCCAGGAAATACAGAGCACACCACAAAAATACTCCTTGAGAAGAGCAACCAGAAGACACGTAAATGTCAGATTCACCGAGGTTGAAATGAAGAGGAAAATGTTAAGGGCAGCCAGAGAGAAAGGTCGGGTTACCCACAAAGGGAAGCCCATCAGACTAACAGCAGATCTCTCAGCAGAAACTCTACAAGCCAGAAGACAGTGGCAGCCAATATTCAACACTCATAAAGAAAAGAATTTTCTACCCAGAACCTCATATCCAGCCAAACTAAACTTCATAAGTGAAGGAGAAATAAAATTCTTTACAAACAAGCAAATGCTGAGAGATTTTGTCACCACCAGGCTAGCCTTACAAGAGCTCCTGAAGGAAGCATTAAACATGGAAAGGAACAACCAGTACCAGCCACTGCAAAAACATTCCAAATGTTAAAGACCATCGATGCTATGAAGAAACTCCATCAATCAACAGGCAAAATAACCAGCTAACATCATAATGACAGGATCAAACTCAAACATAACAGTATTAACCTCAAATGTGAAAGGGCTAAATGACCCAATTAAAAGACATAGACTGGCAAATTGGATAGAGTCAAGATCCATCAGTGTGCTGTATTCAGGAGACCCAACTCACATGCAAAGACACACATAGGCTCAAAATAAAGGGATGGAGGAAGATCTACGAAGCAAATGGAAAGCAAAAAAAAGCAGGGGTTGCAATCCTAGTCTCTGATAAAACAGACTTTAACCATAACCAAAACAAAGATCAAAAGAGACAAAGAAGGCCATTATATAATGGTAAAGGAATCAGTTCAACAAGAAGAGCTAGCTATCCTAAATACATGCACCCAATACAGGAGCACCCAGATTCATAAAGCAAGTCCTTACAGACCTACAAAGAGACTGAGACTCCCACACAATAAAAATGGGAGACTTTAACACCCCACTGTCAATATTAGACATATCAATGAGACAGAAGGTTAACAAGGATATCCAGGACTTGAACTCAGCTCTGGACCAAGCAGACCTAATAGACATCTACAGAACTCTACACCCCAAATCAACAGAATATACATTCTTCTCACCACCACATCACACCTATTCTAGAAGTGACCACGTAATTTGTAGTAAAACGCTCCTCAGCAAATGTAAAAGAATAGAAATCACAATAAACTGTCTCTCAGACCACAGTGTAATTAAATTAGAACTCAAGATTAATAAACTACTCAAAACTGCACAACTACATGGAAACTGAACAACCTGCTCTTGAATGAGTATGGGTAAATAACGAAATGAAGGCAGAAATAAATATGTTCTTTGAAACCAATGAGAACAAATACACAGTGTACCAGAATCTCTGGGACACATTTAAGGCAGTGTGTAGAGGGAAATTTATAGCACTAAATGCCCACAAGAGAAAGCAGGAAAGATCTGCAATGAACACCCTAACATCACAATTAAAAGAACTAGAGAAGCAAGAGAAAACAAATTCAAAAGCTAACAGAAAGCAAGAAACAACTAAGATCAGAGCAGAACTGAAGGAGATAGAGACACAAAAAACCCATCAAAAAATCAATGAATCCAGGAGCTTGTTTTTTGAAAAGACCAACAAAATAGATAGACCACTAGCAAGACTAGTAAAGAAGAAAAGGGAGAAGAATCAAATAGATGCAATAAAAAATGATACAGGGGATATCACCACAGATCCCACAGAAATACAAACTACCATCAGAGAATACTATAAATGCCTCTATGCAAATAAACTAGAATATCTAGAAGAAATGGATAAATTTCTGGACACATACACCCTCCAAAGACTAAACCAGGAAAAAGTTGAATCTCTGCATAGACCAATAACAGGTTCTGAAATTGAGGCAATAATTAACAGCCTACCAACCAAAAAAGTCCAGGACCAGACAGATTCACAGCCCAATTCTACCAGAGGTACAAAGAGGAGCTGGTCCCATTCCTTCTGAAACTATTTCAATCAGTAGAAAAAGAGGGAATCCTCCCTAACTTATTTTATGAGGCTAGCATCATCCTGATACCAAAGGCTGGTAGAGACACAACAAAAAAAGAGAATTTTGGGCCAATATCCCTGATGAACATCAATGCGAAACTCCTCAAAAAAATACTGGTAAACCAAATCCAGCAACACATCCAAAAGCTTATCCACCATGATCAAGTCACCTTCATCCCTGGGATTCAAGGCTGGTTCAACATACGCAAATCAATAAACGTAACCCATCACGTAAACAGAACCAATGACAAAAACCACATGATTATCTCAATAGATGCAGAAAAGGCCTTTGACAAAATTCAACGCCTTTCATGCTAAAAACTCTCTCAATAAACTAGGTATTGATGGAATGTATCTCAAAATAATAAGAGCTATTTATGACAAACCCACAGCCAATATCATGCTGAATGGGCAAAAACTGGAAGCATTCCCTTTGAAAACCGGCACAAGACAAGGATGCCCTCTCTCACGACTCTTATTCAACATAGTGTTGGAAGTTCTGGCTAGGGCAGTCAGGCAAGAGAAAGAAATAAACGGCATTCATTTAGGAAAACAGGAAGTCAAATTGTCTCTGTTTGCAGATGGCATGATTGTATATTTAGAAAATCCCATCGTCTCAGCCCAAAATCTCCTTAAGCTGATAAGCAAATTTAGCAAAGTCTCAGGATACAAAATCAATGTGCAAAAATCACAAGCATTCCTATACACTAATAACAGACAAACAGAGAGCCAAATCATGAGTGAACTCCCATTCACAATTACTACAAAGAGAATAAAATACCTAGGAATCCAACTTGCAAGGGATGTGAAGGACCTCTTCAAGGAGAACTACAAACCACTGCTCAACAAAATAAAAGAGGACCCAAACAAATGGAAGAACATTCCATGCTCATGGATAGGAAGAATCAATATCATGAAAATGGCCATACTGCCCAAGGTAATTTATAGATTCAATGCTATCCCCATCAAGCTACCACTGACTTTCTTCACAGAATTGGAAAAAACTACTTTAAAGTTCATATGGAACCAAAAATGAGCCCACATAGCCAGAACAATCCTAAGCAAAAAGAACAAAGCTAGAGGTATCATGCTACCTGACTTCAAACTATAATACAAGACTACAGTAACCAAAACAGCATGGTACTGGTACCAAAACAGATATATAGACCAATGGAACAGAACAGAGGCCTCAGAAATAACATCACACATCTACAACCATCTGATCTTTGACAAACCTGACAAAAACAAGAAATGGGGAAAGGATTTCCTATTTAATAAATCGTGCTGGGAAAACTGGCTAGCCATATGTAGAAAGCTGAAACTGGACACCTTCCTTACACCTTACACAAAAATTAACTCAACACAGATTAAAGACTTAAATGTTAGACCTAAAACCATAAAAACCCTAGAAGAAAACCTAGGCAATACCATTCAGGATATAGGCATGGGCAAAGACTTCATGACTAAAACACCAAAAGCAATTGCAACAAAAGCCAAAATAGACAAATGGGTTCTAATTAAATAAAGAGCTTCTGCACAGCAAAAGAACCTATCATCAGAGTGAACAGGCAACCTACAGAATGGGAGAATATCTTTGCAATCTACCCATCTGAGAAAGGGCTAATATCAAGAATCTACTAAGAACTTAACTTTACAAGAAAAAACAACCCCATCAAAAAGTGGGCAAAGGATATGAACAGACACTTTTCAAAAGAAGACATTTATGCAGCCAACAAACATGAAAAAATGCTCATCATCTCTGGTCATCAGAAAAATGCAAATGAAAACCACAATGAGATACCATCTCACGCCAGGTAGAATGGCGATCATTAAAAAGTCAGGAAACAACAGATGCTGGAAAGGATGTGGAAAAATAGGAATGCTTTTACACTGTTGGCAGGAGTGTAAATTAGTTCAACCGTTGTGGAAGACAGTGTGGCAATTCCTCAAGGATCTAGAGCTAGAAATACTATTTGACCCAGCGATCCCATTACTGGGTATCTACCCAAAGGATTATAAATCATGCTACTATAAAGACACATGCACACGTATGTTTACTGCAACACTATTCACAATAGCAAAGACTTGGAACCAACCCAAATGTCCATCAATGATAGACTGGATTAAGAAAATGTGGCACATATACACCATGGAATACTATGCAGCCATAAAAAAGGATGAGTTTGTGTCCTTTGCAGGGACATGGATGAAGCTGGAAACCATCATTCTAAGCAAACTATCACAAGGACAGAAAACCAAACACCGCATGTTCTCACTCATAGGTGGAGTTGAATAATGAGAACACATGGACACAGGGCGGGGAACATCACACACCGGGGCCTGTTGGGGGGTTGAGGGGCTGGGGGAGGGATAGCATTAGGAGAAATGCTAAAACCAACATGGCACATGTATACCTATATAACAAACCTGCACGTTGTGCACATGTACCCTAGAATTTAAAGTATATTTAAAAAAAGAAAAAAGAAAAATAAATTAATTAATTTAAAAAAAGAAATACATTGGCAGTTTGGCATTTCTTTTTTTTAATATAATTAAGCATGAAGCCAGATGTAGTGTGGAGCCAAATTTCACATACATGCTTGCATTGCTTCACATTCTATCTGCAATTGTGCATAGATAGTACTAGCACTAAAGTACTTCCTAGTTACATACCTAAAGTGAGTTTCTAAATTGTACAAAATGTATAGTGGGTGTGGTGGACCTAAGGACATTTAATTGTGTATCAGGAACAAAATATGCATCATATGTTTTTAGGCTCTGAATAATACTATAGCCTCCAAGGTAAACTGAGTAGAAGAATAATTGGAGGTTGGTTTCCTATTTATTTGTTTTTGCTCCTAATTTTCATGTATTTGCTGTTTGTTCTCCTTTGGATTTTCCTTATATATACATATATGAATTTATGTTTTTTAGTTTCTAATGGAAGGCTTTTATTTGGTTCTATGAATAGTCATTTTGTTTCCTATGTGTTTCCAACAATTCATTATTTTCTCTATTTCTCTAAACTTCCTAATCTACCTTTGTCAGGTCTCCAAAAATTAATAGAGGACACCGACCACTTAAAATTTGATGGTTTTTCTTACTTCTAACGATCTAGAGAGCTGTAAGAGCTTTACGGTTCCTAGAAAAAAATAAATAAATAAAAGACATAAGTTCTGAAAAGTAATAGCACTTTTTTATTTTGTTATTTGAAAAGTAGGTGAGAATAGAAATGTTTAAATGATGTTTTTTTCCAAGGTAATTCAATTCAATCAATAATTTGAGTTAGTTTCAGATCTTTTCCTTTAATGAGGAAAAACTGTGATATAGGTACAAAGTTTTAATGTTCAGAAAATATTGGCCTATCCTTAAGGAAATTATACTAATTGGGATTTCTCTCAAATTACTTTAGTTATCTTTACCATTATTAAAATTAAGTGACATTCACTTAGATTAAGTAGTAATAAAAAAAAAAAAGATGTGAGACTAGTGAGTTTTGATCCCAAGCCTTCTATCACTGTTGAGTCTTTCATGTGTGTACTTGAAAACAAAATATCCACAAGTGTTTCACTGGTTTGAAGAGTCTAGTGGTGAAAGTTACCTAATCAGTTGTCAGTATTGTAACTGATTAGAAAGTTACCTAATTAGTTGTCAGTACTATATTACCAATCATGGAAATGTGTGCTAGTGCTCTTTTATTTTTATTTTTATTTATTTATTTATTTTTGAGACGTAGTCTCGCTCTTTCACCCAGGCTGGAGTGCAGTGTCGCGATCTTGGCTTACTGCAACCTCTGCCTCCTGGGTTCAAGCAACTCTCCTGCCTCAGCCTCCCCAGTAGCTGGGATTACAGGCGCCCACCACCACGCCTGGCTAATTTTTGTATTTTTAGTAGAGACGAGGTTTCATCATGTTGGCCAGGCTGGTGTCGAACGCCTAACCTTATGTGATCCACCTGCCCCGGCCTCCCAAAGTGCTGGGATTACAGGCATAAGCCACCGTGCCCGGCCCTGATGCTCTTTTAAAATAGCTAAAAAGAAATTACTGTGTGTGTGCTTAATCTCATTTTGTCCCTGTTTTGTTGCATAGTATCTAAATGAAAGGAGATTATTTATCCTCATGCTAAATTTCCAAAACTGATATTTACATTTACCATTTTTTAATGATGGAGAGAAAAGTTAATTGTCTTTATTTTGATAAGTTTAAAATAGGACCTATCCCATTTTTTACACTTTTAGTCACAGTTCTGTCACCAGAATGCTAGCAATTAGATATATGCGAGGAGTAACCTAAATACTTTAATACAATGGTTTGAAGTGCTATAGGAAGTAATAACTACTGGACACTAAATCACAGTGTTTGTGACATGTCACAGAAAATGATAGGACTTTCTGCAGCATAAATGTCCTCTTAACCAATCCTTGTGCTGTTAAGTTACAGGGCTTTAACTTCTGGGTCTGAAAAAGGCACCTACTTCTGCTAAATCTTGAACATTACCCTAGTTTAAGCCTCATCTTCAGACCTGGGAGAAAATGACAGTCAAAATGAACTGCTTTCATGAGACACTGGGCCAGAAATTAAAACTATTCAATCTGTCTAGGCCAAGGGACTGTCATGGCAGATGTGGACATGTGAGATTTGAGGGTTTTCTATAAATTAAATATTAATATCAAAAGCACACTGATTCAAGGCCAGAGTCTAGGCCCATGTGTCAGAATAACAGCATTTTCCTGGAGCATTAATCGGCTCTTTAATAGAAGATTGTAAAAGGTTTATGGAGATCTTACTCTACAAACAAACTGATAAAATTAAAATTGTTTATAAGGTTTTAAAAATTACTTTTAATATTAGTAATACACTATACAAAGGTGAAATTTGGTTTTCTCTTTTGAACAAAATTTTCATATGAGAGCTAATGAAATATTTTTATTTACCTTTTGAATAACTACAGGGTGCAAAAAAAGGAGGAAAAAGACATTTAGGTGGCCTCATGCTGTCTTTATTAGGTTTCATTGTTTGGGAAACTGAGTCTACTCCCTAGAAAAGGGTAAATGTCAGCGGGTGCGGTGGCTCACGCCTGTAATCCCAGCACTTTGGGAGGCTGAGGTGGGTGGATCAGGAGGTCAGGAGATTGAGACCATCCTGGCTAACATGGTGAAACTCCATCTCTACTGAAATACAAAAAATTAGCCGGGCGTGGTGGTGGGCACCTGTAGTCCCAGCTACTCGGGAGGCTGAGGCAGGAGAATGGCATGAACCCAGGAGGCGGAGGTTGCAGTGAGCTGAGATTGCACCAGTGCATTCCAGCCTGGGTGACAGAGCGAGACTCCGTCTCAAAAAAAAGAGAAGTCTTAGCTAAATCAATGACTACTTTACAGTGACCTGTGATCCTATTTTGTAATATCAAATGTCTTAAAACTTTGATATTTGACAGACTTTCCAAGAGTAAAAATTTCAAGTTCTAAATTCGGCCTTTTTGACCTCAAACTAACTTATTTGCACATTAGGTTCCCTGAAGTTCAAGAGAGACATACTAGACTTATTGACTTATTTGTTACATTAGAATTATGCAGAAAGCGTTGTCACATCTGAGGTGGTGGTCAACTTCTTTTGGGTTATATTTATATAGATGTGTTGTTAATATGTGTTCCAGGATTGTATGATTCTTGCATGTTTTAATATATGCCATCAGTAATAATTATGCTTATTATGTTGAATTGTTATATGTCACAGAAATAACCAAATTTCCTCATCAACTGTGTCTTTAACTATGGCTTGCTTAAGAGTTTTGACATCCACTATTGTTATTTTGCATTGATTCTTCTCAAAAAGTAACATATAATCAGCCGGGCATGGTGGCTCACGCCTGTAATCCCAGCACTTTGGGAGGCCAAGACGGGTGGATCACAAGGTCAGGAGTTCGAGACCACCCTGGCCAAGATGGTGAAACCCCGTCTCTACTAAAAATAAAAAAAATTAGCCGGGCATGGTGGCAGGCACCTGTAGTCCCAGCTACTCGGGAGTCTGAGGCAGGAGAATTCCTTGAACCTGGGAGGTGGAGGTTGCAGTGAGCCGAGATTGTGCCACTGCACTCTAGCCTGGGCGACAGAGTGAGACTCCATCTCAAAAAAAAAAAAGTATCTTATAATCAGCTACAGTCCATGGTTTGCTTCTTTGGGGGAGTTCATGAAAAGGACTTTTGAATGTAGGTTTCTGATGACTTTGGAGGTTGTTTCATTAGATTAGAGAGAGAAAACGTCCAAGAAACTAACTGAAAAACTGATACATTCATAAAATTTACTAACCTAATATGAAGCAGAGCAGGAGTTAGTTGCCTACACTGAACAAATGGAGGCCAGAAATAATTTCTTATGGATTTTTTTTGTTTGAAACATTGCTGCCTTTAACAATTGAGAGGAGCATTACTCTTGTAAACTAAGTTTGAGGCATATTTCTCTCTCTCTCTGCCTAATTTCTCCAGAATTCATAAACTATTTGTGAATATTATTAATTCATGGCAATGTGTTTGCGTATGTTTAATAAGAATCTGTTTTCTGCTGGGTGTGTTGGCTCATGCCTGTAATCCTAGCACTTTGGGAGGCCAAGGCAGGTGGATCACTTGAGGTCAGGGGTTTGAGTCCAGCCTGCCAACATGGTGAAACCCCGTCTCTACTAAAAATACAAAAATTAGCCAGGAGTGGTGGTGCATGCCTGTCGTCCCAGCTACTCGGGAGGCTGAGGCAGGAGGATCACTTGAACCTGGGAGGTGGAGGCTGCAGGGAGCCAAGATCATGCCACTCCACTCCAGCCTGGGTGACAGAGCAAGACTCCATCTCAAAAAAAAAAAAAAAAAAAAAAAAAAAAAGAATATGTTTTCTTTTATAATGAGACACAGTTGGAGGAACTGGTCATTTTCCCAGGGCTTTGACTGAAATGGCCTTGTGAGAGGTTCCAGCAAAGCCAGTTTAAGATAGCCTACATGGACAATGGTTCTTGCTGCACTTTGTGTGGGCAAATAAGCCAAGTATATGGGACTGAAGCTTATTTGGCAGGTAGGTTGGTCCTGCTGTGATTTGTCTTTAGTGGAAGTGGGAGACTGGAGAGAAAAAGAGTGTGTTTCAGAAGAAACCTATAGTATTCAGTTAACTTTTGATTTTTGGGTGGCTATGTGGGTCACCCATGGTATGGATTTGCCCACGACACTCCTCATCAGCATGAAACAGCCAGAAAGATTGACAACCAGTTCCCCATGATTGAGGAATTGATAAACAGAAAAGGGGCACTGAAATGAACCCAATTGTCCCATAAATCTGATTTTTACAGTTTATTTTGAATAAACATAGAAATTGACCCTCTCAGTCTTAAAACTTGAGAGAGTTACATTTGTCTTATCTGAGTTCTTTCTCAGGAAACCAACCGTCAGACCCCCACATAACATCAAGGGACTGAAACTCACCAGATTACTGTATTTGGACAATGAGATGCCAAACTCCTCACCCCTTATGACTGCCTAACCAATAATCTCCTTCCTGTTAACCAATTCCTCCTTACCACTCCCTAATTCCTGCTTCCCTGAATATAGATACATTTCTGCTATATAAACCCCTAACTTTAGTGAGTCAGGGAGACAGATTTCAGACTGATCTCTCATCCCCTTGGCTGCAGCACCCGACTAAAGCCTTCTTGCTTGGCAATACTCATTGTCTCAGTGATTGGCTTTCTGCGTGGCAAGCAGCAGGACCTAAACTGAACCCCTGGTATTTCAATAACAAAATCATGGGTGACTTCCCTGTCTAAACAAAGTCACATTTTGATTCTTTTCATTGCAATGAGATGAGCATTTTAGGCAGGGTCAGCCTTTTGCACAACTGCAAGGAGCACCTTTTGCTGTAAGAATGCCATGTAAGCTAGGCACAGTGATTCATGCCTGCAATCCTAGCACTTTGGGAGGCTGAGGCAAGAGGATCACTTGAACCCATGAGTTTGAGACCAGCCTGGGCAACATGGCAAAACCCCACCTCCACAAAAAATACCAAAAATTAGTCAGGCATGGTGGGACACACCTGTAGTCCCAGCTACTCCAGGGGCTGAGGTGGTAGGATTACTTAAGTCCAGGAAGTTGAGGCTGCAGTGAGCTGTGATCGCACCACTGCACTCCAGCCGAGGTGACAGAGTGAGACCCTGTCTCAAAACAAAAATGCCATGCAGCTGGACTGGTACAGGACACTAATTGAGAGGGGATAGAAAAGAAGTTGCCATGCCCTCTATTTTCTTAGCCAATGCTCTTCCCTAGCAAGATCTAGATCAATCCACACTGTTTCTGTTTCTTTGCTGGAGGTGAGACCCTTCAGTAGTCAAACAGCTCTCATCTCTGGGGTCTGCATAACTTGTTTGATGACTAAGGGAGACCCATAGGGCCATTTCTTACAGCCCACAGCCAAGCCCTCTGTGAAGAGGAAAAGGCAACTCTTCCAGCAAGGAAGTCCTCACCCCTTTTCAAAAACTTTCCTAGACAAACTTGTAGGCTGTTAATGACTCTAGTTATGACCTCCCAGCCCTTACTCAGGAGAAACCACTTTGTAATGTGGGTTTTCAACCTTGGCTGCACGTTGCAATCACCTGGGGATCCCCCGCAACCGCCTGACAAAGATTCTGATGTTATTGGTCTGAGGTGCTGCCTGAGAATTGGTGTTTCCAAAGCTCCTCTGGTGTTTTGTGTTTTTCTAGCACAAGAAAAGTTGTGAGTCACTGTAGTGCAATACAGTTCGATCACAATTGCCACAATTGTGTAGGGTCCATCAGAACCACCTGAAGGGCTTCATAGACCACAGCTGGCTAGGAGCTACCCCTAGGCTTCTGATTCAGCAAGTGAGAGGCAGAGCCCAAGGCTGTATATTTCTAACAAGTTCCAGGTGCTGCTGCTGCTGGTCCAGAGACCACTGCATTAGAGGCCAGAGTTCTCAACTATTGACTGCACATTAGAACCATCTGGACAATATTTAAGACATACTGATGCCTATACACCAACCCAGACTAACTGAATCAAAATCTCTGGTAATGGGGCTCCAGAGATGTTTTTTAATGCTCCCAGGGGATTCTACTGTAGAGCAAGTTGAGAACCACTTGTAAGCAAAAGAAAAAAATTCTTACTAAAAAGGTTAAAGAGACATACACCAAGTTTGCAGGCTTTCTAGACAATGGAACTTCAAACATAGGATTTGCCTGTGGTATTTATTCTTTCTTGGGGCCCACTTGCAGTGTACTTTATAGGATGATGTATCAGAAACCTTGACCCAGCAGCCTAAAAATAGTGGTCAGCATCGATGAGTCTCATCTGTTACAACAAAAAGGAAAAACAGTTACAAGGCCCCACTCCAGGGGAAGCTCAGGCACCCCCCTTGGAGATGTGCCCAAGAAATGGCTCCTAATAGGCCACTCAAATTCTGCCATTGAAAGGGAACACATGGGCAAGATATATCTTGCAGCCTAGAATTGTTTTTATTTATGTGACTTTAGTCTCTTCTTTGTATAGTGACTTTGTAGAGGAAGAGAAATTACAACACCTTACATGCCTAAGTCATGGGGACTCTTCCTCCAGGTTCCCAGAGCAAAAAGCAAAAAGCCCTGTACTCCCTGGTGCCCACCTGGTCATCTTGCCCACGGTTTTTCCATCCCAGAGGTACTGCTGCAGGCCCAGAGCCCTCCAGGAAAAGAACTGACATCTAGGAACTCCTCCCCCAAGCCCTTTCTTCAACTCATTCTTGCTATGACAAGAGTGTGGGTTGCAGTGATATCTCAGAAGTTTATTCCATCATATTAAATTCTCAGTAAATCACCCTTTGGCAAGTCAGTTTAAAGGATACGATGTAGACAGCTAGAAAAGACACTATTTCTGGGCCAGGTTTTCCCAGCTGTTTAATAAATTGCTCAAAAAATCTCTAATTCATCCTATTTTTGTCACTAGTCATCATGTCAGAATCTCTGGTTTCATAAAGAAAACTTTTCTGGCCTGACACACAGCCACTATCTACTGAACTTTGCCGCAGACCAAAATGTCTTCTGAGATCTCCACTCAGCAATCTTTAATATTTTGAGGACAGAAATTTACAAGTGTGCCCTTGATACATAAAAAGGTCACATATTCTAGGGTCCAAGGGTCTCACTGATCCCGGTGATGTCTACATCTCCCCTTCTAGCCGGAAAACTCAAATATATGTGAGGTGTGCAACAAATGGGGACGGCTGTTCTGCTGCGACACTTGTCCAAGATCCTTTCATGAGCACTGCCACATCCCATCCGTGGAAGCTAACAAGTGAGTAAGACATGTCCCCTTCCCTGAGCCCTTCCTTCTTGTGGTACAGCTCCTCCTGCCACTCATGAGTACTCTGCAGAGTTTCTGTACCTGGTTATGTGTTTCTTGATGCATAAGGAGCAGGCTCCTTAGCATCAAGATCCACAAGTATTATCCAGAGCTGTTGAACAGTGCTGGTAGCAGCAGATTAATGGGAAGCAAAAACTCTTCAAGTGGTTATTGAGTGCAATAGTAAGAGGTGTCAACTTCTACCTCCCCTACTTGGCTCCCAGACCCATGCTCTCTAATGGGGTGATGCCATCATACACTGCCTGCTGGTTTAAAGAGTACACCACCTGCTGTGGGACCATCACACAGCTGGTAAAGCCAGTGCTGCAGCAGTCTATCAAGCCAACTGACCCTGGGTCACAGGTCACATGTTGAGACCTGTGAATTCTGCAAGTGTGAGTCCCCTGCTCACTTCCTTTGCTAAAAAATGTGCCTTTGGACAGAGGTGATGGTGTGCAGGATACCACGGAGATTGATAAGGTGCTCTGTGAGTGGTGTGTGGACAGAATTGTTAAGGCTGAGAGGATGATCTCTACCGGGAATGTGTCTGACTCTATGAGGGCAGAGCATTGCCCTTCCATAATGGAGGAGGCTAATGTGACCCACCTGCTCCCAGGGTGTCATCTCAGGGGATCAGCATAAACCTCTGCTTTTGACCAGTTGGCCAATCTGCAGAGGCAGAAGAAAAACCAGCTTTTTGGTTGAGCCCTTGTATAGCCCCTATCTCTGCACCAGAGATGCAAAGTGCTCTCAAAGGAGCACTTTGTAACAGGCTCCTTGAGCAAGCACTACATGGCCAAGGGGATGCTGGCATCACTAGGATGGGTCATTGTGCTTGCCTGATTATCAAAAGCCTCCTAGCACAGACAGCCTAGTAGAGAAGGTTGGAGAATGAATCTAGGAACAAATGAAAGATATCTGACACCTCTCTGGAGATTTCCTTTTCAAGAAGTTTCTGCAGCACAGATTCTAGGTATAAGATATGGCAGGGCCAAGGGAGAGGATGCCTATAGCCTGTGCTCTCTGCTTACTCAGCAAAGTTGAGAAACAAGAACTTGTTTTCTGATTTTTCTGTGATCTGATTGACTCATAGAGGCCCAACACTTTGTGCTTAAGGTACTCATTTCCATTAACTGTAGCAAACCGTGCTCATTATCAAGTTCCCAGTGGCTCAGATGGAAACCCTAAGTTTTGAGGTGAATGAGATTCTGTCACTCATGGGGCACTTCAGCCAACAGATGATCACCCCTGCTATCACTATTGGTGGGAGGGCATGCCTTTGGCTATTGAGTCCAAATGGGGCTCTAGTGCAGAGGCCTCCAAGAGAGAAGTTGGATACAAGGTGGAAACCACTAGGCATTCTTGAGCAGAGGACTTGAACAACTGTAGGAATGGCGGCTGATTCACAGAACCTGCCATTGCTCACTTTATGCCCCATCTCTCAGGAACCCGTGGAGTTGCATCTTCTGCAGGATAAAGACTATTCAGGAAAGATGCCCAGAAAGCCAATCAGGTCATCAGGAATCTGAAGTCCTGATGAGGCAGATGCTGCCTGAGGAGCAGTTGGTGAGTAAAAATGTGAACCTGAAGCCTCTTCCTTTCTGTTCACCTGGGCAGGAGAAGCACAGTCTTACAAAGTGCTCAAGGAATGGAGCCCAAAAGCAAACTGCTGGCCTATGGTGTGCTTTGCTCCATGACCTAACGCTACAATTCATATTCCAAAGAAAAATCCCGGTCCAAAGAAACTCCCCATGCCATGTTTGTTTCAAAGAGTCCACAGGTTTGGGAGTCGTGTGTTCTCTTTGGGCAAGCATATGAGCTCTTTCTCTCTAAATTGCATTTAATTTGAAATGGCCTCCATCTTTTGCAGAAATGTGAATTCCTCCTCTTGAAGGTCTACTGTGATTCGAAAAGCTGCTTTTTCGCCTCAGAACCGTATTATGTAAGTAACAGCCAAACAAAAATGCTTATACTGGCATTTGTCAAATCTGTGATCTGAATCCCATGGCACAAGGTGCCATTCTATTTGGCTTGTTGATGAGTTTTTAGTTCAGGCTACTATAGAAATTTATCATAGATTAGGTGGCTTAAACAGCAGAAATGTTTTTCTCACGGTCCCGGAGGCTGCATGTCCAAGATCAGGGTGTCAGTAGGGTCCGGTTCTGGAGAGGGCTGTCTTCTAGGTGTCAGAGACGACACAGGGTTGCTCCCTGTGTTCTTGAGTGGCAGAAAGAGAAGGAGAGAACTCTCCAGAGTCTCTTTTATAAGAGCCCTAATCCTATTCATGAGGGCTCCACCCTTCTTACCTCATGACCTCCCAAAGGTCCCACCTCCTAGTACCTTCACAGGGGGGTTAGGATTTTGACCTATGGATTGGGGGAACTCCACAAACCTTTATTCCATAATAGTGGGAGTCTATGGCACTGGGCTGATAGCCTCATTTTGGTCTTTTACTCAACAGAACAGAGAGGGGTCTCAGGGCCCACAGAAGCCCATGTGGTTAAACAAAGTCAAGACAAGTTTGAATGAGCAGATGTACACCCGAGTAGAAGGGTTTGTGCAGGACATGCGTCTCATCTTTCATAACCACAAGGAATTTTACAGGGTGAGTGGCTCTCCCTGCTTCCTTTTCTCTTTCAATTACATCACTTTAAAGTCACTTTCCCTGTCATCTTTTCATGTCAGGTAAATGTTACAATCGCCCTTATCATATGACAAGCCCATACAAGTACAAATCCTGGAAGTATCCTAAAAGCCCTGTAGTGCATGTGGAGAAAATAACAACAAACTGGAAGGTGCCATTGCAAACATGGTCCTATATATAACCTCAGAGTTGACTCATTTCTAGATGGTTTGTTTTCACCCATAGAGAACAGTAGGCTGCAGACTCATTTGTTTCTACTGGAAATAGAAGTGCACTTTAAAGGCATTTAAAGTGTTTCTCTTCTCTAGAGGAAGATACCAAATCAAAGGTCTCAAATGTCAAAATATTGAATTTCTTTACATCTGAACTTCCTGGCACTATTTCAGAAATTAATAAGGATTATGTCAAGGGGTGAGAGTAAAGGGAAAAGGAAGACATTATTAAATGGCCTTAAACATTTCTGTACTATCATAAGGTTACTCAGAAAATGCTGTGCATAAAAATCACACAAGTAGAATTTTTAAAAGTTAAATTAATCCATAAGCTTTTGATCAGAAATTAGATTTCAGTGTAGTAGTATTTTGACTTGTCTTCCAGATAAAGATAAATAATTAAATTATCAAGGAACATAAGCAACTCAAGTAGATTAATTCTCACTTAACATTTGGGATAACCTAAAATGAGGCCCCAGATTATCTGCAACACTGGGTGTCTCAGCTCATTGCATAACTGCTATATTGTTTTTTTCTTTGCTTTTTTAGGAAGATAAATTCACCAGACTGGGAATTCAAGTACAGGACATCTTTGAGAAGAATTTCAGAAACATTTTTGCAATTCAGGAAACAAGCAAGAACATTATAATGTTTATTTAGCCATTCTTATCTCCTCCCTTCAGATCCTCTGGCAGCTAGCTACGCAATGTGCCTGTGGTCCCACTAATCTGTGACTGCTCCTGTGGAAACTCCACATCACAATTCTCCAAAATTTATCATTGCCATTTTAAAACCGTCTTTTCAGCTTTCAATAAAATTCAACACCCCTTCATGTTAAAAATTCTCAATAAGCTAGGTATTGAGGAACATATCCCAAAATAATAAGAGCCATTTATGACAAACCCACAGACAACATTATATGGAATGCGCAAAAGAAGCATTCCCCTTGAAAACAAGCACAAGACAAGGATTCCCTCTCTCACCACTCCTATTCAACAAAGTATTGGAAGTCCTGGTCAGAGCAGTCAGGAAGCAGAAAAAAATAAAGGGTATCTAAATAGGCAAAGAGGAAGTCAAACTATCCCTGTTTGCACACAACATTGATTCTATATCTAGAAAACCCCCTAGTCTCAGCCCAGAAGCTCCTTCTGCTGATAAACAATTTCAGAGATGTTTCAGAATACAAAATTAGTATATGAAAATTACTAGTATTCCTATACACCAGCAATAGCCAAGCCAAGAGCCAAATCAGGAAGGCAATCTCATTCACAATTGCCACTAAAAGAATAAAATACCTAGGAATACAGCTAATCAGGGAGGTGAGAGAGTTCTACAATGAGAATTACGAAACACTGCTCAAAGAGATTGGAGATGACACAAACAAATGGAAAAACATCCCATGCTCCTGTGTAGAAACAGTCAATATCATTAAAATGACCATACTGCCCAAAGCAGTTTACAGGTTCAATGTTATTCCTATCAAACCACCAATGACATTCTTCACAGAACTAGATAAAACTATTTTAAAATTCATACAGAACCAAAAAAGAGCCCAAATAGCCAAGGCAATCCTAAGCAAAAAGAACAAAGCTGAAGGCATCACGTTACCCCACTTCAAACTATATTACAGGGCTTCAGTAACCAAAACAGCATGGTACTGGTACCAAAAAAAAAGCCACATAGACCAATGGAACAGAACGAAGAGCACAGAATAAGACCACACTCCTATGACCATCTGATCGTCGATAAAAACAAGCAATGGGAAAAAGACTCCCTATTTTATAAATGGTGCTGGGATAACTGGGATAGAAGATTGAAGCTAGACCTCTTCCTTACACCATATACAAAAATCAACTCAAGATCAATTAAAGACTTAATGTAAAATCAAAAACTATGAAGACTCTGGAAGACAACCTAGGCAATACCATCCTGGACATAGGAACAGGCAAAGATTTCATGATAAAGACAAAAGCAATAGCAACAAAAGCAAAATTTGACAAATGGGATCTAATTAAACTTAAGAGATTCTGCACAGCAAAAGAAACAATCAACAGAGTAAACAGACAACCTACAAAATGGGAGAAAATATTTGCACACTATGCATCTGACAAAGGTCTAATAGCCAGCTTCTATAGGGAACTTAAACAAATTTACAAGACAAAAAGAAATAACCCCATTAAAAAGTGGGCAAAGGACATGAAAGACACTTTTTTTTTTTAAGATGGAGTTTCACTCTTGTTGCCCAGGCCAGAGTGCAATGGCGTGATCTTGGCTCACCACAACCTCTGCCTCCCGGGTTCAAGCAATTCTCCTGCCTCAGCCTCCCAGGTGGCTGGGATTACAGGCATGCACCACCTGACTGATTTTGTATTTTAGTAGAGACGGGGTTTCTCCACATTGGTCAGGCTGGTCTTGAACTCCCGACCTCAGGTGATCCACCCACCTCGGCCTCCCAAAGTGCTGGGATTACAGGCATCAGCCACCATGCCCGGATGAAAAGACACTTTCCAAAAGAAGATACACATGCGGCCAACAAGCATGTTTTAAAAGCTCAATATCACTGATCGTTAGAGACATGCAAATTAAAACTACAATGAGACACCATCTCACACCAGTCAAAATGCCTCTTTCTAAAAAGTCAAAAAATAACAGCTAGTAAGGTTGTGGAGAAAAGGGAACATTTATACACTATTGATGGGAGTGTAAATTAGTTCAACCACTGTGGAAAGCAGTGTGGCAACTCCTCATAGTGCTAAAAGCAGAACTGCCATTCCACCCAGCAATCCCATTACTGGGTACATACCCAGAGGAATATAAATCATTCTACCATAAAGACACATGCATGCAAATGTCCACTGCAGCACTATTCACAATAGCAAAGATACAGAATCAACCTAAGTGCCCATCAGTAACAGATTGGATAAAGAAAATATGGTACACATACACCATGGAATAGTATGCAGCCATAAGAAACAATGAGATCATGTCTCAGGAACATGGATAGAGCTGGAGGCTATTATCCTTAGCAAACTAATTCAGGAACAGAAAACCAAATACCACAGGTTCTCAGTTGTGAGTGGGAGCTAAATGATGAGAACTCATGAACACAATGAAGGGAACAGACACTAGGGTCTACTTGAGGGTGGAGGATGGGAAGAGGGAGAGGAGCAGAAAAAGTACCTATTGGTGATGAAGTACTCTGTACAACAAACCCGTGACAAGAGTTTCCCTATATAACAAACCTTCACATATACCCCTGAACCTAAAAGTTTTTTTAATTGTAAATAAATGGATCATTAAAAAAAATTTTAATAATAAAATTGTCTTATCAAGTTCTCTTATTGAATAATTTGGAACGAAACTTACAACTGATAACATAAAGTCTTTCTATAAAGGATCATATTATATCTTCCCAATTATTCAGTTTTGTATTTTTTGTTGTTGCCGTGAAAGCAATCTTTTCCCATTGAATTTTATTACTGATTATTGCCTATTACACAAAGCTACTGTTATTTATACGTAATTTTGTCACTGATTACCATACTGAATACTAGATGGTATCATTTTCACCTTTTACCCAGTGGCATCAGGAAGCCTGTGGTGGCTACATAGCACCTCCAACTTTCAATTCATGGAATCGTATTCGGTTTAGGGGATGGAAGCATTCCTCCATTGAGCACTAAAATCTCGGACAATTCTTTTTTTTTTTTTTGAGATGGAGTCTCACTCTGTAGCCCAGGCTGGAGGGCAGTGGCACAATCTCAGCTCACTGCAAGCTCTGCCTCCTGGGTTCACGCCATTCTCCTGCCTCAGCCTCCCAAGTAGCTGGGACTACAGGTGCCTGCCACCACGGCCGGCTAATTTTTTGTATATTTAGTAGAGACGGGGTTTCACCATGTTGGCCAGGATGGTCTCGATCTCTTGACCTCGTGATCCACCCACCTCGGCCTCCCAAAGTGCTGGGATTACAGGCGTGAGCCACCACGCGTGGCCAGACAATTCTTGGTTCTGTTGGAAAATGATTCTGCCAGGGCACCCTGGTGTATTTGCATGTGTAAAAGAGGAAAAAATAATTTTCCCACTACCCTTCTAAGTTTCCCCTACCCAGATCCTCTGGGGCCCCTGTAACAAAAGACAGATTAACAAGAGAAAAACAGAAGTTTATTAGCATATATATATATATATATACACACACACACACACACATATATGTATACACACATGTATATACATACATATATGTATACACATATGTATATGCATATATGTGTGTGTGTATATATGAGAGATACTCAGAGAGATGAATAACTCTCAAAGAGGTGGCTGAGAGATATATAAAGAGATATATAAAGAGATATATAAAGAGATGTAAATCACCTCCATGATCATCACAATAGATTCTTACAGAGGCCAGGTGAGAAATAGAGAACTAGCCTAAGTCAGCCTCATGGTGTGTCCTTTGGCTTCATAAACAGACCTTGCAATTTTTTCTCCAGTCCCTGTGTATATAATTTTAATGACTGCACTTAGGAACTAGCAGAACCCTCATTGGTTCACTAGCTTGTGACATAATATCCATTGTAGTAGGAAAAGCAAAGTGGAGACCCTTGAAATTGCCATCCCCCAAGCAAAAATATGGAATTGCAGGGATTAGCACTCTCAAAGACCTAAAAAATATCAACTGGCCTCTGTAATATCTCCATTCAATTCACCTGTATGTCCTCTGTTAAAAACAAAATAAAACAAACCGATGGGTCACATAGATGACAGGGAACATTTAACCCTATAATAGCCCAATTGCAACTGGTGTGCCAAATATGATAGTATTACTAGAACACAACAACATACCTTTTGGCACTTCGTATCCAGCTACTGATATGGCAAAAAACATTTCTTTCAATCCCTATTAGTAAAGAGTTTACTTTTACATTGAAAAGACAGGAATACATATTCATATCCCCAGGGCTATGTTAACTGTTGTTTTCTGCTACAAAGTTTTCCTGAAGGACCTTGTTCTCAGAGACATTCCATAGAACCCATAGAACATCATACTTTCCACTATATGGGCCTGGTGTGCAGGTAAGGACAAGTGACTTCACCTTGTCTCATGGGGATCTATGGCAACAGCTAATATGCCATGATGTTCCTAGAAGTGAGATAGGTAGGCAGCCATAAAGAATGTTTCTTCACCAATATAACTAGAAAAAAATCAAGAGCTGGACAACTTGGTAAATGAATGAGTTGGCCAAGTATACATCTTCAACAGGTTACAGGAGGCTCTATAAATATTCCTGAAGGGAGATCACACACATGCACGCAGGTTAAATAAATACATATGTTACATATGACCCATGTTCACTTTGGGGTGGAGATAACATTAAAATGCAGTAAAATTAGGCTCCATATGTCAAAAGGTGAAACAGAACATAAAGGTGCTATGTGCACAGCCTCCATAACCTTGCCAGAACCAGTCTGTGGACAGTGGTCATTTATCAGGAAGGAATGATTTGTAAGTTGGTCAACTGTTATGTTGAAATCTTGAAAAGGGAGGGGAGTCTGCCAACAGTGTCAGGCCATTGGTTGAAACCAGCAGAGAAGTCTTCCATTCTTCGTTTTCCAGGGCTAGTTTCTGTTTATCTCTTAGAGAATAAAAGTGGCGAACAGCAGGGACGACAACAGTTCTCCTGTCCTACCTCTTCAGGTTTGTGAAAGGAAAATAAATCTTGGAACCCCAAACTCATTAAGCCAAAGTGAAAAGTTAAGCTGAGATCTGGGTCATGCAAACCTGCCTCATCTTTTGGTTCCTAAATAAAATGGCTACAAGATGAAAAGCTACACGCCTCCCCCGTATTTTTCCCACAAGGAAATTCCTAGTGAGCTCCAACAACTTTACCCTAAGGTATTTCTGTTAAAATTTCACCATGGCAGGCCAGGCATGGTGGCTCACGCCTGTAATCCGAACACTTTGGGAGGCCAAGGCAGGCGGATCACTTGATGTCAGGAGTTCAAGACCAGCCTGGCCTACATGGTGAAACCCTGTCTCTACTAAACATACAAAAATTAGTCTGGTCGGGCATGGTGGCAGGGGCCTATAGTCCCAGCTACTTGGGAGGCTGAGGCTAGAGAATAGCTTGAACCCAGGAGGGAGAGGTTGCAGTGAGATCGTGCCACTGCACTCCAGCCTGGGTGACAGAGAGAAACTCTGTCTCAAAAAAAAATTTCACCATGGCAATGTAAATTGATAGCTTATCCTTACAGGTGCAGTCACCTCCCTGCCCACCAGACACAAATGCATATCTGATTGTTTCCCTGCCCCATTTTGTCTATGTCATCTTACATTAAAAAAATGCAGATTCACTGAGCCAGAAAAAGGCATGAATTTTTTCCTACCCTATTTTTTCCTACCCTCTCTTACATGAAAACTGTGTACTTCTCAATAGCCCATCCTTTCCCCTTTAAATTTGGAGCCCTCAAAATCATCTTCGGAGAAAGGCATAGACCTCCTGGGCACACGTCCTTAATTTTGACAAGTAAACCTCCTAAAATGATTGAAACTTGTCTTGTCATTTTTCTCGATTGGCAGGTTGTTGGAGTGATAGTGTTAGATTTTAGTTGCAAACATGCTTTGGAAAATCACTTATAATAAGCCAATATCACGCTGGAGGATATCTTTCAACAGCGATAATTAAAATTTTTGAGTGGCTGATTGAAAGATTATCTTTCTAGCCGTAATTAAATAAAGTGAACATTTTGTCTAAAATGGCTCCTTCAAGTTTTTGACTAATAAAAAAGTATAGCTATCTGTGTTCTATAGAACATTGTAGACAGCAGATGGTAGAGATCATTATATACCCAGCCTAGGCAACATGGCAAAAGTCCATCTCTACTAAAAATACAAAGAATTATCTGGGTATGGTGGTGCTTGCCTGTAGTTGCCATTACTTGGCAGTCTGAGGCGGGAGAATCACTTGAGCCCAGGAGGCAGAGGCTGCAGTGAGCTGTGATCACGCCACTGCACTCCAGCTAGGGCAACAGAGTGAGACCTCGTCTTGAAGATTTAAAAAATTTAAAAAAGAAATCATTATATACATTCAATTTATAGGCATAGAGAATGTTTTGCCTCATCTTTTCTCAAGAAGATAAATATATGACTACATATATTCGGTCCATAAAGCCCATCTATTAAGTGAAAACTTCACATTTCTTGTCTCCCTGCATTTTAAAAGTGAAGGTAAAGAAAATGTAGAAAATAGAATCCCAGGTTAAAGTGACCCCATTGCAAGAACAGTATCTCTGGGAATAAACTGACAATCCACAGCTGGCAGTCTGAGGTGGGAGAGTCACTATGTTCCAGTCACTATTACCAGAAATTGAGAGCAATTCATCCGCATGGAGCATCTTCACTCAGTCTGGCTCCCCTCTTACACCTTCCTCTTGTTCCTGTTTTCCCTTCCCACTTGTCCTTACATGTTTATTATACATCTGCCTCTGTTTCACCATGAAGACTTTGGAAGCCACGTGTCAAAGAAAGCAGGACTCCCATCAGCCAGAATCCCTAAATGGCTGTGTGACTCAAAGAACCCTGACAACCAGCAACCACCTTATCCTGATAATGTGAGCAAGAAATAATCTCCTTCTTGTGTTTGAGCCAATAAACACTTTGGGACCTATTTCTGACAACAGTTACCCTACTTGACGTACAAAAAAAAAAGCTTGTATTGGAAGAGGATGCCATACAAAAACCTGAAATACAGGCCATTGGCTTCATGATTCAGTAACAGGCAGTGAAGGTAGAGAAAATGTAGAAAATAGAATCCAAAGTTAAAGTGAATCCATATCAGAGGAAACATAGCAAAGGCTGGAAAGATTATGCAGCAGCAAATCAGGAAAGGAAGGGGAAAATGAGGTGAAAATTGCTAGCTGCTCACCAAAACCCAGTTTCCCCTCTTTTCCCGGAACACATAGCTGAACTATCTTTTTAAGGCTTCTTTGCAGTGAGGTAGGACCATTCGCCTCAGTTCTAGCCAAAGAAGTATGCACAAAGGTGATGTGCTTGCTGTATTTCTTTCACAAATTCAACACCAATCCCCAGGTGACCTCAGGAGCCATGGGATGAGAATGCCAAAGCCTCTATCAGCCTAGGTCCTCACCTAGGTCCCCAACTGACTGTGTGTGAAAAAGCCACCCAATATTCTGCCTCCAACATTTCTTTTTTTTGAGACAGGGTCTGGCTCTGCTGCCCAGGCTGGGGTGCAGTGGTGCAATCACAGCTCACTGCAACTTCCACATGCCGGGCTCAAGTGATCCTCTCACCTCAGCTTCCCAAGTAGGTGGGACTACAGGTGCACACCACCATGCCCAGCTAATTTTTGTATTTTTTAAAGAGATGGGATTTCACCATGTTGCCCAGGATGGTCTCGAATTCCTGAATTCAAGCAACTAGACTGCCTTGGCCTCCCAAAGTGCTGGGATTTCATGCATGAGCCATCACACCTGGCCTGTAACCTTCTTAGACTTTTTATATAAGTGAGGCATAAAGTTCTACATGTTTGAGCCACAGTGGGAAGGAGATTATTTGTTAAAGCAGAGAGCTTCCTCTAACTAATTAAAATATGCTATATATTATATACAGAATTTAAGTAGGAAGATAAAATATGGATCATTTATATTTAAACATTTTTCAATTGGGAAAAATAAATAAAATAATTAGAATGAACTCTTTGTAAACCAGTAGTAACATCATGAGTTTATAATTGCTTACATTTTTTCCAAACATGTCCTCCCATAGAAGATATGTTTCAACTATTCATAGAATCTAGAATAGAGGAAATAAAAAGGCAAAAACATATTAAGTAAAAAAGAGCAATACATTTTAAAACAATTTGCACTTTGAAGGGTATTCAGATCATAATGGCATTTTGATTATCATTTTCTGTCTTATCTAGCCATTTCTCTATTTAATAATTGAGTTCTGGGTGTCCAGGATTTTAGTCCTAGCTCATTGTTTAAATCTCAGACTACAAAAAAAATAGCCTTAAACAGTAACATGCCATGATTTCCTCATTTATAAAACAGAGAGATTGCTGGGTACAGTGGTTCACACCTAATCCCAGCATTTTGGGAGGCTGAGGCAGGAGGTTTGCTTGAGCCCAGGAGTTCAAGACTATCCTGGGCAACATAGTGAGACCCACATGTCTATTAAAAAAAAAATGTAGGCCGGGCGAGGTGGCTCACGCCTGTAATCCCAGCACTTTGGGAGGCTGAGGCGGGCAGATCACGAGGTCAGGAGATGAAGACCATCCTGGCTAACACGGTGAAACCCCGTCTCTACTAAAAATACAAAAAATTATCCTGGTGTGGTGGCAGTCTCCTGTAGTCCCAGCTATTCGGGAGGCTGAGGCAGGAGAATGGTATAAACCTGGGAGGCACAGCTTGCAGTGAGCCGAGATCATGCCACTGCACTCCAGCCTGGGCGACACAGCAAGACTCCATCTCAAAAAAAAAAGAAAATTTAAAAATTAGCCAGGCATGGTGGTGTGTACCTACAGTCCCAGCTACTCAGGAGACTGAGGTGGGAGGATAGCTTGAGCCTGGGAGGTCAAGTCTGCAGTGAGCTGTGATCATGCCACTCTACTCCAGCCTGGGCGACAGAGCGAGACTCCGTCTCAAAAAAAAAAAAAAAAAAGGAAAGAGAGACAGAAAGAAAGAAAGAAAGAAAGGAAGAAAGAAGGAGAGAGAGAAAGAGAGAGAAAGAAAGAAAGAAAGAAAGAAAGAAAGAGAGAAAGAAAGAAAGAAAGAAAAGACGAGACAGAACAAAAATTTTCCTGCTTAATTCTTCTGAATGTATTTTTAAAATACCTTAATCATTTGCAAAATTACTCTGTAAAATTATTACATTAGCCCATGACATGCTGGAGGAAATTTTTCAAAGCTACTGTTTGGGTTAGAAATAGTTTAATATGTAGCTTTTCTTTCTGGCACTAATTAGATAATGCAGCAATTGCCTTTTTTTTTTTTTTTTTTTTTTTTTTTGAGACAGGGTCACACTCTGTTGCCCAGGCTGAAATGCAATGATGCAATCATGACTCACTGCAGCTTTGACCTCCCAGGCTCAAGCGATTCTCCCACCTCAGCCTCCCTAGTAGCTGGAACTATAGGCATGTGCCACCACACCCAGCTAAATTTTGGTTTTTGTTGTTGTAGAGACGGAGTCTTCCTATATTGCCTAGACTGGTCCTGAATTCCTGGGCTGAAGCAATCCTGTTGCCTCTGCCTCCCAAAGTGTTAGGATTATAGGCATGAGCCACTGTGCCCGGGCCCAGTTGTCTTTTGAGGCTTTTTCCACATTTGTGCCCAAAGGACATTATCAACCAGTAGAATTCTTAGCTTTCTATGCTCTATAAAAGATAAGGTATAAACAGATGTAGAAATCACACCATAAAGTCAAAACTTCAGTATTAAGAGGCATGACAATGTGTCATTTATACAACAGCACATCAAAAAGTTTATCTACCACGATCAAGTAGGCTTCATCCCCAGGATGCAAGGCTGGTTCAACATATGCAAATCAATAAGCATAATTCATCACATAAACAAATCTAAAGACAAAAACAACATGATTATCTCAATAGACACAGAAAAGGCCCTCAATAAAATTCGACAACCCTTCATGTTTAAAACTCTCAAAAAACGAAGTATTGAAGGAATATATCTCAAAATAATAAGAGCTATTTATGACAAATCCACAGCCAGTATCATATTGAATGGGCAAAAGCTAGAAGTATTCCCTTTGAAGACTGGCACAAGACAAAGATGCCCTCTCTCACTACTCCTATTCAACATAGTATTGGAAGTTCTAGCCAGGGCAATCAGGCAAGAGAAAGAAATAAAGGGTATTCAAATGAAGACAGGAAGTCAAATTGTCTTTGTTTGCAGATGACATAATCCTATGTCTAGAAAACCCCATCATCTCAGCCCAAAAGCTTCTTAAGCTGATAAGCAACTTCAGCAAAGTCTCAGGATCCAAAATCAAAGTGCAAAAGTCACAAGCATTCCTATACACCAACAACAGGCAAGCAGAGAGCCAAATCATGAATGAACTTCCATTCACAATTACTACAAAAAGAATAAAATACATAGGAATTCAGCTAACAAGGCAAGTGAAGGACCTCTTCAAGGAGAACTGCAAACCACTGCTCAAGGAAATCAGAGAGGACACAAACAAATGGAAAAACACTTCATGCTCATGGATAGGAAGAATCAATATTGTGAAAATGGCCATACTGCCCAACGTAATTTATAGATTCAACACTATCCCAACTAAACTACTGTGGACATTCTTCACAAAATTAGCAGAAAGTATTTTAAAATTCATATGGAACAAAAAAAAAGAGCTCATAGAGCCAAAACAATCCTAAGCAAAAAGAAAAATCCTGGAGGCCTCACACTACCAAACTTCAAACTATACTACAAGGCTACAGTAACCAAAACAGCATGGTACTGGCACAAAAACAGACACATAGACCAACGGATCAGAAGAGAGAACTCAGGATTAAGGCCTCACATCTACAACCATCTGATCTTCAACAAACCTGACAAAAACAAGCAATGGGGTAAGGATTTCCTATTTAATACATTGTGCTGGGAGAACTGGCTAGCCATATGCAGATAATTGAAACTGGATCCCTTCCTTACGCCTTACAAAAATTAACTCAAGATAGATTAAAGATTTAAATGTAAAACTCAAAACTATAAAAACCCTAGAAGAAAATGTAGGCAATACCACTCAGGACATAGGCACAGGCAAAGATTTCATGACAAAATCACCATAAGCAATTGCAACAAAAGCAAAAACTGACATTTTCACTATTAAACTAAAGAGCTTCTGCACACAAAAGAAACTATCACCGGAGCCAACAGGCAACCTAAAGAGTGGGAGAAAATTTTTGCAATCTATCCATCTGACAAAGCTCTAATGTCCAGAATCTACAAGGAATGTAAACAAATTTACAAAAAAAAATCAACTCCATTAAAAAGTGGCCAAAGGATATGAACGGACACTTCTCAAAAGACATTCAGGTGGCCAAAAAACATATTAAAAAAGCTCAGCATCACCAGGTGCAGTAGCTAACGCCTGTAATCCCAGCACTTTGGGAGGCCAAGGTGGGCGAATCACGAGGTCAGGATATGGAGACCATTCTGGCTAACATGGTGAAACCCCATCTGTACTTAAAAAAAAAAAAAAAAAAAAAACAGAAAAAAATTAGCCAGGCATGGTGGCAGGCACCTGTAGTCCCAGCTACTCAGGAGGCTGAGGCAGGAGAATGGCATGAACCCAGGAGGCGGAACTTGCAGTAAGCCGAGATCACACTACTGCACTCCAGCCTGGGCGACAGAGCAAGACTCTGTCAAACAAACAAACAAACAAACAAAAAAGCTCAACATCACTGATTATAAGAGAAATGTAAATCAAAACCACAGTGAGATACCATCTCATGCCAGTCAGAATGGCAATTATTAAAAAGTCAACGAACAGCAGATGCTGGCAAGGTTGCAGAGAAATAGGAACGCTTTTACATGGTTGGTGGAAATGTAAATTAGTTCAACCACTGTGGAAGATGGTGTGGTGATTCCTCAAAGATCTAGAACCAGAAATACCATTTGACCCAGCAATCCAGTTACTGGGTATATACCCAAAGGAATATAAATCATTCTATTACAAAGATACATGCACATGTATTTTCATTACAGCACTATTCACAGTAGCAAAGACATGGAATCAACTCAAATGCCCATCAATGAAAGACTGGACAAAGAAAATGTGGTATGTATACACCATGGAATACTATGCAGCCATAAAAAAGAATGAGATCATGTCCTTCACAGGAACAGGCATGGAGCTGGAAGCAAACTAATGGAGGAACAGAAAACCGAACACCGCATGTTCTCACTTGTAAGTGGGAGCTGAGCAATGAGATCACATGGATACAGGGAGGGGAACAACACACACTGGGACCTGTTGGGGGTGGGGTGAGGGGAAGGAGAGCATTAGGAAAAATACCCAATGCATGCGGGGCTTAATACCTAGGATATGGGTTGATAGGTGCAGCAAACCACCATGGCATACATTTACCTATGTAACAAACCTGCACATCCTGCACATGTACCCAGAACTTAAAATGAAAATGAAAAAGCCTCATAATTTTGCTAGCATATTTAAAATAAAATATCAACATATGAATACACAGACTCAAAGCTTCCATTTGTTAAACATGGACTTTATAATTATGCAGAGAATGGATCCAGTGAGTTGCTTGGATCCCTTTCATGTGGATGCACTGAGAAAGTTCAGACTCCTAATTACAATCTTTTTCTTCTTTACCTGGCCAAATTCTTGGTGAGGAATTTTGTTTCTTGACCCTATTCTTTATTATTATTTCCTAAAGGATAACAACTGCTGATCATAGGAGAAAGTAATAGAATTCTTTAGGGGTTTTGGTGATAACCAACTCAGAAGAAAATGCCATATTACAAAAAAGAAGAAAAAAAGAAACCTAGAAAAGACCTCGAAAAGTTCCAGGCTAGAATATACCCACCCACAAGCTAAATTAGTCTGCTTTTTGATTCATCTGAGGGATGATCAGAAAGGTTGGGAAAAACTTACCCACAATAGGCAACTTGCATTGTCTTGTAAAACTCTTCTTACACTTTGCTCCCTTCTGATATCCTACCCTTTCAAATCATTCTACACATTTCCTCTTCCTCTGCTCTTTTCCTCATATATGGAAGCCTTGGAAACTATGTGTTAAAGGCACTACAGCCTCCACCAACCACAGTCCTCAAACAGGTGAAATAGAGCTTTGCCCATCCATCCCATCCTCTATCAACATGGAACCCCCTTGTTTACAAGAATGTAAAACAAGCCTCAATTTTGCTTGAGCTGTTACATAGTTTTTGGTCCATTTAACAGCTATTATCCTATAACATTGAATATAGAAGTCATAATGAAAACTGGCACTGGTGATGAGAATGCTGTGGCCCATGCTTGTAATTCCAGCTGAGCCAGGAGGATTGCTTGAGTCCAGGAGTTCGAGGCTGCAGTGAGCTAGGATGGCGCCACTGTACTCCAACCTGGGTGACAGAGCAAAACCCTGTCTCTAAATAAATAAATAAATAAATAAATAGAAAGAAACTAGTACTGGAAGTGAGGTGTTGCCATAATAAAAATGGCTTAGTGATCAGGAATTTTATATCAGAGCATGGAAAATGGTTTCCTTTATTAGGCAATGGCAAAACATGACAGATTTCTTGCAAGATATATCACAAAAGGTAAACATTTTTTTAATGCCTCTAAGTCCTGTAGCTCTAGGAAAAGGAATTGGAAAACACTAACAATAGAGTCTGTTGGTTACCACTCACTGGGTTTGAAGGCTTATTACAGTTAAGAGATCAGCTCCAGCAATAATTGATTCATTTGAGAACAAAAGTGAATGGGACTCAAGAGAGTACAGAAAAGTGGGTTCTCGTAGGGTTGGAGAAGCCAAAAGAACTCCGAAGAGTAAGAGATGAGACTGAAAGAGGCTTTGAGCAACAAAAAGCTAGTTAGGGTTTCTCGATTAAACAGAGGAATTGAGCACTGAGGTAAATTTCAAAGTAAGCAAAGCCTTGACACCTAACCACCTGGCATCAGATAGCCTCAAGGGAGTACCATTCAACTAAGAGAGAAATTTGGTTTGGGAGGGAAAAGTTAAGAAATAAATCAGGCTTATGGATTAAGTTTAGAACAGAACTCTAGATGTTGTTATAAATATGTGGAATTCATGGACAATAAATCAATGAAAAGCCAACCAAGCTTTAATAAAATCACTGAAAGAACCATAAACCTGAACATAAAGTACTTTTCAAGTACTGTTCAAGCCTTAATAAAACCCTTAGTCATCCAAACTTAAACATGCAGAAAAAAGCTGTGAATACATACAGTGCTATAGAAGGGTGTGTCCCCCAGTGGATACTTCAGAGGTGGCCAAGAAGGAAATTGAAAGAGAAAATGAAAAAAAAAAAAAAATAGAGGGCACGGTCAGGAGAATTATTTCAAAAGAGCAGAATCAAAGTCAAGAAATTTCCAAATTCCTCCACTGCTAGAGGAGAGGGACCCCTTTAATCACAGCCTGGTAGATTTAGATAATAGACCATTGGCCACTGTTTGTCTCCCATTTTTCCACTTCCTAGATAGTAGTTGTATTGGGATTACTCTGTCACTCATCAAACATTGTATATTGGAAGTACAGTAAGGGAAGACAAACTTATTAAAAGGTCACCAAAACATCAAGAACATCATCCAGACCTGATAGGGAGAACTGTACTTCACACAAAGTAAGTGGATATTGGCCTGTGTGCAGTAATTATATGGGAGTTTGTGTTATCTCCTGTAAGGGAGGGGCAGGAAGAAAGAGGGTAAGGGGTTCTATATGTGGGAAGATCGGAAGAAGGGTGATACTTGAGGACAAGATAGAAAGTGTATAGGAGAGACAGCTAGCTGCTTACCCAAACTGTATTTTCCTCTTCTTCCAGGGCACACAGTTAAACTATATTTTCCAGGAATTCCTGCAGGTATGAGTGGCCTATGACCGAGTTCTAGATAGAGGAACATCTGAGGAAGACATGTGCCTAGTTCCAAGGCTGACCCATAAAAGCTTCTTACACGTACTGCCCCACAATCTTTCCTCTGCCATGAACTGGATGGCAGTCTCCAAGTAAGGACACCCTTGGAAGCCATGAGTGTCAAAACCTCCATCAGTCTGAGACCATGCATAATTACATGGAAGAGAGCCCCCAACAACCCAACAACCCTCCCATCTCACCAACTTGTAACTCATTAGACTGTTTTAAAAGAAATAAACTTAAATTTTGTTTGAGGATGTTATATATATTGGGGTCTATTTGTTAGAGCAGATAGCCTAATTTAACTACTACAAAGCAAGCTAACTACTACTATTACATGAATCTTCCAAAATCAAAAGGAATTATTTTCTATTTGTAACATATGCAGCAAACAATTAGAATAATTCTTTTGTAAAGAAAAATATGTTTATATGAATATTAAGAGTTTTATTGGCTTTTCTGTTTTCCAAGTGGCTTTTCCCAAAGTATATTTACTTCTAATATCTATAAGATTTATAAAATGGCAGGAGAAATCTAAAATAGGAATGTGTAAAGTCCTTATGTTGTCTAGAAAATGGTAAGAGTATTAATGTTTACTAGGCATTGATAAACCAAAAATGACTATAATAATGTAATTTTAATGTAATCCAATAAAGAAGTAAGAAGAAGAAAAGGAACATAAAACAGGTAAGACAAATAGAAAACAAGCAGGAAGATGGTAGATTTAAACCTAAATATATCAGTAGTTACATGGAAAGTAAATGAAACAATTTCTCCAATTAAAAGCCAAACATAGCCCAGGCACAGTGGCTCATGCCTGTAATCCCAGCACTTTGGGAGGCTGAGGCAGGTGGATCATGAGGTCAGGAGTTCGAGACCAGCCCGGCCAATATGGTGAGACCCCCATCTCTACTAAAAATACAAAAAAATTAGGTAGGCATGGTGGCGTGTGCCTGTAGTCCCAACTACTCGGGAGGTCAAGGCATGAGAATTGCTTGAACCCAGGAGGTGGAGGTTGCAGTGAGCCGAGATCATGCCACTGCACTCCAGCCTGGGTGACAGAGCAAGACTCCGTCTCAAAAACAGACAAAAAAAAGGCAAACATTGTCATACTGGATTAAAGAAAACCTATAGGCTGCTTGCAAGAGACATGATTGAATATACGAAGATATATAAGTTAAAAATAAAAAGATGGAATAAGATATGCAAACACTAAGTCGTCTCAAAAAAATATAAAGCCGGTGAATGGTATCAGAACATATCACCCCATAATATGCCACTTTGCCATGTTGATTATTTTGAGCTGAAGGCAATTGAGAAACAGCAGATGCAGAAAGGGGTCTCTTTCTTACACCTTTATGCCTAAGAAAAGTGCCATCCCTGTACCAGGAATAGAACATTCTTATCACCAGAGTCAAGGAGTTGAAGCCATGATGAATCTGTACAAACAAACCTCACTAAAATAACCCTTATCTCCCATTAGTTTTCTCCATATATTTCTTAGTCACTTTCCCATAATTTACCACTCTTAGCCCAAATCCTTTTTTCCTTTGTATTGTTACATCTCCACAAGTTATTGCTCTGTGTTAAAATAGTATATAAGCCTCCAGTCAATTCATTTATTTGGGGTTTTTATTTCTTGCTATGATGTTTCCTTTGCCATGTAAAAATACTAATATTAAATAAAATTTCTGTGCTTTTTCTCCTGTTAATCTGTCTTTTGTCAGTTTAATTTATAGGTCCCAGGCATTAAACCTAAGAGAGTAAAGAAAAAAAAATTTTTTCTACACTGGTGTAGACTTTTAAGCAAAAAACACCATTAGGGATAAAGAGGGACGTTACACAATGATAAGAAATTCAACACACACAAAAGATAATTCTACATTTATTGGTACCTAACAGAAAAGCCACAAAATATATAAAGCAAAGATTGACAAGATTAAAAGGAGAAATAGACAAATCCACTACCAAAGTAGAAGCTTGTAACTCACCTCAGTCGCTGATGGCACAAGCAAAAAATCAGTAAGGATGTAGAAAATCTGAACCATGTGATTAACAAACTTGACTTAATTGACATAGATAAAACAACATACCCAACAACTTCAAATGTGCATTCTTTTTAAGTACACATGGAACACATAAAAATGATAAATGTTGGGACATATAGTAAATCTCAAATTTCAAAAAACTAAAATTGTGCCAAGTACATCCTCTGACAATAAGAAACAAAACTAAAAATCAATAACAAGAAGAAAATTCCCCATGTAAATGGAAATTAAGAAATAAACCAATAAACACCTCATAGATCAAAGAAAAAATTATAATTGAATTCAGAAAACAATTCCTGAATGATAATAAAAATATGACATATCAAAACTTATGAGATTCACCAAAAGCAAAACTTAAGAAGGAAAAAATTATAGCCTTAAATGCATTTCTTAGAAAAGAAGATCCATCCCTGCAAGGTCTGAGAAAAAAAAAAAAGAAAAGCTAAAAATCAATGATCTAAGCATCCAAAGGTAGAGATATGAAAAAAGTTAAGAAAGAAACTGATATAGAAAACAAGCATTCAAGAAAGGGGATCAGCAGTTAAAGTCTAAAGTTATCTCTTTGAAACAGCTATAAAATTAACAAGCTCCTAATAAGACTAGACTTTTTTTAAGACAAGGGTCACAAGAACAAATATTAGGGGGAAAAAGAATATGTCAATACATATTCTAAAGACATTAAAATATCTCAGGATACTATGATCAGCTTTATGCCAAACAATTGGAAAGTTTAAATTAAAAACACAATTTACAATATAGGCAAATGCAAAAAATATAAATTTTTTCTACTTTTTCTGTAATTGTTCTGTAACTATTAAAAAATTGAATGTATAATTTAAAACCTCTCTTCAATAAAATTTTCAGGCCAGATGGCTTAAGTGATGTATTTACCAAGCATTTAAGGAAGATAATACACCAAATTTTATCAACCACTTCCATAGAATAGAAACAGAAGAAATAACTACTGATTATTTTGTGAGACCAGTATAACCATAATTCCAAACTCTGAGGGGGCAAAACAAGAACCTAATGATTTCAAACAAGAATCTCTTTCATGAATACAGTTGTAAAACTCCCCAACATAAAAAATAAAGCCAGTTATATTAAAAAGTATAATTCTTATGACCAAGCTAGGTTTATTTCAGAAATGCAAGATTGGTTGAACATTCAAAAATCAATCAGTGGGCCAGGTGCAGTGGCTTACGTCTGTAATCCCAGCACTTTGGGAGGCTAAGGCAGGCCAATCACTTGAGGTCAGAAGTTCCAGACCAGCCTGGCCAACATGGTGAAACTCCATCTCTACTAAAAATACAAAAATTAGCCAGGTATGGTGGCATGCACCTGTAGTCCCAGCTACTCAGGAGGTTGAGGTAGGAGGATCACCTGAGCCCAGGAGGTGGAGGTTGCAATCAGCCGAGATCATGCCACTGCACTCCAGCCTGAGCAACAGAGCAAGACCTTGTCTCAAAAATAAATAAATAAATGTAATAAAATGCATTAACAGATTACAGGAAAAAAGCAATTTGATCATGTTCATAGGTCCAGAAAAACATTCAATAAAAATCAAGATGGGCACGGTGACTCACACCTATACTCCCAGCATTTTGGGAGGCAGAGGCAGGTGGATCACTTGAGTCTAGGAGTTTGAGACCAGCCTGGGCAACATGATGAAACCCCATCTCTACAAAAAATACAAAGAAAAAATTAGCTGAGTTTGGTGGTGCACACCTGTGGTTCCTGCAACTCAGGAGGCTGAGGCGGGAGGATCACCTGAGCCTGGGAGGCAGAGGTTGCAGTGAGCCATGATGGTGTCACTGCACTCCAGCCTGGGTGACAGAGTGAGACTCTGTCTGGAAAAAAAAAAAATCAATATCCATTCATGATTAAGAAAAACTTAGCAAACTAGGAATTGAAGGACACTTCCCTAATTTAGTAGAGGGCATCCATAAAATACTTACAGCATAGCCAGGCACGGTAGCTCATGCCTGTAATCCCAGCACTTTGGGAAGCAGAGGCAGGCAGATCACGAGATCAGGAGTTTGAGACCAGCCTAACATGGTGAAACCCCTTCTCTACTAAAAATAGAAAAATTAGCCGGGCGTGGTGGCACCTGTAATCCTAGCCACTCAGGAGGCTGAGGCAGGAGAATCACTTGAACTCAGGAGATGGAGCTTGCAGTGAACTGAGACCACACCACTGCACTCCAGCCTGGGTGACAGAGCGAGACTCCATCCCCCTCCAAAAAATATATATATATATACCTACAGCATACTTCACACTCAATGATGGAAAGTTGAAAGCTTTCTGATGATTGCTTGAGACCAAGACAAAGTGCTCAAGCAAGTTGAGACCAAGACCAAGTGCTCCTATTACCCCTTTTATTCAGCATCGTACTGGAGGTCTTTGCTGGTGCAGAAACTCAAAGAAAAGAAATATATGTTAAAGAATCGAAAACAAAGATATGAAACTTATTTTTCACAGATGGTGAAATTGAATACACTGAAAATCCAAAAGAACCTATCAGTAAATCACTAAAATTAATAAGTAGTTTGGCAGGTTTTCTAGATCTGTGTCAAGTTACAAAAATGAAATGCATTTTACAAACCAAAAACAGTTACTACACGAAGTGTTGAAATATACATTTACCATACTACTGAAAAGAATATAGGAAAACAAATCTAATAAATGATATGTAAAAATCTATACAGAAAATTCTAGAACATTGTTAAGAAACATTAAAGAATACCTGAGTAAATGGAAGGATATATTATGTTCAGGGATTGGAAGATGAATATTGTCCATTCTCCTCAAAATGATCTACAGAAACAACCCATGTTGTTTCCATTTTAAACATCAACAGCATTTTTGTGGAAATTGACCAGTTGATTCTAACATGTAATATTGGAACACAAAGAACTGGAAATAACCCAGACAATTTGAAAAAGGTGAACACAACTAAAGGACTTCACTACAAGATATCAAGATTTAAATAAAGCTACTCTAATTAAATGGTATTGTCTCAAAGATAGAAAAATAAGCCAGTTGAAAGAAAAGACTCATGCCTATTTGGGCGGTTGATTTACTACAAAGGTGACATGGCAAAACTGTGTGGCAAAGACAATACTCAGTTACTTGGATACCTACATCTAATAAATCTTGAAGAAAAAGAAATCCAGGCCCTCTAATCCACACCAAGCAATTACTGGTGGATTTTAGATAAAAATGTAAAAAGATAAAACAATAGCATTTTGAGAAGATAACCTAAAATAATATCTTCATAAACTCTGGGTGGGTAGGGAAAGATTTTTTTTTTTTTTTTGAGATGGAGTCTCCTCTGTTGCCCAGGCTGGAGTGCAGTGGCACGATCTCAGCTCACTGCAGCCTCTGCCTCCCAGGTTCAAGCAATTCTCATGCCTCAGCCTGCCAAGTAGCTGGGATTACAGGTGTGCACCTCCACACCTGGCTAATTTTTGTATTTTGAGTAGGGACGGGGTTTTGTCACATTGGCCAGACTGGTCTTGAATTCTTGACCTTGGGTGATCTGCCCGCCTCGGCCTCCCAAAGTGCTGGGATTGTAGCTGTGAGCCATTGCACCTGGCCAGATTTCTTAAACAGAATGCAAAAAGCACTTAACCCTAAAGGAAATAATTTATATACTGGACTACACTAAAATTAAAAAATTTCCTTCACTCAAAGATACCATTAAGATCATGAAAATGCAAACCGAAGAGTAGACAAAGATTTTTGAAACCTATTTATCCAAACAAGGGCTCATATTCAGAGTATCTAAAGGACCCTTATACTTCAATATAAGAAATGCAGTGAATCCCAGAAGTAAAGATACTTGAATAGGAACTTCACAAAAGTAGATATTCCAAAGGTCAGTCTAAACACATGAAAGTGCTCTCTCATTAGCAGTTAGGGAAATGCAAATTCAAATCACAGTGAAATATCACTACACACCTAAATTGGCTAAAAAAAAAATTGCCAATACCAAATGTTGGCAAGGATATGAAAAAATTGGAACTTCTATAAACTGATAGTGGTAGTGTCAGTTGGTGCAATCACACTGGAAAACTGGCATAATCTTTTAAAGTTGGACATGCATATACTCTATAATTCAGCAATTTCACTCAGGCATACATAGTCAACAGGAATGCAGGCATGTTTGCAAATATTCATAATAATACTATTCATAATACCTCAGTACTGAAATTAATCCAAAGGTCTATCAACAGTAGAATGGGTAAAAACACTGTGGTACATTTTAATATATAAGTGGAATTTATAAAAAGTAATCTTCTATGTCTGACTTCTTTCACTTGAACTTAACATTTGTGAGATTCATCCACATCGTGGCAGGCTTCTATTGTTGGGAATCAGGATCGTGTTTTTGTCTTTGGAAAGGAGGAGGAGTCTGGTGGTTGGGAGGGGTCACAGAGTGGTTTCTGGGGTGATCGGTTTCTATCTTGATTTCTGTAGTGGTAGCATGGGTATGTTCATTGTGTGACAATTATTCTGTAGGCTTATGGTTTGTACGCTTTTTAGTATGTTATACTTCAATAAAAAATGTGTTTTTTACAAGGCAAAACAAATTTAAAAATTATTATTAAAATTATTATATAATGACATGTATCAAAACCATTGTATCTGTCTGAAAGTGATTCATCTAAAACATTTCTTTCTGTAAATTCTAGATAGTAATTTCAGCTGTCTTTTGAGACCTTTTCAAGGTTGTGACTAAATGACAATAGAAATCATTCTGTTAACATGAGTTTAAAGTTGTTTATTGTTTATCATTATTTTCCCCAAACACCTAGTGCTATGGTTTGACTGTGTCCACCAAAGTTCACGTGTTGGAAACTTAATCCCAATGCAACAGTGTTGAGAACTGGGACCTTTAAGAAGTAATTAGGTCACGAGGCTCTGTTTTTAATGAATGGATTAATTCCGTTATCCTGGGAGTAGGTTAGTTATCTTGAGAATGAGTTCCTGATAATAGCACAGTTTCTGCTCACTTCCCCTTTCTCTTTCACATTCTCTTCCCCTTCCGCCTTCCACCACAGAATGACATAGCAAGAAGACCCTCACCAGATGCCAGCACCTTGATATTGGACTTCCTGGCCTCCAGAATTAAGAAATAAATTTCTTTTCGTTACAAATTACCTAGTCTCGGGTATTCTTTTATAGCAGCAGGGGAAAAAAAAAAAAAAAAAAAAAACTAAGATACCCAGATAATATGAATTGCAATCAGAGTAAACTTAATCGGGAAACAGTAGTTCTAATTTCAAGCCCTGTTTGTGGCCATTTGGCATCTTCCTTGCCTGGACCACTTCTTGGTGCTGAGCTAGAGGTTTCCTATTACTCTATTAGTCACTTGCAGAGTAAGCCCTACTGAACTCCAAACAGAAATAAAACCCCTTGGAGGTTTTAGTGGTGCCCAGTGAGCCAACAGAAAAGGAAATCACGTAACAAGACTAGGGGCACCCGGGGAGCTCCAGGAACTCAGGAGTAGGACCAGGCCCACCTGACACCGCCCTGGTGTGACTCTCAGACGCATCTCACCAGCAGAGGTTAATGTGGCAGCAGCACTGTTGCCAGAGACAGAGAAAATTTTACCTACCACAGGCAGTTCTGCTTTGTCAACCTGCTTGCCATGTTCCTACACCTCACTACCATTCTGCTACTTACCCTTCCTGCTTGTCTACACATCTCTTCTGACTCTTATTCTTTTTCTTACCATGGATCATCTTGGAAGATAACTGTTAAAATGTTAAAAATGGCAGAGCCTCCAGCATCCTAGGTGTCTGAATGACTATGGGGGTCACAGTCCCCTAGCCTCTCTCCCAAAGCCCCCACAACTCCACTCATGACCTGGAACACTGTAGATTGTCCACAAAGCAAGAATTAATTTCTATTTAGTTTAGCAATTACAAAAGTTCAGGGTCTATTTAATATAACATAGCGTACCCTAACTAACAAAAAAGATTAATCTGGACTCTTCAGAACTTTTTGTTTTACTTGTGAATGATTTCACAATCAGATTTAATGTTTCATAGAAATTTTTTTATGTTCATTTGTGTACCAAGAATTCTGATTTGGACATACTTCTTTTCCTAACATGTATTTTCAGAGATTTCTCCCCAGCAACCAGTTAACTATAAAGCAATGAGAGGAAAACAGAAACAAAATCACGGGATGATCATTTCTCTCTGTGTATCTCTACCTTTCTAAGGAAAATGACAGCTATAAAAATGAATTCTAGCAATCAAAGGTGGTAATTCCAGCTCTTCCTTTAATTCCCTATTTGGCATTGTAAAAAGACAAGGGAAAAGTCACCTTAAGCATCTGTGGGCTTTCGTTTTGTCATGTATAAAACAGGGCAATCAGTAATTCATTCTGCTTACATTTCATGATTGTTGTAAAGTTAAAATCAGAGTTTTTTGCAAAACCTTTTGATAAACCACCACGTGTTCAATGACAAATAAAAAGTAAAATGAGAAAATATAAAGTAAAAATCTGCGCTGTTATTTATGAGACTGGATTAATAGATACAAAGTCAGTTGCAAAGTTAACAGGAAACAATATTTCTCCTAAGAACTTGCTGCAGATAAGCCAGGTGCTGTGGCTCATGCCTGTAATCCCAGCACTTTGGGAGGCTGAGGCAGGCAGATCACGAGGTCAGGAGTTCAAGACCAGCCTGGCCAACATGGTGAAACCCCGTCTCTACTAAAAATACAAAAATTAGCTGGGCATGCTGGCACATGCCTGTAATCCCAGGTACTCAGGAGGCTTAGGCAGGAGAATTGCTTGGACAAGGACCCAGGAGGCAGAGGTTGCAGTGAGCCGAGATGGCACCACTGCACTCCAGCCTGGGCTACAGAGCGAGAATCCATCTCAAAAAAAAAAAAAAAGAAAAGAAAAAAAGAATTTTCTTCAGCTATATAAAGTCACAACCCCCCACTATGGGGGTTTCAGAAAAAAAAACGCTGCACAGCAAAAAAAAAAAAAAAAAAAAAAAAAAGTCATAACAATCCCCCTTTTTATTTTTGTATCAAATATGTTTACCCAGAATCCTCTTTTTTGAATGAACACTGCTTTCTTACTTGTTAAGGAAACTTGCTGTCAAAAATCACACACATTTCTTCTGCCTCTGTTTCTTGCCTGGGGAAATGTTTGAAGATGGATCCCTGAATGGGTACGGGGATCTCTCCTCCTCCCTCCTTGCCCCCATTCCAACTCAACCTCCCTTAACCCAGAATAGAACCTATTTGAATGGTTTTCATATGTAACGAATAGACTTCTAGTGTTTAAGACATTCTACACCTGTTAAAAATAGATGGTAAAGGTTAAACACTTAACTTCTAGTATTTAAGACATTCTACACCTGTTAAAATAGATGGTAAAGTCCAGGGGCAGTGGCTCAGGCCTATAATCCCAACACTTTGGGAGGCTAAGGTGGGAGGATAGCTTGAGCCCCGAAGTTTCAGACCAGCCTGGGCAGAATAGCAAGACCCCATATCTACAAAAATTTGAAAAATTAGCTGGGTATGGTGTTGTGCACCTTCGGTCCCAGCTATTTAGGAGGCTGAGATGGGAGGATCACTTGAGCCCAGAAGGTCAAGGCTGCATTGAGCCATGTTCACACTACAGCACTCCAGCCTGGGTGACAGAGAAGACCCTGTCTCAAAACAAAAACAAAAACAAAAAAACATGGTGGAAACTCCCATTTAAAAAATGCTTTTTTTACTTATCAAAAATGTAGCAAACAATTAAAATGAGTCTTTTGTAAGAAAAATATGTACATTTTTACATTGACTTACCTTATTTGACATCATACCTAGTATGTATTTCCAAATTAATTTTGTTCATAAAATCCATGGAAGAGAAACAGTTGCTGGTTAATAAAGTTATAAATCAGCTGGGCACGGTGGCTCATATCTGTAATCCCTGCACTTTGGGAGGCTGATGTGGGTGGATCACCTGAGGTGAGGAGTTCAAAACCAGCCTGGCCAACGTGGTGAAACCCCATCTCTACTAAAAATACAAAAATTAGCCAGGTGTGGTGGCAGGTACCTGTAATCCCAGCTGCTCGGGAGGCTGAGACAGGAGAATCACTTGAACCCTGGAGGCAGAGGTTGCAGGGAGTCAAGATTGCACCACTGCACTCCAGCCTGGGCAACAAGAGTGAAACTCCATCTAAAAAAAAATAAAAGATAATAGTAAATTTAAAATAAAGTTATAAATCCTGAAACAATTAACACTGCAAACATGTTTGATTACTATTTCCCTCCCTTCTTTCTGAAGAAAACAGACACCCGCTGAACTGAGACTCGGGCATATATATTTTTGGTGCTACCTCTGCCCTCAATTCTCCATGTAACTTTGTAAAAGATCTTTAAACATTTATGTGCTTATGTTTCTGCATCTATAAAACAAGGATAATGACAGTTATCCTGCCTACCCATTATGAATGTTGTAAAGATACAAAAAGATGTTATTTCCAAAATTGTTTTGAAAAAAGTTTGTAGATAAGCCAATGGTATGCTGAACACCACCTGTCAGAAAGACTATTGTTTGGATCTTTTAGGTCTTCAAATTTTTGATGACATTATTATGTATCAAGCAATCAAAAATTACTTTTTTTTTTTTTTTTTTGAGATGGAGTCTCGCTCTGTCACCCAGGCTGGAGCGCAGTGGCGTGATCTCGGCTCACTGCAAGCTCTGCCTCCCAGGTTCACGCCATTCTCCTGCCTCAGCCTCCCGAGTAGCTGGGACTACAGGCACCGGCTACCATGCCCGGCTAATTTTTTTGTATTTTTAGTAGAGACGGGGTTTCACCATGTTAGCGAGGATGGTCTCCATATCCTGACCTTGTGATCTGCCCACCTCGGCCTCCCAAAGTGCTGGGATTACAGGCGTGAGCCACAGCACCTGGCCCAAAAATTACTTTTTTGTGATCTTTAGATGATGAGGGTTGTTTGGGGTGGAAATCTATACATAAAGGAAGGACCTCAATATGAACAGGTATGTGTTTTTTTCTGACACCAAATGTGTGGTGTCTTTTCCAACAACAAACACATTCTTCCAAAACCAATCAGTTCTTTAACTTCTCTGAAACCAACTGAGTATCCAACAATTCAGTTTATTTATTTTACCAATTACAAATGTTCAGGGTCTATTTAATATAACATAGCCTACCCTAATCTCTGAAAGTTGGGGTCAATGCCAACTCTGACACTACCCAGAGTTGGCATTGACCCCACAGGCTAAGATGTCAGTCCCACAAGACTGCCATACTGTAGATAACAATCATGAATGGGGTGACCAGGCCACCCACATTTCTGTGGAGAAGGCTACAACTTTAGGGGTTCACAGGACTTCCCTCAGGTTGGGTAATTCCTTAGAATGACTCACAGAACTCAGAAAGTATTCTACTTCTGATTATAAAGTTGTGTTCTTATAAAGAACACAACTGAGGGATGACTGGCTTTGTTGAGTGAGTGTGTGGAGGTGTTCTGGTGGCTGGATGTGACTGGCAATTCATAGCATCCTCATATCCGCTCACAGGTCAAAATGAAAATGTTCATGAGGACCTTGATCGGCAAGACCATCAACCTGGAGGTGGAGCCAGGGACACCATGAAAAATGAAAAATGTGAAGGCCAAGATCCCAGATACAGAAGGCATCCCCAGCCTCCTGAGTAGCTGGGATTATGGGCGTGTACCACCACAGCTGGTTTTTTTTTTTTTTTTTTTTTTTTTTTGGTAGAGATGGGGTTTCATGATGTTGGATAGGCTGGTCTCGAACTCCTGACTTCAAGTGAACCACGTTTATTCTTCACTCTCGCATTCGCAGTGCCCAGTGATGGCATTACTCTGCACTATAGCCATTTGCGCCCCAACTTAAGTTTGGAAATTACCAGTTTCAGTAAACAGTTGAACCTAATCAAAATGTTAGTCAAAGTTTTGTTGCATGGAAAAAAATAAAACCTCAGGAAGAACCAAATATAGCACAAGGTGTGGAAGGAGGGACAGAGCTTTCATGCCCTCTCCAGGTGAGCCTCAACCCCACCTCCAACACATAAATGTATTCACCAATTCAGAAGCTCCCTGAACCCTGTTGTTCAGGGGTTTTTATCAAGGTTTCATTATGTAGGCATGATTGATTAAATCCCTTGCCACTGGCAATCGACCTCGATCTTCTGCCCTTCTCTTCTCCCTAGACATCAAGGTTTAGGGTTGAAAATTCTAATCTTCCAATCATGTGGTTGGTACTTTTAAGACACCCATCGTTCTGGAATTTCCAAGAGTTTTAGGGACTTCGTGCCAGGAACTGGGGACAAAGATCAACTATGTATTTTTTAAAGTATACCACAGTAGGCCTGATCACCTGTGTATTAGTCTGTTCTCGCATTGCTATAAAGGACTACCTGAGACTGGGTAATTTATGAAGAAAAGCGGTCTAATTGACTTATAGTTCCACAGGCTATAAAGAAGGCATAGCCAAGAAGCCTCAGGAAACTTACAATCATGGAAGACGGCAAAGGGGAAGCAAATACATTTTACCATGGTAAAGCAGGAGAGAAAGAGTGAAGGGGGAAGTGCTACACACTTTTAAAAAAACAAATCTCATGAGAACTCACTCATTATGATGAGAACAACAAGGGGGTTGTCCTCCCCCATGATCCAATCACCTTCCTCCAGGCATCTCCTCCAACGCTGGGGATTACAATTCAACATGAGATTTGGGCAGGAACACAAATCCAAACCATATAATTCCTCCCTGGCCCCTCCCAAATCTCATGTCCTTCTCACATTGCAAAATACAATTATCCCTTCTCAATAGTCAACAGTCCCCCAGTTTAAACTCATTTCAGCATTAACACAAAAGTCCATAGTCCAAATTCTCATGAGACAAGGTAAGATCCTTCAGCCTATGAACCTGTAAAATCAAAAACAAGTTAGTTATTTTCAAGATACAATGGGGGTACAGGCATTGGGTAAATGCTCCCATTCCAAATGGGAGAAGTTGGCAAAAACAAAGAGACTATGATCCCATGCAAGTCTGAAACCCAACAGGGCAGTCATTCAGTCTCAAACCTATAATCTCCTTTGACTGTATGTCTCACATTCAGGCCACACTGATACAAGGGGTGGGCTCCCAAGGCCTTGGACATCTCCACCCTTGTGGCTTTGCAGAGTACAACACCCTCAGCTGCTTTCATAGGCTGATATTGGGTGCCTGTGGTTTCTCCATGTGCACGATGCAAGCTGTCAGTGGATCTACTATTCTGGGGTCTGGAGGTTGGTGGCCTTCCTCTCACAGCTGCACTAGGCAGTGCCCCAGTGGGAACTCTGTGTGGGGGCTCCAACCCCATATTCCCCTCTGCACTGCCCTAGTAGAGGTTCTCCATAAGGGCTCTGCCCCCTAAAGCAGACCTTCTGCCTGGACATCCAGATTTCCCATACATCCTCTGAGATCTGGGCAGAGGCACCCAAGACTCAGCTTTTGCACTCTGTGTACCCACAGGCTTAATATCACATGGAAGCTGCCAAGGCTTGGGGCTTGTACCCTCTGAAGCAATGCCCTGAACAGTACCTTGGCCCCTTTTAGCCACAGCTGGAGTTGGAGCAGTGGCAATGCAAGGTGCCATGTCCCAAGGCTGCAAAGTACAGTGGGGCCCTGGACTTGGCCCACAGAACCATTCTTCCCTCTTAGGCCTCCAGGCCTGTGATGGGAGGGACTACCGCAAAGGTCTCTGAAATGCCTTCGAGGCATTTTCCCTATTATCTCAGCTATCAACATTTGGCTCCTCTTTACTTATGCAAATTTCTGCAGCCAACTTGAAATCCTCTGCAGAAAATGGGTTTTTCTTTTCTTTTTCTTTTTTTTTTTTTTTGGAGGGACTGGTTCTTTATTTCAAAAAGACACTTGTCAATATTCAGTATCAAAACAGTTGCACTATTGATTTCTCTTTCTCCCAATCGGCCCCAAAGAGACCACATAAAAGGAGAGTACATTTTAAGCCAATAAGCTGCAGGATGTACACCTAACAGACCTCCTAGAAACCTTACCAGAAAATGGGGACTAGGTAGGGAAAGAAACTTTAAAAGATCAACAAACTGCCAGCCCACGGACTGCAGAGGCTGTTAGAGCCACATGGGGTGGCCAGGGTGCCACAAACCCAAAGAAGCAAAGTTTCAAAATAATATAAAATTTAAAAAGTTTTGTACATAAGCTATTCAAGATTTCTCCAGCACTGACTGATACAAAGCACAATGAGATGGCACTTCTAGAGACAGCAGCTTCAAACCCAGAAAAGGGTAATGAGATGAGTTTCACATGGCTAAATCAGTGGCAAAAACACGATCTTTGTTTCTTTCAAGGAGGCAGGAAAGCAATTAAGTGGTCACCTCAACATAAGGGGGACATGATCCATTCTGTAAGCAGGTGGGAGGGGGTAGAGATGGGACAAAATTTTGGTCTCAGAGGTCTTACCATCTTAATTTGGTCACTTCTAATGAAAAAAATAAAAAATAGAAATAACATTATCCAAAGATATCTTAAAGCTGAAAACTTGAACAGAACATTTCTTGTTTTTGTTGTTGTTTGGCTAGCTCCTCCTGGAATCACCTTTCTGGTTTAGCTAGTACTTTGTACAGAGCAATGAGGTTTCCCATAGTGGAGTCTCCTGGGCTCTGTTTGGCTCTCAGTAAGGCAGGCCTATACCTTTTCCTCTCCTCTATGGAGAGGGGAATATGCATTAAGGTGAAAAGTCACCTTCCAAAAGTGAGAAAGGGATTCGATTGCTGCTTCAGGGCTGTGGAATTATTTGGAATGTTTTACAAATGGTTGCTACAAAACAACAAAAAAGGTAATAACAAAATGTGTACATCACAACATGCTTTTTAAAGACATTATGCATTGTGCTCACATTCCCTTAAATGTTGTTTCCAAAGGTGCTCAGCCTCTAGCCCAGCTGGATTCTCTGAGAAGAGGCAGAGACAGTTTGGTGAAAAAGACACAGGGAAGGAGGGGGCGGCAAAAGGAGAAAGCAGCCTTCCAGTTAAAGATCAGCCCTCAGTTTAAGGTCAGCTTCCAGGAGGCTGGCCTCAGGCGGAGTCTGGGTCAGAGGGAGGAGCAGCAGCAGGGTGGGACTGGGGCGTTCTACATCTCATTCAGGTCAATCAGAGTCTGGTCCAGCATCCTTTGTGTACAGAGGTGCTCCTCTTTGGTGCGTTTCAGTTTATCTTCCAAGTCATCAATTGTCTTTTCCAGCTTGGCTACCGATCTCTCAGCAAACTCAGCACTGGTCTCTGCCTCCTTGAGTTTATCAGTAAGAATCTTGATCTCTTCCTCATATTTGTCTTCTTTTTGAGAGTACATTTCTTCAGCAGCACTCAGACACTTCAGGTTCTGGTCCATCAGTCTAATCTGCTCATCCATCTCTTGGCAACGGGACTCTCCCAGCTCAGCTCGTTCCTCCGTGCCTTCCAAGTCTCCTTCAATGATCACCAACTTATGAGCCACCTCTTCATACTTCCTATCTGCCTCTTCTGCAATGTGCTTAGCTTCTTGGAGTTAGATTTCCTGGAGTTCCATCTTTTCTTCATCTTTTAAGGCCCGATTTTCAACAACCTTCATACCTCTCTCACTCTCATCAGCAGCTTTTTCCGCTTCTTCCAGCTTTTGCAAGGCAGTGGCCAGGTACTCCTGAGCATGGTCCAGCTCTTCTTCAACCAGCTGGATCCTACGGTTCAAGGAGGCCACCTCAGCCTCAGCCTCTTCCCGGGCCTGCCTTTCTCCCTCAACTTCTCGCTGGAGGTGCTCAGCTCGCTCCTCTGCATCATCTGCCTGCTGCTGCAGAACCTGGATCTTGCACTTCACTGCCTCGATGGTGGTGATCTCAGCCACAGTGCCCACCCAGCTACTGCTCGTGCTCTGGTTCCTGCCTCCTCCCGGGTTTTTCTTTTCTACCACATGGTCAGGCTGCAAAATTTCCAAACTTTTATGCTCTGCTTCCCTTTTAAATATAAGTTCCCATTTCAGATCATCTTTTTGCTCACACCTATGGCAGTATGCTGTTAGAAGCAGCCAGGTCACATATTGAATGCTTTGCTCCTTAGAAATTTATTCCACCAGATGCCCTAAATCACCTCTCTCAAGTTCAAAGTTCCATAGATTCCTAGAACAGGGGCACAATGCCACCAGTCTCTTTGCTAAAGCATAGCAAGAGTGACCTTTACTCCATTTCCCAATAAGTTCTTCATCTCCTTCTGAGACCACCTCAGCCTGGACTTCACTGTCCATATGATGATCAGCATTTTGGTCACAACAATTTAACAAGTCTCTAGCATGTTCCAAACTTTCTCTCATCTTCCTGTCTTCTTCTAAGCTCTCCAAACTGTTCCAGTCTCTGCCCATTACCCAGTTCCAAAGTTGCTTCCACATTTTCAGGTATCTTTATAGCAATGCCCCTCTCCCAGTACCAATTTCCTGTATTAGTCTGCTCTCGCATTGTTATAAAGAACTACCTGAGACTAGGTAATTTATGAAGAAAATAGGTTTAATTAACTCATAGTTCCATAGGCTGTACAGGAAGCACGGCTGGGGAGGCCTCTAGGAACTTACAATCATGGCGGAAGGTGAAGGAGAAGCAGGTACATCATCACATGGTGAGGCAGGAGAGAGTGTGTGAAGGGGGAAGTGCCACACACTTGTAAACAACCAGATTTCATGAGAGCTCACTCACTATCATAAGAACAGCAAGAGAGGAGTCAACCCCCATGAGTCAATCACCTCCCGCCAGGCCCCTCCTCCAACCTTGGGGATTACAATTCCACATGAGATTTGGGTAGGGACACAAATTCAAACCAGACCAATGTGAAAGGGAAAAGCAACAGAAATATGCTAGCTTCTTTCTAACCTAATGTCAATACCAGAGCACACATATTCAATGAAGGTTGCCTCTCCCATTTCCCAAAGTGCCAGGTGAGGTGAGGGCACAAAAAGAGCACCAGGGATAACTGCATCATGGCTATGGAGTGCACTCCAGTTGAAATGCATTAGGAAGCAGACACTCTAAACTCAGGCGTCTGAGGTCCTGGAGCCCCACACGAATGGTCCTTGCCCTTCTCACCAGGCCTGGGCATTGATGCTGAGATGGAGGCTTCCAGGGGCTCTTTGCCTCACAGGAATCAGAGTCTTCACTGCTGATCGCTGCACGAAGGAACAAAATCCTTTAGGGTCTCAGTGTGGGATGCAGGAGCCAACACCGCAGGAAACGCACAATTAGGGACACCAGAAAAGACCCAGGAGCTTGTGTGACTTGCAGGTAGGAATGTCCCTGCCCAGCACAGTTGCAGTGCTCCTGCGGAATGCTGAGCCGCAGGGTCCTGGTGCTCCAGGCACTGAAACTAGACCCTCAGGCTGGGGGCAAATGGCCATAGTGGCCAGCTTTGCGTGTCTTGCTCTCCATTTCCTTACTTCCTCTCTCTTCTTTCCCTTCCCATTGTCTCTGTCCATTTCTCCACTCCTGCTTCTTTCTTGCAGCTTCTCCCTCTTTGTTTGTCAATCTCTGTAAACGCCTCTCTGGCATTTCTGTTTCTGCCTCTTTTGCCTCCTTGCACCTCTGTCACTCTCGCCTGGCTTTCTTGCATTACATACCTGCCCTCCACGTCTCCTCTGAGCCACTTCTCCCTCTCCCAGGTGTCTCTGTACTTTTCCATTTCCCCACCAACTTTCCTCTGTCGTGCAGAAGCTCCCTGAGCTAAACACCAGAATCCACGTCTCCCAGCATTCATCTGGGCTCCCTGGGCCACCACGTGGGACTCTGACCACACCCCCAGCCTGTCACTTCTGCTGTGACTCACACAGTGTCACCGCATCAGCCTTACCGATTATTACACCCTCCACCAGCCTTACCGATTATTTCAGGGGCTTGGTTACACGCCTTCCTTGCCATCTGGATGTCTTCCGGGAGCACAAAACTAGGTTGCACCCAATTTTTGGATCTGGATAGCTTTGCCCCTAGAACAAATAGTGATCCTTGAAGAATTTTCATCTTTCTCCCTCAAAAAAGCCTTGTGGTACCCCTCTTCCTCTCTCTCTACCCACTTCAGAGGATCACTCTGTCACTAAATTTCACCTTCTTTTATACTGCCTCACTCCAGATATGTTTCTTACTTTCTGTCTCTCTATGTTTATCTTTTTACCTTGAACTCTATTTTGTTTTTCTCTTTTCCCTTTACCTGTCATTCTTATTTACTAACTGATCATTGTCTTGGCCAAATTTTGTGATCTTCACTTAATTAACTTAATCATTAATAAAGACCTTAAGGGCCAGGCACAGTGGCTCATGCCTGTAATCCCAGCACTTTGGGAGGCCAAGGGGGGTGGATCACGATGTCAGGAGATTGAGACCATCCTGGCTAACACAGTGAAACCCCGCCTCTACTAAAAATACAACAAATTAGCTGGGCGTGGTGGCGGGCGCCTATAATCCCAGCTACTTGGGAGGCTGAGGCAGGAGAATTGCATGAACCCGGGAGGCGGAACTTGCAGTGAGCCGAGATTGTGCCACTGTACTCCAGCCTGGGCAACAGAGTGAGACTCCCTCTCAAAAAAAAATAATTAATTAATTAAAAAATAAATAAATAAAGACCTTAAGTTCTTAATTCTTATACTTATTTCCACAAAAGTAGCTTATTACGTGTACATGTACATATAAATATAATTCTTAGGCTGGGTGTGGTGGCTCACACCTGTTATCCCAGCACTTTGGGAGGCCAAGGCAGGCAGATCACCCAAGGTAGGGAGTTTGAACCAGCCTGGCCAACGTGGCAAAACTCCATCTCTACTAAAAATACAAAACTTGTGGGGCATAGTGGTGCATGCCTGTAATCCCAGCTACTCAGGAGGCTGAAGCAGTAGAATTGCTTGAGCCCAGGAAGCAGAGGTTGCAGTGAGCCGAGATCGCACCACTGCACTCGCCCTTCAGCATGGATGACAGAGCAAGACTCCATCTCAAAAATAAATAATTAAAAATAAATAAATATAATTCTTAGAACTATTTTTGTGAAGCTTTCCATACAAATACATCAGTGATGTCATGTTCGCCAAAATATATGTCCAGTTTTTAGGGCACAGAAATATGAATACTTTCATTTCCTGACAATATGAAGTGTGCTCTTTATTATGTGCCAGACACTGTCATGCTAGGTTGGAAGGACACAGCGAGAACAAGCAGCTGTGGTCCAGAGAGAGCGCATGCTAAGCACACGATCACAACGAGGCAGGAGTTTTATCTCACAGCAAGCAAGAAGTGCTCTGGAACAGACAGGCCAGTCCAAGAGACAGGAAGAGGCCTATGGGAAGAAATATCACGTGAGCAGGAGGTAGCCAGATTAGGGAGAAGATGAGTAGGATAGAGGCCAAGAAAACAGACCCTGATAGAAGACAGCTTGGGCAAAGTAATTTGAGTAACTAAAAGAAGCCAGCGTGACTTCTTGGAGTGAGAGAATAGAGGCTGGAGAAATAGGAAGGGCCCTCATTGCCCAGCCTTGGAAGTCTAGTAAAGGGATCAACTTAAACCCAGGTATCATCATGCCAGTCATTGGAGGTTAGGCAGGAAGACAGCACAAACATACCTGAACTTTGGTACGATATAGCAGCTGAAGTTCATGGGAGAGTTATCAGAGATCTGATTAGCATCATAGCATCAGAGATAGAGAAAAATGATCAGGTGGCAAATGCCACCAAGTACAGTGCACCGGGCTCGATGGTTGATGTGGCATAGGGGTTGAGGGAGGGAAGAACTCAGGAGGATTCTTGAGTTTTTCTTTTTTTTTTTTGGAGACACAGTTTCACTCTTGTTGCCCAGGCTGGAGTGCAATGGTGCGATCTCCCCTCACCACAACCTCCGCCTCCCAGGTTCAAGCGATTCTCCTGCCTCAGCCTCCCGAGTAGCTGGGATTACCAGCATGCACCACCATGCCCGGCTAATTTTTTTATTTTTAGTAGAGACAGGGTTTCTCCATGTTGGTCAGTCTGGTCTCGAACTCCCAGCCTCAGGTAATCTGCCCGCCTCAGCCTTCCAAAGTGCTGGGATTATAGGTGTGAGCCACTTGCCTGGCAAGATTCCTGAATTTCTTGCTTGAGAAAACTTGACAGTAATGGCCATTTTACCAGAAAGGGAACTCTGGAAGAGGAGGAGGAAGGGGAAAAGGATGAGGATGTGGTTTCATGGAAGAATGTGTCTCCTCTCTCGCTGCCACACTGACCCCCACCAATTTTTTATTTGCTCTTTACACTCACTCTCACTTCCTGGCTTCTTCGTGCCTCTCCCTCACTTTCTCTGTTCCTGGTATTTACATTGACCTCATGTTTCTCTCTCTGTATGATTTTTCTCACTGTCCCTCATTTGAGTTTTTAGTTTATGTCTCCTCTGCCATGTCTCTCACTTCCTCCCCCATGTCTCTGTGTTTCTGGGGCTTCCTTTGATCCTCTGTCTGCCTTGACCCTTCCAAGCATTTTCTTCCTGTGTCTTCTCCTTGTCTGAAAAGTCGTGTCCCTCCATTCCTTTTTTGGCTTTAACTCTACCTCCAGGGCCCCTTTCCCTTGCCCTCCCCATTCTGAAGGTTGTCTACAATGACCTTTCTTCCTTGCAAATATGATGGTCACAGACCTTGTTTGCCTGATCTTGTGGCAACTTCTAGCAAATAGGACAAACATTATTTCCTTGTCAATCCTCCACCAACCTGGGAAAGCTTAGACATCATGTCCACTTAGGTAAAACTGGGCTCCCTCCTAAAACTTGCTATTCCATGGCCCAATCATCCACCTCTTCTATACTCGCGCTCCTCAGCTTCTCCACCCAGGGTGCCATGCTCCAGGGAGGCGTTCGCCTCTCCTTTCTCTCCTGCCTGGAAGACTTAGGGCATGTACTCTCGGGGTCCTGCCAGTGAGTGCCTCTCACAGTGTTGCAGCCCGCGCACATCACATGCCTCATCCTGCTTGTTTCCTTCACAAATTTGAAAGCAACCAGAGGCTGGGCTCCTGTCGGGGAGGGAGGGGAGGAAGAGAAGCCCTTCCTCCCTCCACACCATGAGATAATCAGGTAATCGGTCACTTAAAGGGCAGGATTCAATTGCAGTACCTTGTCTACCATGTGGCAGTCTGCTGGGCATCTCTTCTGACCCTCTCTCCTTTTTTACTTGGAGAGCCTCGAGTTCCCTAGGCACTGAAGAGGGAACATAAAATGAGACACCAGATCCAGTGGCCGGGAAAAGGACAGAGATGTGACCACACTGAGCGCTGCGGTTGGGAGCAGAAGTGAAATGCTCCTGGGGAAGTGATGCTCCTCTCCGAGGACCCCTGCTGAGATCCAGCCAAGCCCTGCTCTGCCTCTTCCCATCTTGTCAGACCTGGTTCTCTCTCTCTCTCCTGCTCAGCCTTCCACCAGGATCCAATCCCCAGGCTTCTGCCCTAGGAAGGCATTTCTGCATCATGGACTTAGCCAGCTTCTCTCTTGTCTTCCGGTGCATCTGTCTCTCTCCTCTCCAGCAATGCTGCAGGAGAATGCATTCCTCATTCTCCATTTTCCCTTCCCAACTCTCTCCTTCTACATCTCTTCCAACCTACATATCAGGCTCCAGTCCTGTTCTCTCTGTGTCTCCGTGTCTTTTTCTGTCTTCCTCACAGCAACTAAAAGACATACCTTTCCATTACGTCAATGTCTGCCTGCAGTGGACATTGGTCTATCTTTCTACTGTCATTCAGGACTCCTTGGGGTCTCCCCTTAGATACTGAGCATGTGACACAGCACTGCCTTCCCCCTTCTGTGTGTGCTACAGACGCCTACCACTAGTCACCCATGCAAACACCTGGCCATCATCAGCCTTACCTACTTGGGTGCATGTGTTTGCTTGCTGTGTTCCAAGAGCATCACCTGGGCCAAGGATAGAACATTCTGGCTTTATATATGTTGACTTCACATCCTAGACAGGCTCAGAGGTTTCTGTTCTGGTTCCAGAATGGATGGCCCCTAGATGACATTATGATTTCATAAATATGGCACTGTGACATCATAAATCAAAACCTAAAGTTTTTATTTAAATGCATTAATAAATTAATCAAATATCCTTTTTGATCATGTATCCCGATTGTCAATGACATCAGAATGACCTTCCACAGCTCTGAGGGTTCTCTTATATTTCTTCTATGTCATTTCAGAAAAAGTGATCATAAAACACTGAACAAAGAAATAAAATTTGTTATGGACATTATGGTCTAAGGATGAGGGACATTAGGAAAAATAGAAACAAGAAGATGACTGAGAATCTAGAAACAGAAGCTAGTTATGGCACAAAAGTACTGAAGGGTTTTTGAAGAGGCCCATCTGGCACCTGAAAGGTAGCTCCTAGCTGCCTGCCCCAGGAATGATGGGTGAGGGTTTGTATGGGAGGCACAGTGGTGCCATGGTCCTATGTGAAGGACCCAACAGGGAAGAAAGCCTATCCCACAGAAGGAACATGCCCATCATTTCCCTCCAGCCACCACAGCACAGGCCATCACTGGATGTAAGCTCAAAGCACCAAGGCAGCAGCCAGATTCAAGTAGATGCAGGCAGAAAAACTGTGAAGCAGACACATGGGTAAAACGAGCAGGCTCAGCACCAGCAGGAACCAGTAGCAAGCGTGCTTAAGGGTTGTAAGAGGAAGAAGTCCTCCCAGGCAACCTGGAGGATAAGGACTTATTATTTAAATCCTGAACTTGGAGACACTGCAAATGCAAACACTAAAAATTCAGGGCAATCATAAACACAGAGGCAACCCTCTCTTCCCTTACCCCCAGCATGTTCCAGAATGGCGCAAGAACAGCAGAGGATCACAGCACAATCAAGAGGAACACACCAACAAAAGATGAGGAATCTGAGCATGTCCAGGTCAAGCTTTGAAAAGGGTCTTCACAGCCAGGTGCAGTGGCTCAAGCCTGTAATCCCAGCACTTTGGGAGGCTGAGGCAGGAGGATCGTTTGAGCCCAGGAGTTCAAGACCAGCCTGGGCAATATAGTGAGACCCTATCTCTACAAAAAAATTAAAAATTAGCTGGGCGTGGTGGTACATGCCTATGGTCTCAGCTACTGGGGGGCTGAGATGAGAGGATCGCTTCAGGCCAGGAGTTCACCGCTGCAGTGAGTTATGACTGTGCTACTGCACTCCAGCCTGGGCAACAGAGGGAGGCTCTGTCTTTAAAAAATACATATAGAGGCCGGGCGCAGTGGCTCACACCTGTAATCCCAGCACTTTGGGAGGCCGAGGTGGGCGGATCACGAGGTCAGGAGATCAAGACCATCCTGGCTAACATGGTGAAACCCCGTCTCTACTAAAAATACAAAAAATTAGCCAGGCAAGGTGGCGGGCGCCAGTAGTCCCAGCTACTCGGGAGGCTGAGGCAGGAGAATGGCGTGAACCCCGGGGGGCGGAGCCTGCAGTGAGCCGAGATTGCGCCACTGCACTCCAGCCTGGGCGACAGCGGGACTCCGTCTCAAAAAAATAAATAAATAAATAAATATATATATATACACACACACATACATACATACATACATAGAGAGAGAGAGAGAGAGAGAGTTTTCACCATCTGGAGCTGGCAGATGCTGCCTGATCTTTTTTTTTTTTTTTTTTTTTTTTGAGACAGAATCTCACTCTGTCACCCAGGGTGGGGTGAAGTGGCGCAATCTCAGCTCACTGCAACATCCACCTCCTGGGTTCAAGCGATTCTCATGCCTCAGCCTCCCAAGTAGCTGGGACTTCAGGCACGTGCCATCAAGCATGGATAATTTTTATATTTTTTTTTTTTGTAGAGATGGGTTTTCGCCATGTCGGCCAGGCTGGTCTTGAACTCCTGGCCTCAAGCGATCTGCCCACCTCAGCCTCCCAGAGTGCTGGGATTACAGACGTGAGCCACCGCGCCCAGCCCCGCCTGATTCTTGAAGTCAGACTCCAGCCCTGAGAGTGGGGGACTGGGTCACTGCACCCTTGGCTGAGAGGGCCTAGGCCAGACAACCCTGCTGAGTGTCCTCCATGAGACATTCTGGTAACTGGCAATGGCAGAGTGAACTGCCTTTGTTCCCAGAGCTACCCTGCCCAGGGCCCTTAGCTCAGTTCCTGTGAAGTCCTGGTTGCCTCATGCCCACCCCCTTTCACACAACACCCTCCCTCTCCACATCTGTTCATGCTTTCTCATTGGCCTTTCCATGAGGACTCAGAGTTTGGGTCACCTCCACTTCTTCCAGCTCTTTGTATTCTTTTTTCCCTGGATCTTTTTTTCTGCATGTATTTCCCCATTTTTGTTTCATGTTTCTGTTTCTATCTTTTCCATTAGATTCCCTGGGTAACAGGAAGAATGTAACTTCTGTCACAATAGCGGAAAGATAGAAACAACCCATCATTAACTGATGAATGAATAAACGAAATGTGGTAGAGATGTATGATGGAATATTATTCAGCCATCAAAAGGACTTGAGATACTAATTCATGTTACCACGTGGCAAAAACCTGGAAACATCTTATTAAGTGAAGGAAGCCCAGACACAGAAGGCCACATATTGTGTGATTCCATTTTCATGAACTGTCCAGAGTAGGCAAATTTGTAGAGGCGGAAAGTAGATTACTGATTGCCAGGGATTAGGGGCAGAGGGAAATTAGATAATTGGTTAATGGGCATAGGGTTTCCATTTGGGATGATTAACCCGTTTTGAAACTAGAGACAGGAGGTCGTACAACATTGTGAATATACTAAGTGTCACTGAATTCCACACTTTAAAATGGTTAACATCTGAATTTTACCTCCTTCCCTCCCAAAAAACACAACAACAAAGGCTCTGGGTTTATCTTTTCTCATCTGACCTACGCAACCCCATACATTGTCCCTCTGGGTTTCAGTTTCCTAATCTGCAAAATGGGCACATAAATAATACTAATCTCCAAAGGCAGCCATGAGCAATAAACCCACAGCTGCCACGGAGCAGGCATTCCATCACAGTGAGCTGTTCATAATACGGTTATTTTTATTGTTGTCCTTGACTGTCTTTCATTTCCCCTCCTTCTTCCTCCCTCTCTCAAAATACCCTCATCCTCTTCTCAGCATATGCGTCACTCCCTCTTTGTGTCTTTCTGTATGACTAAGTTTCTCTTTGAATATTCCTGCTGCTGAACAACATGTCCACGTTTAAATTGGCCCCTTCTTCTGGCATCACCAAGAGTATCTTCTTTGACATTGTTGGCCATAGGCACATCCTTCTTAGCCCTTCACCGCTTCTCACTGAAGGTCTCCTATAAACTAGTAATTCACACTCAGATCCTCATTCTACCCTCCGGGTTACTGGGGGGAAAGTCTGTTTTTGCCACCTCTTGAGAGTGCTCTTGGATTCCAGCTGGAGTCAGGTCACTTTGGAATCAACACAAAGTGACCCTCAACCAGCTCTGCCACCATCCCCAGCAGTGCAGTCTTCCCTCAGACCTCGGTTCCCTGTCTCCTTTTCTTCTTAGTAGACCAGAAAACAAAGTTTTTGTCCAGACATTATTACCTTGTTTACAGGTTGGTTGAAAGCTGGGCATTTTTGTTGTCTCTTTTCCATCCCTTTTCTGGGAAAAGGGGAGCACTGAACAAAGAAAAGAATTAATTAGGGCCTGCAAGCAAGTGACCAGGAACTCCATCTCATGACCACATGAACGAAGCACCATGTGTTCTTACAATTCAGTGGGAAACTCCTAGCCCTTCAGTCACTCTGAATCTCAGTGGCTTGTGACTTGGTGTTGCTTGTTTCTTCCTCTGAGGCAGCCAAGAAAGAAAATAACAGCACAAAACCACTGAAGTCCTATAGATGATGAGCCTCTCAGGTTTTAAGGATGATGGAGCAGTAGAAAAATTGTAAACCATAATTAATCATCCAACAAGATGATCAGAGAGGCGTGAAAGCTTATCTCCATACAAATTCTGTAAGTGGAATGTCTCTGTGAACTGTGCAAATCTTACAGAAGAAACAAAGGGATTTCCCGAGGAGAAGAGCTAAGATCCTAGAGAGATGCCTCTAGGTAAGAGAAACCCAACAGCCTTAAAGGTGGGGCTAGAAAACAGCAGAGTTTTGGCTAAATTGGGTCTGGAAAGATGAGAGGCTCCCAAAGAGAGAGGACATGGTGGAGGAACTAGACAGACTTCCCCAGGGGTGGCCCAGACCCAAGGAACAAAGGGAGGACTCTCTGAAGTCTACAATCAGGGAGCAAATATTGCAGCACTGGGAAATGTCCTGAGACACCTGGACCAAGGTCCTCAGAGACTGCCAACGAAAGGAGGCCAGGGCGCAGGTTAGTTATATTCACACCGCCTAGCACAGGGCCTGGGACATGTAAGCATTTCTTTATTATTTTTTTTTAAAGGAGTCTCACTCTTTGTTGCCCAGGCTGGAGTGCAATGGTGCGATCTCAGCTCACTGCAAACTCCGCCTCCCAGGTTCAAGCGATTCTCCTGCCTCAGCCTCCCGAGTAGCTGGGATTACAGGCATGTGCCACCGTGCCCGGCTAATTTTGTATTTTTAGTAGAGATGGAGTTTCTCCATGTTGGTCAGGCTCCCGACCTCAAGTGATCCGCCCGCCTCGGCCTCCCAAAGTGCTGGGATTACAGGTGTGAGCCACCGCGCCCGGCCGCATGTGAGCATTTCATGAATACTTGCTAAATGAGCGACTGACCAAGTGAAAGAATGAAAACCAGACCTAGACCCCAAAAGACAGGGGAGAGAATTGATTACCCTTTTTGAAGCTTTTATGAATCTCAATTAAATCGGGATACTCCTTCAGGTTAATCCTGCTGAACAGGACTGACAGAACTGAACAATCAAACACCTTCTCCAGGTGGCAGAGAACCTGATACACAACTCTCTGTATAGGAATCGAGTTTATACGGGCTTCTTGAGAATACTGTTAAAAAATTCAATGGTAAAAGTATACAAAATAATAGCTTTAAAGTTAAAAAAAGATTGACAATGTAATTGCATAGAATACTTCCATTGTTCTCAGTGTAGGCTACTATTTTTCATGTAATATTCTAGAACTCCTTAAATATTTGATCCACTGCGTTAGAAAAACAAGTCAACCCTTCCTCTTGTCTTTTGAGCTCTCATCCTGCCCAGGATGCCGTGGGAATAAATCTTATGGTGATTTTGTTGTCTGCGCAGCAGTCACTGCCCCCACACTCCCCACCTTCCCCCTGTGGTATGAGAAGTCCTGAACAGGCTCCCAGAGATAGGGAGATGGTTCTTCCCTTGCCATAAAGAACACAACAGGAAGAGTACAATCACACACTGAAGACATGGCTTCCTTCTCTGTACCTCAGGGCACTGTTCAAAACACCTGAATTCCAAGGCTCCAGAACTACCCAAGAAAATTTAAACACTTTAGACAAGACAATAGCAAGGCAGAAATTTGTTTGATAACAATTATAATGGCACAATTCTCTGGAGGTTTCATCTGACATAAATAGACATTACAAAGAAATACTGCTTCCATCATCTTAGCTATCTTAATTTTGTTTTATTCTTGTATATTGTATAAATCACTACATATTTGTAGAGCACATCCGTTTCAATTTCACTCCAGACATGTCACCATTACCATCCACTCCCACCCCAATACTTGCTACAAAAGAACAGAGTGGCCAGGCACAGTGGCTTACGCCTGTAATCCCAGCACTTTGGGAGGCCAAGGCGGGTGGATCACCTGAGGTCAGGAGTTCAACACTGGCCTGACCAATATGGTGAAACCCTGTCACTACTAAAAATACAAAAATTAGCCAGGCGTGGTGGTGGGCGCCTGTAGTCCCAGCTACTCGGGAGACTGAGACAGGAGAATTGCTTGAACCCTGGAGGCAGAGATTGCAGTGAGCTGAGATTGTGCCACTGCACTCCAGCCTGGGTGACAGAGCAAGACTCTGTCTCAAAAAAAAAAAAAAAAAAAAAAAAAGAACAGGGCTTCAGTTAGAAATAGAGTGTCTTGTCCAGGCAAGGTGGCTCACGCCTGTAATCTCAACACTTTGGGAGGCTGAAGTAGGAGGTTCACTTGAGGCTAGGAGTTTGAGACCAGCCTGAGTAACATAGCAAGACCCCATCTCTACCAAAAAAAAAAAAAAAATTAGAAAGATGTGGTGGCATGCACCTGTAATCTCCCAGCTACCCGGGAGGCTGAGGTGAGAGGTTTGCTTGTACCCAGGAGACCTAGGCTGCAGTGAGCCATAATTGTGCCAATTTACTCCATCCTGGGCCACCGAGTGAGATGCTGTCTCTAAAAAAAAAAGAAAAAGAAATAGAAGTGTCATCTTTAATGACATCTGTTTACCCCATTACCTTCTACCTTATACAATAATTAACCAACAGAAAAGGGTCTTCCCACAAAAGGCATAAAAGGCCTATCAGGCAGTTAGCAATATACTAAACTTTGAATCCAGGATGCCAAATATAAATTAATGTGGGGGCCGGACTACAGTGGGTGACGTAATAAACTTCACTTATAGTATACATTTTTTCAGTGATAAAGGAATTGTCTCTGAGGCTTTCAAGAAAAGGAAATGGCTTTGTTATTGCATTTGCTATCTCCACCTTATTCTCCTTGAAGTGATTGGAAAAGATCTCACAGGAAATCTCCTTCTTCTGGACCACTGCAAACATCTTAAGGAAAAAAAAATACAAAGAGAAAGTAAACATCAAGATTCCCAGATGCCTTTCCTAGCCAAAACATTCCAGGCCCAGATGACTTCACTTGCAAGTTCTTCAAAACATACATTTAAGAAAGAAAATAACCAATCTTACACAAACTCTTCCAGTGAAGAAAGAAAAAAGGAACACACTCTAACTCACTAGAGAAGGATAGCATAATTCTGATATACAACCTGACAAAAGCATTACAAAAATGAAAAGTAGAGGTTACTATCTCTCGTGGACAGAGATGGGAAAACTGCAACAAAACATTAGCAAGTCAAATCCAGCAATAGGTAAAAAGAATAATACATCATGACTAAGTGAGACTTATTCCAGGAATGCAAGAATTCTTTAACATTTAAAAATCAGGAAATCATGCTTGTTTCGGCAACACATACACTAAAATCGGAACAATACAGAGAAGATTAGCATGGCCCCTGCACTAGGATAACACATAAATTTGTAAAACACTCCATTAAAAAAAAATCAGGAGGCCGGGTGCCGTGGCTCACACCTGTAATCCCAGCACTTTGGGAGGCTGAGGCAGGTCACGAGGTCAGGAGTTCGAGACCAGCCTGGCCAACATGATGAAACCCTGTCTCTACTAAAAATACAAAAATTAGCCAGACATGGTGGTGCGTGCCTGTAATCCCAGCTACTCAGGAGGCTGAGGCAGGAGAATTGCTTGAACCTAGGAGGTGGAGGTTGCAGTGAGCCAAGATTGTGCCATTGCACTCCAACCTGGGCAACAGAGCAAGACTCTCGTCTCAAAAAAAAAAAAAAAAAAAATCAGGAAATGTATATCACCAGATTGACAAAATAAAGGGGAAAAATATATGATAATTTCAATAGATCCAGAAAAAGCTAAAATATAATAAAATATCTGTTCATGATTTTTAACTCTCAGAAAACTAAGAATAGAAAGTAACTTTTTTAATATAATGAAGTATATAAACAAACAAAACCCTATGGCTAACACTATACTTAAATGTGAAATACTAAATACTTCCCCACTCAATTTGAGAACAAGACAAAAATGTCTACTGTCACCATTTCCATTTAACACTTACTAGAAATCCTAGATAATGCAATCAGGTGATAAAAAGAAATGAAAAGAATAAACCCAAAAGGGAGGAAATGTAACTACCATTATTTGCAGATGACTATATACTTGGAAAATCTAAAGAAATGAACTATTAGAATTAATTAGTAACTTCAGTAAAGTATCTGGATTCAAGGTTAATATGCAAAAATCAATTGTATTTTTGTATACTAGCAAATTATAAGTTTAAATAAAAATAGAAAAACAATATCCTTTTCAAAAGCATCAAAACCACTAACAATAAAGGTAAATCTAACAAAAGATGTTCCAGAACACTACACTGAAAATCATAGAACTTTTGCTGAGAGAAATTAAAGAAAGCCAAAATAAATGGAAAGGTATATTTGTGGATTGAAGACTAAATATTAATATGTAAGTTATCCCCAACTGATTCATAGATTCAATATAATTTTAATAAAATTCAAGTGGAATTGTTTGTGGAAATTGACAAATTGATTTTAAAATATAAATGAAAATGCAAAAGACCAAAGTTAGCCAAAAGAGTCTTGAAAAAGAATCACAATGTTTTAACTTCATATAAAGTTACAATAACTAAGACAACATGATATGGGCATAAAGATAAACATATAAATCAACAGAGACTACAAGAAAGAGAAACACACACATAAGGTCACCAAATTTACAACAAAGACACCGCCACATTTCAGTGGGGAAAACGATGGTCACTTCATGAAATGGTATTGTTGGAGCAATTGAACACCCTACCTCATACCATACACAAAAATTTATTTCAAATGAATCATAGACCTAAATATGAAAGATAAAATAGTAAAGCTTCTAGAGCAGGTAGTATAATATCTTCTTGGCTTAAGGTAGGCAAAGATTTCTTGCAAAAGATCCCAAAACACTAACTATGAAAGAAACCACTGACAAATTAGACTTACTTAAAACTAAGAACTTTTGTTCATCAAAAGACACTATTAAGAGAGTGAAAAAAAGCCACAGAATATGTGAAGATATTCACAACACATATCCAACAGAAGACTTCTATGTAGAACATGTAGGAAGAATGTCTAGTAATTAGAACACAAAAATCCCAATTTTTTTTAAAAAAATAGGCAAAATAACAGGCATTTCATAACAAAATACTCAAATGACCAATAAACATATCAAAAAGTGCTCAAAAGCATTGTTTTTCACGGAAATGCAAAGTAAAAGCTCAATGAGATACCACTATGCCAAGATACCACTATCTATTCACCAAAATGGCTAAGATCTACAAAAAAAAAAAAAACCTAGCATCAAATGTTGAGAAGAATATGCTGTTTGAAACACTCATACGTGGCTAGTGGAGTGACAATTAGGACACCCACTTTGGAAAACTGGCAGTGTCTACTAAAGCCACCCTATGACCGGGCAATTACACTCCTAGGTCTATACCAAGAAAAACAAAGCAAAACCAATACAAGAAACCTCAGGGTTCAAATGTCTTTGTCTCACCCAGGTAACATTTGCAAAAGGGTAAGCCAGGATAGGTAGCGTTCCATCACCAGCTATCACTTGCCACTTTTTACCTGATTTCTCAGAGCTTAGTTTCTTCTACTTTACAATATGCAGTTGGCTTTATGACCCAGTTCAAAGAAGTTTTGGAATAAAACTAAGTATAAGTAAATAAATATAAAAACCCACATGGAGAAAGATGACAAAGGAAGGGAGAAAAAGACGCATCCTCTGTTCACTTGCCACCTCCACCTGCTGACTTCCTGGTCCTGCTACTTTCTAGGCTGCAGAGCCCCATGGGGGCTGACACACCATCCGTCAACATCTATGAACTCTCAGGCCCAATGTGGGCTTTCCAACATGGCTCCCAGGGACCAGAACAAAAAGTCTGAACTGACTCACCCAGAAAGTAGAAAAGGGAAGTGAAAGTATTAATATTTCTGAATGCCTCTGTATTTGTGAAAACTAGGCCACAGATAGTGGGGTTTCTCAACTCTTGTGAAAATATGGTAGCCGGGAATTAAGAAGGACTTACAGAATCATGACTGGAGGACCAGAAGAGGGTACAGGCCAAGGAGGAGGAACAGGAGGCCAACTCCAAGAAGTCCATGGAAGTCAGGGGATCATGTGTTTATGCAAAGGAAAGAGGGCAGAAAACTCTATTTGACCAAAGCTGACTGAAGTTGTTTCTAGGTGAAGTAACATAGTTGATGTTAGAGAGAAGTAAAACTCTGTTTGCCTCCTCCCCTTGCAGACATGGCCATGGGAAAAAAAAAAAAAAGGGAAAGACAGAAACTTCCAAGCCTTTCTCAGGCCTATGAGTTGGTGGGGCACATTGTGACCTTGACTGGACAAGTTAGACCCCAAGCATTTGGATATAGGTTGGAGGAAGCTGAAATGCTCTACATCATAAAGTCAGGGGAATGCCCTTAGAAATTTCTGGAAAGCAGGCAGGGAGGAAAAAGAGAAACCTCTGGACCACTGGGGCCAGAGGCAGGAGCCAAGTTGGTAAAAATAGCCAAGCTTTTAAAGATAGTACAGATATAAGGCTTTTAAAAAATATCCCCAGAATTTGACACTCCTCCCATTGACAGGTGGAGTCTGTGTCCCCTTTCCTTTAATCTGGGATATGTGACTGCTTGACCAACAGAATGTTTGAATATGGCAGAAGCAATGCTATGCTGATATTAAGACCAGGTCTTAAACCACAGGAGGGCCCCAGCCAGCCAGCCAGCCATGTGGTGCGCCATATTGGAAGTTGATGCTGCAGCCCTGGTCGAGCTGCCAGGAGATACCCATCTAGAGCAGACACACACCATCTCCACTGAGCTCTGTCCAAACTGCAGGTGTATCACGAAATAAAATAAGACTTTTATTGTTTTAAATCACTGCTTTAGGGTAGTTTTTTTTTTCACAGTAGTATAACTAGAACAGATTTTGAAGTAGGATGCAGTTATAACAAAAACATAAAACATGGGGCATTTGGCTGTGGGACAGAGCAGTGGATGGAAGCCTAAAGGTGTTCCAGAAGATGTCAGTGCAGTGTATGAGAAAGCGAGAGAAACACTAGTGGAATCTGGAGGAAGGAGACCCTTGTTATATAGTAGTAAAAGTTCTGTAAAACTCTCACCTGCAGTCATGGGGAAGTAGAAAATGTACCTAACAAAATCAATGACCTAGAGATGTCCAGGCAGTGGAGCTCAGAAATGATTCTCATGGGATGGGCCAAGAGGATGAGAACCAAGATTATCTAGGTCTTAAGGGGTGAGATGAAGATCCAGCTACATTTATGTTTGTACACAGTGATTTTTTTCACTCATACTCTGATATTATTCAAGAAAGATTTGAAGTGACTTTTTAAAATACTGAAATGTATCAGTACAAAGTTAAAGATAAATTGGAGCAAAGAGAGAATGAAAGTAGGACATGAACTAAAACCAGGGACCAGAACTCTGAGCCGAACTGTGGGGCAGAGACAGGGAGGCAGCTGGGAGCCCCAGGGATGCTAGAATCTAGGGCTTAAGGTGAGCAGAGCCCAAAAGCAGGTGAGGATTCAGGGGCCCCAGGGGTACCGTGATCCAGAATGATGCTTTCCAAATCATGTTCCACTGAATCTGACTTCTGACTGTTTTTTGGTTTGTTTGTTATGTTTTGTTTTGTTTTTGATACAGAGTCTCGCTCTGTCACCCAGGCTGTAGTGCAGTGGCATGATCTTGGCTAACTGCAACCTCTACCTCTCTGGTTCAAGCAATTCCCCTGCCTCAGCCTCCCGAGTAGCTGGGACTACAGTCACACGCCACCACATCTGGCTAATTTTTCTTGTATTTTTAGTAGAGATGGGGTTTCACCATGTTGGCCAGACTGGTCTCAAACTCCTAACCTCAGGCAATCCACCCACCTCAGCCTCCCAAAGTGCTGGGATTACGGGTGTGAGACACTGCGCCTGGCTGACTGTTTAAGAGGAATCCCAGGACATAAGGGTTCTGTGCCCAAATAATGAAAAATGTGGGTCAACGAGGCTTCTATCCTTCTTCTCCTGCACCCCCCACCCCTGGCTTGCGTTCTTGCGTTTCTCTCCCCACAAATTGGGTACACATCCCAGCACGCCAATGAGGACATCTTCACCGGTGGACAGGCACATGCAGGTCCTGCACATGCGTGGGTCTCTCCCTCTCTCTGCCTTCTCCCTCCCTCTCCCTCTCTCTCCCTCCCCCACCCTCTCTCTCTGGCTCTGACTTGTCACTTGTGTGTCACACGTCTCACTGAAGCAGGATGTGCTCCCTCCCAGCAGAACCATCTCTCCAGAGTGCTGCTCTCTTTTGCTCCCAACCATTATGGGGCAAGTTAACCTAAGCAAGAGAGTGGCCCAAATGTGCTGACTTCTCTGACTCCCTTGAAAGAACAAAGCACTTTGGTGTTCCTCAGATGGCTGTTGGGAGGATTAGAACTCTTGTGGTTCAGAAATAACCCTTTGATTCTAAACCCCATGCCCTAGTCAATAGTACTCCTTCCTGGAGTCTTTCAAAAAAATCATTCCAGGCCAGGCACAGTGGCTCATGCCTATAATCCCAGCACTTTGGGAGGCCGAGGTGGGAGGATCACTTGAGGTCAGGAGTTCAAGATCAGCCTGGCCAACATGGTGAAACCCCATCTCTACTAAAAATACAAAAATTAGCCAGGTGTGGTGGTGTGCACCTGTAATCCCAGCTACTCAGGAGGCTGAGGCAGGAGAATCACTTGAACCTGGGAGGCGGAAGTTGCAGTGAGCCGAGATCATGTCATTACACTCCAGTCAGTGACAAGAGCAAGACTCCATCTCAAAAAAAAGGAATGAGGATCTTTACACTATGGGGAACATATCAGATTCTTGGTTAAGATTCAGAATAAACACAAACCTAAGTGGTAAGGCGAGTAAAAGACCTATGACAGAGCACTTGGCTTAAAGAGAGAGGACACTCTGGTTGACTCTGCAAATCCCCTCTGCCTCAGATGACTGCTCCAAGCCAGTTGTGGTCATCTGTCTTCCTCCCTGGTCACTCGCTCATGGATGGTCAGGACTAAGCCAGTTTGCACTGATGACATGCAAGGAGTTTTCCTGGAGCTTCTGTGCAAAACCAGCCAGTCTTCCTCACCCTGCGGCTCTAAACAAGGCCCTGTCTCTGAGCTGCTGCCAGCAGTCATCTTATGACCACGAGAGGAACCACCAACCTCAGGGTGAACATATTCTCATTATTTAGGCCAACTTGAGTCAAGATATTTGTTAACTTGTAGATCCTAACTTTAAAAATCTTCAGAGTTGATTATGTGAGAAGCAAAGGGTTGGGAGGAAATAAAAAGAAACAGGAAAAAATAGGATCCGTTTAAGAACCAGGCTTGGGAAGAAGAAAAATTGTCTGTTTGTAAATGACATGATCTTACATATAGAAAACCCTAAAAACACCATCAAAAAACTGTTAGAACTAATAAACGAATTTCATAAAATCGCAGGATACAAAATCAACATTAAAAGTTCATTGTGGGAGTGAGGACAAGACAGCCAACTAGATGCAGCCAGGAAACATTTCTCCCACTGACAGAAACCAAGATATCATGTAAACCATCACATCTTGGATTGATTTTCTGAGAGAAAATACTGAAAGTGGATAGAGAGGCAACACAGACATCGAGGCTGAAGAGGGAGGAAGCTGGGAAGCCTGCATGGGATTGTCGAGTATCAGGACCAGATCCTAGTCCTGAACAGGACCTAAGAAAGGAACTGTGGGGCACCATTTTCCTGTTGCAGGCCTCTGGGATCCTAGCCACAGGAGAACACAGCGACCCCCACAGACATTTGAACTGGCAGGAGGAACTGTCTGAAGAGTAGGCAGAGGCAGAGTTGGAACCTCTGTGGAGTCCAGAAGGTTTTGCTTGTGGGGCAGCTGCAGCGATACACAACCATAGGCACCTATCCCCCAAGGCTCTCAATCTTGCTCTGAATGACGGTAGACCCTGAGGACCACCAGCCTGGGAGAGAGCAGGGCCTTTTCCGCAGGACTGAAGTGCATCTGATCTACATGCCCCTTTGTATACTGGCCCCTCCCGGGGCCGCTGCCTCACTGCTCCCACAAGAGTATGCACACAACACAGCCTCCACTGCCCTGCCCGAGTGTTTGGCTGGTGGCCTGGGAGCAGTTCAGCCCCCAGCTCAGCCGGTGCTCAACCTAGAGGAACTAGAGGACAAAGCCACGGTCCTGGCCCCAGTTGCCCAGGGTTTGAGTACACTGCTCAGGGGTATTGAGCTGGGATCTGTAGCCTGAGCTCGAGTGGTAGAGGAGCCCCCACTCTCAGACACTGAGAAGAGGAAGGCACAGGTTCGTGCACCAGTGCAGGAGCTTGGCATGTATCCCTCACAAGACCCATCCAGGTAGGGTGTAGGTCAGCCGCAGCCTCTGCCCAAGGGAGCCCCATGGCCCAGAACACCTAATAACCCAGTGATCTGAGCACAAAAGGCTAAGGGTAAAACTAGCTGGTCAGGCCTGCCCCAGGGGCAGACAGTGGTGGGTGATCCATCTGGGGGAGCATGAGCTGCACAGTCCCACAACAGTCTGCTGGGTAAAAACCCCAGGCCACAGGCGCCAACCAGCTGCCCACACACAGCACAACCACCCTGCCAGGGAATCCTCCGCCCTGACCCACTGCATCAACAGACCACCCACAGACATACCTACAACCTGCCCTGACTCTGCCAAGCACAGAGAACCAGCAGGCCCCCAGGAAGTTTCCAGGTCTCCCGGTGACCTAACCTTTAGCTTGGACCACCCCTAAGGGGGAAGTACAGCCCTCCTGGGCCTTGGAGCCAAGGCCCAGAAATAAACTTGGTGAGAGGGTCATTTCTCATCCCCCCAACTCCCCTTCCCCAGAGCACTGCAGCAAACACACTGAAATACAAAAAAAAGCACATAGCTGAGTAAGACCTGTCTGCTGGCCCTTACTCTTAAGCACCATTGACTGGATCACAGCCTGAATTACACCACCAAACAAAAATAAATTCCTTCAACACACATCGCCTGTGAAACAAAATACAGGAAATTAGCCACAACTAAGAAACAAGTACAGAGCTTTGGCCCCATGGAAGCACCCAGAAACAAAGTCAATCAACTATACACAATATACACCACAGTCAACCCTCACGGGAAAAACAGAATATATAAACAAAAAGCCCTATGCAGATGACAGCAACTTCAAAAAGATAAAGAAACACCAGCCTTCTCCAATGAGAAAGAATCAGCACAAGAACTCTGGCAATTCATAAAGTCAGAGTATTTCCTTGCCTCCAGAGGTTTACACTAGCTCCCCAGCAATGGATTGAAATGTCTGAAATGACAGATATAGATAGAGTTCAGAATCTGGATGACAAGGAAGATTCAAGAGAAAGTGGAAACCCAATCCAAGTAAGCCAGTAAAACAATCCAAGAATTGAAAAATAACAGTTATTTTAAGAAAGAATCAAACTGAACTTGTAGAATTGAAAAATTTACTACAGGAATTTCAAAATACAATTGGGAGCCTTAACAACAGACTAGACCAAGCTGAGGAAGGAATTTCAGAGCTTGAAGACTGACCCTTTGAATCAACCCAGTCAGAAAAAATAAAGAAAAAAAAATTTTTATTAAACAAAACTTCTGAGAAATATGGGATTATATAAAAAGACCAAACCTATAACTCACTGGCATTCCTGAGAGAAAAGAAGAAAGAGTAAGCAACTTGGAAAACATATTTGAGGATACTATTCATGAGAAGTTCTCCAATCTCACTAGAGAGGTCAACATGCAAATTCAAGAAATTCAGAGAACCCCTGCAAGATACTATACAAGACAACCATACCCAAGACACATAGCCAAAGTCAATGCAACAATGACAATCTTAAAGGCAGCTAGAGGAAAGGGTCAGATCATGTACAAAGGGAACCCCATCAGTCTAACAGCAGGCTTCTCAGCAGAAACCTTCCAAGCCAGAAGAGTGGGGACCTATTTTCAGCATTCTTAAAGAAAAGAAATTCCAACCAAGAATTTCATATCCCATCAAACTAAGCTTCATAAGCAAAGGAGAAATAAAATCCTTTGCAGACAAGTAAATGCTAAGGGAATTCATTACCACTAAACCAAGCTTACAAAAGATCCTTAAGGGAGTTTTAAACACGGAAATGAAAGAACAATACCTCCTACTACAAAAACACCCTTACATTCTTAGGCCACAGGCCTTGTAAAACAACTACACAATCAAGACTACAAAGCAACCAGCTAACAACATCATGACAGGAACAAAATCTCACATGTCAATATTAACCTTGGATGTAAACAGTCTAAATATCCCCCCTTAAAAGTCACAGAGTGGGCCAGGCATGGTGACTCACACCTGTAAACACAGTACTTTGGGAGGCCAAGACAGGCAGATCACCTGAGGTTAGGAGTTCGAGACCAGCCTGGTCAACATGGCAAAACCTCATCTCTACTAAAAATACAGAAATTAGCCGGGCATGGTGGCAGCTGCCTGTAATCCCAGCTACTAGGGAGGCTAAGGCAGGAGAATCACTTGAACCCAGGAGGCAGAGGTTGCAGTGAGCCAAGATCGCGCCACTGCACTCCAGCCTGGGCAACAAGAGCGAAACTCTGTCTCAAAAAAAAAAAGAAAAGAAAAAAAGAAAAGAAAGAAGTCACCGAGTGGCAAATTGGATTGAAAAAAAGACCCAACTGTCTGCTGTTTCCATGAGACCCATGTTACATGCAACAACAGTCATGGGTTAAAAGTAAAGGGATGGAGAAAGATCTATCATGCAAACAGAAAACAAAAAAGCAAGAGTTGCTATCACACATCAGATAAAACAGACTTTAAACTAACAACAGTAAAAAAGAACAAAGAAGGGCATTACATAATGATAAAGGGTTTAATTCAACAAGACTTAATTGTCCTAAATATACATGCACCCAACACTGGAGCACCAGCATTCATAAAACAAGTACTTCTAGCCTACAAAAAGATGTAGACAGCCACATAATAACAGTGAAGTACTTAAACACCCCACTGACAACTTTAAACATATCATCAAGACAGAAAACTAACAAAGAAATTCTAGACTTAAATTTGACACTTTACCAATTGGACCTAACAGACTTCTACAGGATACACTACCCAGCAACCAGAGTATACATTCTTTCAATCTGCACAGGGAACATACTCTAAGATTAACCATGGCCGGGCACAGTGGCTCATACCTGTAATCCCAGCACTTTGGGAGGCCAAGGCAGGTAGATCACAAGGTCAAGAGTTCAAGACCAGCCTGGACAACATAGTAAAACCCCATCTCTACTAAAAATACAAAAATTAGCCAGGCATGGCAGTGCATGCCTGTAGTCCCAGCCAGTCAGGAGGCTGAGGCAGGAGAATCGCTTGAACCCGGGAGGTGGAGGTTGCAGTGAGCCAAGATCATGCCACTGCACTCCAGCTTGGACAACAGAGTGAGACTTCATTTCAAACAAAACAAAACAAAACAAAACAAAACAAAAAAAGATTAACCACGTTTGGCCATAAAGTCAGTCTCAATAAATTCAAAAAAATCAAAACCATACCAAGTAGACTCTCAGATCACAGTGAAATAAAAATATAAATCAATACCAAGAAGATATCTCAAAACTACACAATTACATGGCAATTAAACAACTTGCTTTTGAATGACTTTTGAGTAAACAACAAAACTAAGGCAGAAATCAAAAAAGTATTTGAAATTAATGAAAACAGAGACACAACATACCAAAATCTTTGGAATATAGCAAAAGCAGCATTAAGAAGAAAGTTTATTATGCTAAACACCTACATTAAGAATTTAAAAAGAGCTCACATTAACAATTTCACATTGCACCTAGAGGAACTAGAAGAACAAGAACAAAACGCCAAAACTGGCGAAGAAAAGAAATAACTAAAATCAGGGCAAAATCAAACAAAATTGAGATCCAAAAATGTATACAAAGGACTGATAAAACAAAAAATTGGTTCTTTGAAAGGATACACAAGATAGATAGACTGCTAGCTAGATTAACAAAGAAAAACAGAAGATTCAAATGAGCACAATCAGAAATGACAAAGATGACATTATGCGCCTGTGGTCCCAGCTACTCAGGAGGCTGAAGCAGGAGGATGGCTGGAGCCTGGGAAGTCGAGGCTGCAGTGAGCTGAGATTGTGCCACTGCACGGCAGCCTGGGTGAAGAGCAAGACACTGTCTCAAATAAATATTTTTTTACATAATCATAATCCTATTAAAGAGTGGGCAAAGGACATGAACAGACACTTCTCAAAAAAAGACATACAAGTAGCCAACAAACACATGAAAAAATGTTCATCATCACTAATCATCAGAGAAATGCAAATTAAAACCACAATGAGATACCATCTCACACCAGTCAGAATGGCTATTATTCAAAAAAGAAAAATAAGAGATGTTGGCCAGGGCTGCAGAGAAAAGAGAAGGCTTACACATTGTTCTTGGGAGTGTAAATTACTTCAGCCACTCTGGAAAGTGGTTTGGAGACTTCTCAAAACACTAAAAACAGAATTATCATTCAACCCAGCAATCCCATTACTGGGTATACACCCAGAGGAAAATAAATCATTCTACCAAAAAGACACATGCACCCATATGTTCACTGCAGCACTATTTACAATAGCAAAGCCATGGAATCAACCCAGGTGCCCATCAGTGGTGGACTGGATAAAGAAACTGTAGTACACATACACCATGGAATACTACACAGCAATAAGAAATGATTCTCCACATGGTCAGCTGGAGATCATTATCCTAAGCAAACTAATGCAGAAACAGAAAACCAAATGCTACATGTTCTCACTTATAAGTGGGAGCTGAACATTGGACACACTTGGACATAAAGATGGGAACAGTAGACACTCGGGACTAAAGAGAGGGGAGGGAGGAGGGCCAGGGTTAAAAAACCACCTATTGGGTACTAAGCTCACTACCTAGATGACAGATACAATCGTACTGCAAACCTCAGCATCACACAATAGACCTTTGTAACAAACTTGCACATCTACCCCCCACCACCAAATCTAAAATAAAGTTTGAAAAAGAAAAAATAAAAATAAAAAATTAGTTGCATTTCTATAATATATACTAACAACAAACAGCTTGAAAATGAAATTAAGAAAACATTCCCATTTACACTGGCATCAAAAAGAATAAAATACTTAAGAATAAGTTTAACGAAGGAGGTAAAAGATTTGTACAATAAGAACTATAAAACACAGATGAAAGAAATTGTAGAAGACACAAACAGAATAATTAATACCATTAAAATGCTCATGCTATACAAAGTGATCTGCAGATTCAGGCAATCCCTATGAAAATTTCAATGATGTATTTCACAGAAATTTTTTTAAAATCCTAAAATTTGTGTGGAGCCAAAAAAGACCCCAAATAGCTTAGGCAATCTTGAGAAAGAAGAATGAAGATGGAGGCATCACACTTCCTGATTTCAAAGTATATTACAAAGATATTGTAATTAAAACAGTATAGTACTTGTATAAAAAACAGACACATAGGCCGGGCATGGTGGCTCATGCCTGTAATCCCAGCACTTTGGAAGGCTGAGGCAGGTGGATCACCTGAGGTCTGAATTTCGAGACCAGCCTGGCCAACATGATGAAACCACATCTCTACTAAAAATACAAAAATTAGCCGAGCATGGTGGTGGGCACCTGTAATCCTAGCTACTTGGAAGGCTGAGGCACGAGAATCGCTTGAACCTGGGAGGCGGAGGTTGCAGTGAGTCAAGATTACTCCATTGCCCTCCAGCCTAGACAACAGAGTGAGATTCCGTCTCAAAAAAATAAATAAATAAATAAATAAAACAGGCCCATAGACCAATGGAACCCAATAGAAAGTTCAGAAATACACCCATATATACATGGTCAACTAGCCTTCAGCAAAGGCACCAAGAATACACAACGAGAAAATGATGGTATCTTCAATAAATCATGTTGGAAAAATGAAATATCCATATGCAACAAGAATGAAATTGGATCTTTATCTTACACAATACACAGAAATTAACTCAAAATAGATTAAAGAGTTAAAGGTAAGATCCAAAACTGTAAAATTCTAGAAGAAAAGAAGAGAAAAGCTCCATGTCATTGGTCTTGGCAAAGTTTTTTTGATATGACACCAAAAGCGCAGGCAGCAAAAGCAAAAATAGACAAGGGGATTTTCCACAAACTAAAACACTTCAGAGCGGCCAAGGAAATAATCAACAAAATGAAAAAGCAACCTACAGAATGGAGAAAATATTTGCAAGCCATATATCTGATAAGTGTTTTTTCTTTAGTTTTAATATCTTTTTTAAATATACTTAATTTAATTTTTGTGAGTACAGAGTAGGGGTATTTATGGTGTATGATAAGGATTAAATATCTAAAATATATAAAGAATTCATGCAACTCAATAGCAAAAAAAAAAAAAAAACACATAACCCAATTGAAAAATGGGCAAAGGACCTGAATAGACATTTTTCCAAAAAAGATATACAAATGGTTAAGGGGTTTATGAAAAGGTGCTCAACATTACTAAACATCGGGGAAATGCTAGTCAAAACCACAATGAGATATCATCTCACACCTGTTAGATGGCTATCACCAAAAGGTCAAAAGATAACAAGTGTTGGCAAGGATGTAAAGAAAAGAAAACACTTAAATGTTGTTGGTGGGAATGTAAATTCCTGCAGCCATTCTGAAAAACAGCGTGAAGGTTCTTCAAAAAATAAAAAATACGGGCGGGGCACGGTGGCTCAGGTCTGTAATCTCAGCACTTTGGGAGGCCAAGGCAGGAGTTTCAGACCAGCCTGACCAACACGGTGAAATGCCCATCTGTACTGAAAATATAAAAATTAGCCAGGCGTGGTGGCATGCACCTGTAGTCCCACCTACTCGGGAGGCTGAGGTAGGAGAACCATTTGAACTCGGAAGGCAGAGGTTGCAGAGAGCCGAGATCGCACCACTGCACTCCAGCCTGGGTGACAGAGCAAGACTCAGTCTCAAAAAAAAAAAAAAAAAAAAAAACTACCATAGGATCCATCAATTCCCACTACCGGGTATATATCCAAAGTAAATTAAGGACAGGCACAGTGGCTTAACCCTATAAATCCCAACACTTCTAGTTATACGGTATAGCCGTAAAAAGTGAAAGCATTACCTTGGATATTTGCATACCCATGTTTACAAGAGCATTCAGTGGCCATGCACAATGGCATGGTATTCAGCCATGAAAAGGGAATAAAATATTGATATGTGCTGCAGTGTAGATGGACCTTGAAAACACTGGGCTAAGTGAAAGTAGCCAGACATGGAAGGACAAATGTGTGATTCCACTGATCTGAGGTACCTAGAATAAGCAAATTCATAGAAACAGAGAATAGAATCGAGGTCACCAGGGGATGGGAGGAGGGGGAAGGAATGTGGTGTTATTTGTATAACGGGTAGAGAGTTTACATTGGGAATGACAAAAAAGTTTTGGAAATAGTGGTGACGTTTACACGAATGTATTGTGAATGTATTTAATACCACTGAATTGCACACTTACAAATGACTAAATGAGAAATTGATAATGCTAAATAGTCATATATATTAACAATGAAATGATAACTATTATGTATACTTTGCTACAATAAATAATAATAATAATGATAATGGGAGAGGACTCATGTTATTTGAATGTGGAGCTTCGTGTTAATTAGTCCAACTAAGCTATCACATGCTGCTCTCTGGAGCGTGGGGACAGACAATAGCGCTGAGCATAACTGGGGACAGAAAAATAAATTGGCGGGGGCAGGGAGGCTCAGCTTAGTTGAGAGTGGGATTTTGTAGAGAATGAATGTCATGACCAATATCAGAAGTTTCTCAGAGCCACAGTTGAGCTGCTTTTTCTGCTGGTTTCAGGTGACGGCAAAACAGTGGCACAGGTGTGGGCCTGAAGCCCGCATAATGGAGCTTTCCCCTCCTCCCTGGATTCAGCCACACCCAGGACGAATGAGGTTTGGCTGCAAAACTTAATAGTTTGGGGGGTTTGGGGGTTTTTGTTTTTTGTTTTTTGAGACCGAGTCTCACTCTGTGTCCCAGGCTGGAGTGCAGTGACATGATCTTGGCTCACTGCAACCTCCACCTCCCGGGTTCAAGCGATTCTCCTGCCTCCGCCTTCCCAGTAGCTGGGATTACAGGCCCCGCCACCATGTCCGGCTAATTTTTGTATTTTAGGAGAGATGGAGGTTTCACCATGTTGGCCAGGCTGGTCTCAAACTCCTGACCTCAAGTGATCCACCTGACTCGGCCTCCCAAAGTGCTGGGATTACAGGCGTGAGCCACCGCACCCGTCCAATTTAATGGTTTAAGAGAATATGAGGCCAGGCACAGTGGCTCACACCTGTAACCCCAGCACTTTGGGAGGCCAAGGCTAGTGGATCACTTGAGGTCAGGAGTTCAAGACCAGCCTGACCAACATGGTGAAACCCCATCTCTACTAAAAATACAAAAACTAGCCAGGCGTGGTGGTGCACACCTGTTATCCCAGCTACTTGGGCAACTGAAGCAGGAAAATCACTTGAACCCGGGAGGCGGAGGTTGCAGTGAGCCAAGATCATGCCACTGCACTCCAGCCTGGGTGACAAGAGCAAAACTCCGTCTCAAAAAAAAAAGAGAAAACAAAACAAAAGTGAGGAAATCAAGGGGAGGGAAATCACTGCCCCAGCTCAGGGTTCTTGCCCCGAGGAAGGAGCTGCACTGCCAGAGTCCCTTTCAGGCACCCTCCAGGAGGCCACCAACCCCCAGCTGCAGTGCCTGCATGACAAAAGTTCAAGTTCAAGGGCCTGGCTTCCCCTCTGTTCCCCGCCCCCACACCCCCACCCACCCCCAGCAACACAGACAGGAAGCAGGGCTCACTTCCTGCACCAGTGCACTTACAGGAAGTCAGCTGCTATCACAAGTGCAGCCACCTGAGAGCCCAGGCCCTTTCCCAGAACCCCACCCATACCTGGTGGGGCTGATGTCCAGCTAGGGTGCTACACTAAAGCCCTACACAGTACTGAAGCATTAACACGCTTTTAACCCAGTTAGGGAAAAGCCACTGCCCTGAGCCCGTTGAAAGAGCTCAGGAAATGCCACCCCAAAATATGCTGCTTTGGTGTGCCGATCACTTTGAGCTGAAGACACTTGAGAAAGACCAAAGGCAGAGAGACGTTTTCCCTGAACTCCCCCTGTCTGCCTAAAGACAGATCCCCAATCCCCTCCCAGGGAGTTTCGGGGAAATGAAAATCAAAACCACAGTGAGATACCATCTCACACCTGTTAGATGGCTAGCATCAAAAGGTGAAAAGGTAACAGGTCTTGGCAAGGATGTAGAGAAAACACATATATGTTGTTGGTAGGAATGTAAATTGGTGCTGCCATTCCGTAAAACAGTGTGAAGTTTCCTCAAAAAATTAAAAATAGGGATTAGGTGGGGGTGGCTGGCAAAATGGCCAAATAGGAACAGTTCCAGTCTGCAGCTCCCAGCAAGATCAACATGGAAGGCAGGTAATTTCTGCATTTCCAACTGAGGTACCTGGCTCATCTCATTGGGACTGGTTAGACAGTGGGTGCAGCCCACAGAGGGTGAGCCAAAGCAGGGTGGGGTGTCACTTCAACACCCAAGAGGTCAGGAAACTCCCTCCCCTAGCCAAGGGAAGACATGAGGGACTGTGCCATGAGAAACAGTGCACTCCAGCCCAGATACTACACTTTTCCCATGGTCTTTGCAACCTGCAGACCAGGAGATTCCCTCAGGTGCCTACACCACAAGGGCCCTGGGTTTCAAGCACAAAACTGAGCAGCCATTTGGGCAGACACCGAGCTAGCTGCAGGAGTTTGTCTTTCCATAACCCAGTGGCGCCTGGAATGCCAGTGAGACAGAACCATTCACTCCTCTGGAAAGGGGGCTGAAGCCAGGGAGCCAAGTGGTCTAGCTCAGCAGATCCCACCCCCATGGAGGCCAGCAAGCTAAGATTGACTGGCTTGAAATTCTTGCTGGCAGCACAGCCATCTGAAGTTGACCTGGGACACTTGAGCTTGGTGGGAGGAGGGGCGTCCACCATTACTAAGGCTTGAGTAGGTGGGTTTTCCCTCACAGTGTAAACAAAGCCACTGGGAAGTTCGGAATAGGTGGAGCCCACCACAGCTCAGCAAAGCTGTTGTAGCCAGACTGCCTCTCTAGATTGCTCCTCTCTGGGCAGGGCATCTCTGAAAGAAAGGCAGCAGCCCCAGTCAGAGGCTTATAGATAAAACTCTGACCTCCCTGGGATAGAGCACCTGGGGGAAGGGACGGCTGTGGGCGCAGCTTCAGCAGACTTAAACATTCCTGCCTACTGGCTCTGAAGAGACCAGCAGATCTCCCAGAACAGCACTCAAGCTCTGCTAAGGGACAGACAGCCTCCTCAAGTGAGTCCCTGACCCCTGTGCCTCCTGACTGGGAGATACCCCCCAGCAGGGGTCGACAGACACTTCATACAGGAGAGCTCTGGCTGGCATCTGGCAGGTGCCTCTCTGGGATGAAGCTTCCAGAGGAAGGAACAGGAAGCAATCTTTGCTGTTCTGCAGCCTCTGCTGGTGATACCCAGACAATCAGGGTCTGGAGTGGACCTCCAGCAAACTCCAGCAGACCTGCAGAAGAGGGACCTGACTGTTAGAAGGAAAACTAACAAACAGAATGCAATAGCATCAACATCAACACAAAGGACAACCACACAGAAACCCCATGCGAAGGTCACCAACATCAAAGACAAAAGGTAGATGAATCCACAAAGATGAGGAAAAACCAGCACAAAAAGGCTGAAAATTCCAAAAACCAGAATGCCTCTTCTCCTCCAAAGGATCACAACTCCTCACCAGCCAGGGCACAAAACTGGAAAAAGAAGGAGTATGACAAATTGACAGAAGTAGGCTCCAGAAGGTGAGTGATAACAAACTCCTCCAAGCTATAGGAGCATGTTCTAACCCAATCCAAGGAAGCTAAGAACCTTGAAAAAAGGTTAGAGGAATTGCTAACTACAATAACCAGAGAACATAAATGGCCTGATGGAGCTGAAAAACACAGCACGAGAACTTTGTGAAGCATACACAAGTATCAACAGCCAAATCGATGAAGTGGAAGAGAGGATATCAGAGATTGAAGATCAACTTAATGAAATAAAGTGTGAAGACAAGATTAGAGAAAAAAGAATGAAAAGAAATATGGGACTATGTGAAAAGACCAAATCTACATTTGATTAGTGTACCTGAAAGTGACAGGGAGAATGGAACCAAGTTGGAAAACACTCTTCAAGATATTATCCAGAAGAACTTCCCCCAACCTAGCAAGACAGGCCAACATTCAAATCCAGGAAATACAGAGAATACCACAAAAATACTCCTCGAGAAGAGCAACCCCAAGACCCATAATCGTCAGATTCACCAACGTTGAAATAAAGGAAAAAATGTTAAGGGCAGTCAGAGAGAAAGATCAGGTTACCCGCAAAGAGAAGCCCATCAGACTAACAACGGATCTCTCTGCAGAAACCCTACAAGCCAGGATAGAGTGGGGGGCATTATTCAACATTCTTAAAGAAAATAATTTTCAACCCAGAATCTCATATCCAGCCAAATTAAGCTTCATAAGTGAAGGAGAAATAAAATCCTTTACAGACAAGCAAATGCTGAGATATTTTGTCACGACCTGGCCAGCCTTACAAGAGCTCCTGAAGGAAGCACTAAATATGGAAAGAAAAAACCGGTACCAGCTACTGCAAAAACATACTAAATTGTAAAGACCATTGACACTATGAAGAAACTGCATCAACTAACAGGCAAAATAACCAGCTAGCATCACAATGAAAGAATCAAATTCACACATAACAATATTAACCTTAAATGTAAATGGGCTAAATGCCCCAATTAAAAGATACAGACTGGCAAATTGGATAGAGAGTCAAGACCCATTGGTGTGCTATATTCAGGAGACCCATCTCATGTGCAGAGACACACATAGGCTCTACATAAAGGGATGAAGGAATATCTACCAAGCAAATGGAAAGCAAAAAAAAAAGCAGGGGTTGCAATCCTAGTCTCTGATAAAACAAACTTTAAACCAACAAAGATCAAAAAAGACAAAGAAGGGCACTACATAATGGTAAAGGGATCAATGCAACAAGAAGAGCTAGCTATCCTAAACATATATGCACCCAAAACAGGAGCACCCAGAATCATAAAGCAAGTTCTTAGAGACCTACAAAGAGACTTAGACTCCCACACAATGACAGTGGGAGATTTTAACACCCCACTGTCAATATTAGACAGATTGACAAGACAGAAAATTAACAAGGATATTCAGGACTTGAACACAGCTCTGGACCAAGTGGACCTAATAGACATCTACAGAACTCTCCACCCCAAATCAACAGAATATACATTCTTCTCAGCACCACATCACACTTATTCTAAAATTGACCACATAATTGGAAGTAAAACACTCCTCAGCAACTGCAAAAGAACGGAAATCATAACAAACAGTCTCTCAGACCACAGTGGAATCAAATTAGAACTCAGGATTAAGAAACTCACTGAAAACTGCACAACTACATGGAAACTGGACAACCTGCTCCTGAATGACTACTCAGTAAATAACGAAATTAAAGCAGAAATAAATAAGTTCTTAATGAGAACTTATAAATAAATAAATGAGAACAAAGACACAATGCACCATAATCTCTGGGACACAGCTAAAGCAGTATTTAGAGGGAAATGTATACCATTAAATGCCCACAGGAGAAAGCAGGAAAGATCAAAAACTGATACCCTAACATCACAATTAAAAGAACTAGAGAAGCAAGAGCAAACAAATTCAAAAGCTAGCAGAAGACAAGATATAACTAAGATCACAGCAGAACTGAAGGAGATACAGACACGAAAAATCCTTCAAAAAATCAGTGAATCCAGGAGCTGGTTTTTTGAAAAGATCAACAAAACAGACCACAAGCCAGACTTATAAAGAAGAAAACAGAGAAGAATCAAATAGACACAATAAAAAACGATAAACGGGATATCATCACCGATCCCACAGAAATACAAACTACCATCAGAGAATACTATAGACATCTCTACACAAATATAATAGAAAATCGAGAAGAAATGGATAAATTCCTGGACACATACACTCTCCCAGGACTAAACCAGGAAGAAGTCGAATCCCTGAATAGACCAATAACAGGTTCTGAAATTGAGGCAGTAATTAATAGGCTACCAACCAAAAAAAGCCCAGGACCAGATGGATTCACAGTCAAATTCTACCAGAGATACAAAGAGGAGCTGGTACCACTATTTCTGAAGCTATTCCAAACAATAGAAAAAGAGGGACTCCTCCCCAACTCATTTTATGAGGGCAGCATCATCCTGATACCAAAACCTGGCAGCGACACAACAACAACAACAACAAAAAAGGAAATTTCAGGCCAATATCCCTGGTGAACATCGATGCAAAAATCCTCAATAAAATACTGGCACACCGAATCCAGCAGCACATCAAAAAGTTTATCCACCACAGTCAAGTTGGCTTCATCCCTGGGATGCAAGTCTGGTTCAATATACACAAATCAATAAACGTAATCCATCACATAAACAGAACCAATGACAAAAACCACATGACTATCTCAATAGATGCAGAAAAGCCCTTCAATAAAATTTAACACCACTTCATGCTAAAAACTCTCAATAAAATAGATATCAATGGGACGTATCTCAAAACAATAAGAGTGTCATAAACAATATTTATGACAAACCCACAGCCAATATCATACTGAATGGGCAAAAGCTGGAAGCATTGCCTTTGAAAACCAGTCTAAGACAAGCATGCCCTCTCTCACCACTCCTATTCAACATAGTATTGGAAGTTCTGGCCAGGGAAATCAGACAAGAGAAAGAAATGAAGGGTACTCAGCCAGGCGCGGTGGCTCATGCCTGTAATCCCAGCACTTTGGGAGGCCGAGGCAGGCGGATCACCTGAGGTCGGGAGTTTGAGACCAGCCTGACCAACATGGAGAAACCCTGTCTGTACTAAAAAAAATACAAAATTAGCCAGGCATGGTGGTGCATGCCTGGAATCCCAGCTACTCGGGAGGCTGAGGCAGGGGAATCACTTGAACCCAGGAGGCAGAGGTTGCAGTGAGCCGAGATCGCGCCATTGCACTCCAGCCTGGGGAACAAGAGTGAAACTCCGTCTCAAAAAAAAAAAGAAAGAAAGAAAGGGTATTCAAATAAGAAGAGAGGAAGTCAAATTGTCTCTGCAAATGACATGATTGTATATTTAGAAAACCCCATCATCTCAGCCCAAAATCTCCTTAAGCTGATAAGCAACTTCAGCAAAGTCTCAGGATACAAAATCAATGTGCAAAAATCACAAGCATTCCTACACACCAATAATAGACAAACAGAGAGCCAAATTATGAGTGAACTCCCATTCACGATTGCTACAAAAAGAATAAAATACCTAGGAATCCAACTTACAAGGGATGTGAAGGACCTTTTCAAGGAGAATTACAAACCACTTCTCAATGAAATAAAAGAAGACACAAACAAATGGAAGAACATTCCATGCTCATGGGTAGGAAGAATCAATATCATGAAAATGGCCATACTGCCCAAAGTAATTTATAGATTCAATGCTATCCCCATCCAGCTACCATTGACTTTCTTCACAGAATTAGAAAAAACTACTTTAAATCTCATGTGGAACCATAAAAGAGCCCGTATAGCCAAGATAATCCTAAGCAAAAAGAACAAAGCTGAAGGCATCACACTACCTGACTTTAAACAATACTACAAGCCTATGGTAACCAAAACAGCATGGTACTGGTACCAAAACAGATATATAGATCAGTGGAACAGAACAGAGGCCTCAGAAATAACGCCACACATCTACAACCATCTGATCTTTGAAAAACCTGACAAAAGCAAGCAATGGGGAAAGGATTCTCTATTTAATAAATGGTGTTGGGAAAACTAGCTAGCCATATGCAGAAAACTGAAACTGGACCCATTCCTTACACCTTAAAAAAAATTAACTCAACACGGATTAAAGACTTAAATGTAAGACCTAAAACCATAAAAACCCTGGAAGAAAACATAGCAATACCATTCAGGACATAGGCATGGGCAAAGACTTCATGACTAAAACACCGAAAGCAATGGAAACAAAAACCAGATTTGACAAATGGGATCTAATTAAACTAAAGAGCTTCTGCACAGCAAAAGAAACTATCATCAGAGTGTACAGGCAACCTAGAGAATGGGAGAAAAATTTTGCAATCTATCCACCTGACAAAGGGCTCATATCCAGAATCTACAAAGAACATAAATTAACAAGAAAAAAACAACCCCATCAAAAAGTGGGCAAAGAGTATGAACAGACACTTCTCAAAAGAAGACATTTATGCAGCCAACAAACATACGAAAAAATGCTCATCACCACTGGTCATCAGAAAAATGCAAATGAAAACCACGATGAGATACCATCTCACGCCAGTTAGAATGGCGATCATTAAAAAGTCAGGAAACAACAGATGCTGGAGAGGATGTGGAGAAATATGAACACTTTTACACTGTTGGTGGGACTGTAAATTAGTTTAACCATTGTGGAAGACAGTGTGGCAATTCCTCAAGGATCCAGAACCAGAAATACCATTTGACTCAGCCATTACTGGGTCATACCATTACTGGGTACATACCCAAAGAATTATAAATCATTCTACTATAAAGACACATGCACATGTATGTTTATTGCAACACTGTTCACAATAGCAAAGACTTGGAACCAATCCAAACGCCCATTAACGATAGACCAGATAAAGAAAGTGTGGCACATATATACCATGAAATACCATGCAGTCATAAAAAAGGATAAGTTCATGTTCTTTGCAGGGACATGAATGAAGCTGGAAACCATCATTCTCAACAAACTAACTCAGGAACAGAAAACCAAACACCACATGTTCTCACTCATAAGTGGGAGATGTACAATGAGAGCACATGGACACAGGGAGGGGAATATCACACACCAGGGCCTGTTGAGGTGTGGGGGCTGGGGGAGGGAGAGCATCAGGAGAAATACCTAATGTTGATGACGGGTTGATGGGTGCAGCAAACCACCATGGCACGTGTATACCTATGTAACAAACCTGCATGTTCTGCACATGTATCCCAGAACTTAAAGAATAAAAAATAAATAAATAGGGACTAAGGAGGATTAACTTCTATCCCAGGAGAGGAGACAAGAATACCCCAGAGCTGGACAAACTTTGTCACAAACCATTATCTCTGCTTCTGAGGTCCAATTCATCTCTCCCCAAAACCATTAATTCTCCTCTAAGTTGCCTGCACCTCCCCACCCCTCTCCACCATGAGGAGGGTATTCAAGCTCCTCAGTCTCACTGGTTTGAAAGTGTTCCCTTTTCTTTCCTGTGATGCCCCAGTGCACATAATAAATTTGTGTGCCTTTGCTCATGTAATTCACCTGCTGTGTGTGTGTGTGTGTAAATGGGGTTTCACTTTGTTGCCCAGGCTGGTCTCAAATTCCCAGCCTTAAGTGATCTTCCAACCTCAGCCTTCCAAAAGTATTAGATGTTAGGATTGCAGGTATGAGCCTGGCAGGTGTTTGCTTGTTTGTTTGTTTGTTTGTTTTTGTTTTTGAGACAAGGTCTTGCTCTGTTACCCAGGCTGGAGTGCAGTGGCACAATCGCAGCTCACTGAAGCCTCAACATCCCAGGATCAGATGATCCTCCCGCCTCAGGTTCCTGAGTACCTGGGACTACAGCACGCCACCACCCCGCCCGGCTATTTATTTTTTTGTTAAAGAAGTGATCTTACTATGTTGCCCAGGCTGGTCTCAAACTCCTGGACTCAAGCGATCCTCCCACCTCAGCCTCCCAAAGTGCTGGGATTATAGGTATGAGTCACTGCCTCCAACCTATTTTTTAAATTTTTTTTAGAGACAGGGTCTTGCTTTGTTGCCAAGGCTGGAGTGCAGTGGTGCCATCATAGCTTACGACAGCCTGGAAATCCTGGGCTCAAGTAATCCTCCCACCTCAGCCTCCCAGGTAGCTGGGACTATAGGCATGTACCACCAGCCCACTAATTTTTTTGGTTTTTGTAGAGACAGGGTCTCACGATGTTACCCAAGCCGGTCTCAAACAGCTAGGCTCAAGCCATCCTTCCACCTCAGCCTCCCAAAGTGCTGGGATTACAGGCATGAGCCACCGTGCAGGGCCTGATAGTTTATTTCATAGACTCAGCTACCAACTCCTTAGAGTGTAGAGGGAAATTCTTCTCCACACACACCCTTCAAGGTTCTCCCTCCACCCTCTGCTGCCCTGGACACCCTCCCTAGACCTTCCCAGTCGGCAACCTGATGTCAGGAATCCTCCTGAAACCTGCTCCTGACTTCGCAGGTCTCAGTTCTGATCCGTAGGAGCACACAGAACAGAATGAAAGGCAGGGCTCTCCTGCGAAGGTTGGTTTTTTATTCTGATTTTAGCAAGTAAAACTCTACTTGAAATTTGCGTCTGACCACGGGTTCTCTCCCCTAAAATTTCCATACTCGCCCCAACCTGATTCCCCTCTCCAGATTCTCCAGAAAGTCTACACTGCCCTCTGGTGGCATAATGTTGCTATTGCACAGTCTCCTTTCAAAGCATCCTGTAACGTTTCTTCTTGTCAGTCATCCTGTTGTCCATCCTGGAAAAATAGAATTCTTCTCAACCTTCTAAACGAAGATCACAAAATCAAGGTCAGAGTGCCATTATTTACTTCTAAATGACGGTGGAATAACATAAAGAATAGGTGCATGAGATGGTTTTGATATGTGGCAGTTCACGTGCCCACAAATGGGTTTATGGCCTACGCAGAGAACCCTTAATTCAAATTGCTAGGTGGATACTGTGTCTTTGATGCTCTTCCATCCCCTTTATGACCTTTCCATCCTCCTAGGTCCCTGGGGACCTAGGGGTCTCCACAAACAATGTATTTCTGCCCACCCTGGATTTCCCTCTAGGCTAGAATGCTCTGAAGTGTAGCCTCCAGAGCAACTCAGACTTCTAAGGGCACACAGCAGTGATGCAGGGGACATTGAAGTTGCAGAGAAGTAAGGTGGCACCTAGATACCCAACTGTACGGCCTCCACTGGAGCACAGAGCCTGTCAGCTTCCCTGGCCTGCCCTGTAGATTCTCACATTGTGAGGGCATCCTTCCAGTGCAGGCTCAGAGGTGGCCTGAACAGAGAAGAAAATACTAGGTTATGGAGTGAGTTTAACCACGGCAGACAGTTGTCTTTATGAGGGGAGATGAGAAGTGGGTTGTTGTAAGTGGATGCCGTCTTGGGGAGGTGATTCATCCCCACAGTGTGGATTAATGCCTGCCATCTGACCGTTGCTCCGGAGGTGATGGATGTGGAAATGGATCCCAGGCAGAGATGGCTTTGAAAGGGCCCCCTCACCAATGGGAGCTCTCTCTGGCAGACATAGAACCAAACACCTCAAACACTTGTGGGGGTCCCATATACAGAACAAGATGTATCTTCTCAGACTGATAGCCATGGCTAAGATGGCCTCACAGCTCCAGCCCTAGGAAATATCTAGCCATAGTGTCTGCCGGGGCAACTAAGCGTTCGCAGCAAGTACAACAGCACCTGGAGTTGCCCTGTATCCCCGTTTTGTGGAAAAAGAAGCAGCCGCCATAAACAAGAGAACTTCATGTCACAAATCCTGAAAGTTAAAAATCCCAAGCGACAAAGAAATCTTAACGTTTCTTCCCAGCACCAACACAGAATCGTTCATAAATCCTAAATGTTTACTAGATGAAGACTGTGACCGCTTTCAAATGTTCATGATCAGTACTCTTTTCACGTGGCCTTTTTGAAGAATGTTGACTTCGGACCGCAGTGCTTCACCTTCCCACCGCTGCTGAGTGTCACACAGCGTCATCTTCCCTCCCTGCCTGCCATGAGGCCCTTCCTGCTCAGCTGCCCACAGCAAATCATGAAAGGATCACTAGGTTATATTTATAATTTTCAAAAACTTTAGAAACATACAAATATAAAATGAACATGTCAATGGTTTGATTCAAATCATTCATTAAACAAGGGAACCAGAAATAGGTTAAAACTGGTTCAAAGGAGAACTTGAAGAATTGAGATTTACATTGTCAGTCCAGTCAAAGGAATGCTGAAACAAATTTGCTAATATATGCAAAGCTGGTTAATATACTACTACACAACAAACTATATAAATCATCTTTTCTACAAGACAGTAAAAAATTATATCTCTCCAATGCAAAATGCATTTTCATTGTTATGGGCTAGAATCATTTACAAAACCTTCAAATAAGAATCTTCATATTATTATTCCTTTTCTGCAAGTTAACCTCTACCTCTTAGAGTTGTAAAATACCCTGGCTAATAAAGTTAATCAAAATTACATAGCAACCACTGCATTGAAGGAATACTCAGTCATCTCTTTTATTTTATTTGATATTATTTTATTTTATTTTATTTTATTTTATTTTATTTTATTTTATTTTATTTTATTTTATTTTATTTTGAGATGGAGTCTCACTTTGTCACCCAGGCTGGAGTGCAGTGGCGCAATCTCGGCTCACTGCAACCTCCGTCTCCGGGGTTCAAGCAATTCTCCTGCCTCAGCCTCTCGAGTAGCTGGGATTACAGGTGCCCACCACCACACCCGGCTAATTTTTGTATTTTTAGTAGAGACGGGGTTTCACCATGTTGGCCAGGCTGGTCTCAAACTCCTAACCTCAGGTGATCCACCCGCCTAGGCCTCCCAAAGTGCTGGGATTACAGGCATGCACCACCGCATCTGGTAATCTCAGTAATCTGTTAATTCTTCTTGAAAATGTATACATTAAAGTGTGTGGACTTGATGTGTTAAGGAACTGGGCCATTAGTCTCCAGCCTTCTCCTCTCTGGAAATGGGGTTTATGTAAATGCCAAAGCTCCTTTATAAGTTCTGAGCCCCTCAGTAGTTTTTCCCCTATAAAACTGGGTTTTGCTCAGGTGCATTTCTGCTAGCTAGGAGGCAGCTTGAAGTCCTGGCAAGCCAGGCTGGCATTCTAGAGAGTTCAGTGTAATCACAACACAGAAGAGTACCTGGGCCTGGCCTTCCTGGAGACATATCAGGGAGGCCCTTGGAGCAAACTTTTTCTATACAGGACCAGATAGTAAATATTTTAGACTTTGCAGGTCGTAAAGTTTCTGTAGCAACTACTCAACTCTGCCACTGTAGCGCAAAAGCAGCCTTAGACCACATATGAATAAATGGGCACGGCCGTGTTCCAATAAAACTTTATTTACAAAACAGGCCATGGGCTGGATTTGGCATATGGACCACAATTTGTCTACCTCTGGTAGAGAGAATACAGGAGCTTTCATTCATTCACACAGTTAATATTAGCTGTGATCCTAAGTGAGCCATACCTAAACCGATCCCATCCCTGCCTTCACGGAGCTCCTGGTGTGGTGGAACGCATAGTTTACATAAGGAATTTTAATACAGGGTAATAGCAGAGATGGCAAGTCAGACAAACCTAGTCCAATGAGAAAACACCACTTAAGTTGAAACATAAATACTTACTAAGATGCTGAATTTGAGGTCCTTGTGACATATCCAAGTAGCAGTGTCATTGGACAGGTGTTTATAATAAGTCTACAGCTCAGAAAGCCAGCCCGGGTCGGGCGCGGTGGCTCACGCCTGTAATCCCAGCACTTTGGGAGGACGAGGCGGGCAGATCACCTGAGGTCAGGAGTTTGAGACCAGCCTGACCAACATGAAGAAACCCAGTTTCTATTAAAAATACAAAATTAGCCGGGTGTGGTGGCACAGGCCTGTAATCCCAGCGACTCTGGAGGCTGAGGCAGGAGAATTGCTTGAACCCAGGAGGCGGAGGTTGCAGTGAGCCGAGATCGTGCCATTGCACTCCAGCCTGGGCGACAGAGTGAGACTCCGTCTCAAAAAAAAAAAAAAAAAAAGAAAGGCAGCCTGGGCTGCAGATCAGATCTGGAAGCCACTGAAGCCTCGGGGGTGGCTGACGTTGCCTGGGAGGGTGAGTGGGCAAGAGGAGCTGTGTGAGTGACTACACCCTGTGCTTCTCAAACTTGAGCGCACAGCTCACTCACCTGGAGGGCTTCTCAAAACACAGATTGTGGGGCCCCGCCCCCTAAGTCTCAGATTCAGTACATCTGGTTCGAGGCCAAAGAATTTGCATTTCTTTCAAGTTCCCAAAGAAGAAGGTACATCTGGAGTCTAGTCAAGTTTTGAGAAAAGGGCTTTTCATTACAAGCAGAGTGTAACCAGGAAAGATGGCTCCTTGTACCCACCAGAGGAATAAAAACATCTTTTAAGAAAAGTCTAAGATTCTGACATTTTGGTTACAAAGTCAAGAAATAAGCTCCACCTAAAAAAAATCATCATCATTGGCCGGGCGCAGTGGCTCACGCCTGTAGTCCCAGCACTTTGGAAGGCTGAGGTGGGTGGATCACGAGGTCATGAGATTGAGACCATCCTGGCTAACACTGTGAAACCCCGTCTCTATTAAAAAATACAAAAAATTAGCCGGGCATGGTGGCGGACGCCTGTAGTCCCAGCTACTCAGCTACTCGGGAGGCTGAGGCAGGAGAATGGTGTGAACCTGGGAGGCAGAGCTTACAGTGAGCAGAGCTTGCGCCACTGCACCCCAGCCTGGGCGACAGAGCGAGACTCCATCTCAAAAAAAAAAAAAAAAAAAATTCATCATCATGAGATGCATCCATTTCACTGGCATTAGTCATCTGAGACTATCTAATGCAGAGCAATAAATTCTTTCCATGATGCTGGATATCTCTTGGACCTCCCTGTAAATAATTTTTTTTTTTCTTCTTGAGATGGAGTTTCACTCTGTCACCAAGGTGGGAGTGCAGTGGCGAGATCTCGGCTCACTGCAACCTCCCCCTTCTGGGTTCAAGCAATTCTCCTGCCTCAGCCTCCAGAGTCGCTGGGATTACAGGCACCAGTCACCATGACTGGCTAATTTTTTTTCGTATTTTTAGTAGAAAGGGGGTTTCACTACATTGGCCAGGCTGATCTCGAACTCCTGACCTCAGGTGATCTGCCTGCCTCGGCCTCCCAAAGTGCTAGGATTACAGGCATGAGCCACCGCACCTGGCCCCTGTAAATAATTTTTTTTTTTTTTTTGAGATGGAGTCTCGCTCTGTCACCCAGGCTAGAGTGCAGTGGCGCAGTCTCAGCTCACTGCCAGCTCCGCCTCCCGGGTTCATGCCATTCTCCTGCCTCAGCCTCCCGAGTAGCTGGGACTACAGGTGCCGGCCACCATGCCCAGCTAATTTTTTTTGTATTTTTAGTAGAGACATGGTTTCACCATGTTAGCCAGGATGGTATCAATCACCTGACCCCATGATCCACCTGCCTCGGCCTCCCAAAGTGCTGGGATTACAGGCATGAGCCACCACGCCCGGCCCCTGTAAATAATTTTTAAAGAGGCAACCTCGATGGGCACTGATCAGTGAAACAGAGGTCATTAGAGCGCTTGCTATCTGAAGGCGGAAATCCTCCATCCACTGGGCAACACTAGCCCTTGACTTAATTTCATTACAATGAAGGTGAATTTGGCTCTGGTCACTATCGCTCCAGCTCAGAAAGTATTCTGGCTGCAGTGAGCCCTGGAAGAGACAGATCTGAAAATTTACTGAGGTTAGAATCAAGGCACCTTGGAGTCAGGCAGCCATTGGTTGGATTTCTAAAACTGTCATTTACTTTGAGTGGCCTAGGGCACATTACTTTCATTTTTGTGAGTGTGTGTGGTTTTTGTTTTGTTTTGTTTTGTTTTTTTGAAATGGAGTCTCATTCAGTTGCCCAGGCTAGAGTGTCATCGTGCTACCTCAGCTCACTGCAACATCCACCTCCTGGGTTCAAGCAATTCTCCTGCCTCAGCCTCCCAAGTAGCTGGGATTACAGGTGCACACCACCACGCCCAGCTAATTTTTGTATTTTTAGTAGAGATGGGGTTTCTCCATGTTGGTCACGCTGGTCTCAAACTCCTGACCTCAGGTGAGTCGCCCACCTCGGCCTCCCAGAGTGCTGGGATTAGAGGTGTGAGTCACCACACCTGGCCTAGGGTACATTACTTTCTGCATGCTTGTTTCCTTATATGAGAATATAAATAACTATAGCATTTTTCTGAAAGATAAATTTTTAAAAGTATGTGAAAAGAACAGAATTCTTGGCCTGTGGTAAGTACTCTATAAATGGTAACTATTTTTGCCATTATTTCCATTTTCACTGTTGTTTGGAGAAGAAATGAAAAGTTGAAGAGAGTGTTTAATCAGTTCATAAAGTTGCCAGGGGACTTTAACAGCTCACAAGAGTAAAATGCTAAAAGAGAAAATCTCCAAGCCTTAGGGAAGAAGCTTAAGGGAGTTACACAGGAAGTTTAATGCCCTTTATATTTGTGTGTAATAAACACACATCATAAGAAAGGAATTCCCTTAGCCGGGCGGGGTGGCTCACGCCTGTAATCCCAGCACTTTGGGAGACCGAGGCGGGCGGATCATCTGAGGTCAGGAGTTCAAGACCAGCCTGGCCAATATGGTGAAACTTTGTCTCCACTAAAAACACAAAAATTAGCCGGGCGTGATGGCACATGCCCATAATCCCAGCTACTAAGGACGCTGAGGCAGGAGAATCTCTTGAGCCCGGGTGGTGGAGGTTGCAGTGAGCTGAGATGGCGCCACTGCACTCAAGCCTGGGTGACAGAGCGAGACTCCGTCTGGAAAAAAAAGAAAAAAGAAAAAAAAATCATTTCATTTCCAAACTTATAAATAACTGGCAACAAGTATTTTTGCAGAAAGCACTAGAGCAAAGTACTCTCCATCACAGCTGAAAAAGGGTTTTATTTAACTTGGAACAGCTGCAGGCACAGAGACTGAAATGTTCCTGCCATTGAACATTGAGTTAGGGAGTTCCCAGCTACACAGGGCAGGGCAGCATCTCTGTAGGACACCTGGAACCAAATGGGCTGAACTGGAACAGAATGAAAGAGAAATCCAGGTGGGACCAGAGAAGTAACTATTCCAAAGCCCTGCTCAGGTGAGTTTTGACTCAAGAAGAATCAGAAATCAGAAGTTCATCTTGGGGCTTCCTATATCTATTAATTTTCTGTTGTCTTTTTTTTTTTTTTTTTTGAGACAGAGTCTCACTCTGTCACCCAGGCTGGAGTGCGTGATCTCAGCTCACCGCAACCTCCGCCTCCCGGGTTCAAGCAATCCTCCCACCTCAGCGTCCCAAGTAGCTGGAGCTACAGGTGCCTGCCACCATGCCCAGCTAATTTTTGTATTTTTAGTAGAGACAAGGTTTCACCATGTTGGCCAGGATGGTCTTGAACTCCTGGCCTCAAGTGATCTGCCCACTTCAGCTTCCCAAAGTGCTGGGATTACAGACATGAGCCACTGCGCCTGGACTTGTTGTCTTAAACTCTTAAGTTAGAGAACTTTCCAGGTCATGGCTAAGACAGACATATTGACCAGAGACACCATCAAAACACTTGCAGCCCAAACTGTGAAGTCATTTCAATATGACACCCAGTGACTCCTTTTGCAATTGTCATTCTCAACCCATTTACACTCTTTCTTCTTATAAGAAGAGATTTTTTGGCTGGCTGCAGTGGCTCACACCTGTAATCCCAGCACTTTAGGAGGCCGAGGCAGGCAGATTTCTTGAGTCCAGGAGCTCAACACCATCCTGGACAACATGGCAAAACCCTGTCTCTACAAAAAATACAAAAATTAGCTTGGCATGGCAGTTCACAACTGTGGCCCAGCTACTCAGGAGGCTGAGGTGGGAGGATTGCTTGAGGCTGGGAGGCAGGTTTCAGTGAGCTGTGATCATGCCACTGCACTCCAGTCTGGTCAAAAGAGTGAAGCCCAGAAGAAAGAGAAAGAGAAGAAAAGAGAAGGAAGAGAAGGGAAGGGAAAGGAAAGGAAAGGAGAAGGAAGAGAGAGAGAGAGAAAGGAAAGAAAGAGAGAGAAAGAGAAGGGAGGGAGGGAGGGAAGGAAGGAGGGACGGAGGGAGGTAAGGAAGGAAGGAAGGAAATGAAGGGGAAACAAAGGAAGAAAGAAAGGGAAAGGAAAGGAAGAGAGAGAAAGAAAAAAAGAGAAAGGAAAGGGAGGGGAGGGGAGGGGAGAGGAGAGGAGGGGAGAGGACGGGAGGGGAGGGGAGGGGAGAAGAGAAGAGAAGAGAAGAGAAGAGAAGAGAAGAGAAGAGAAGAGAAGAGAAGAGAAGAGAAGAGAAGAGAAGGTCACTTCCAAGATGGCCAAATAGCAACAGCTCCAGTCTGCAGCCCCTAGCGAGATCAATGCAGAAGACGGTTGATGTCTGCATTTCCAACTGAGGTACCTGGTTCATCTCACTGGGACTGGTTGGACAGTGGATACAGCCCATGGAGGGTGAGCTGATGCAGGGCAGGGTGTCGCCTCACCTGGGAAGTGCAAGGGGTTGGGGGATTTCTCCTTCCTAGCCAAGGGAAGCCATATGACAGACTGTACCTGGAGAAATGGTATACTTCTGACCAAATACTGCACTATGCCCACAGTCCTAGCAACTGGCAAACCAGCAGATACCCTCCCATGCCTGGCTCAGCGGGTCCCATGCCAACAGAGCCTTGCTCACTGCTAGCACAACAGTGTGAGATCAACCTGCGATGCTGTAGCTGGACGAGCGGAGGGGAGTCCGTCATTGCTGAGGCTTGACTAGCTCACAGTATAAACAAAGAGGCCTGGAAACATGAACCGGGCGGAGCCCACCTCAGCTCAGCAAGGCCTACTGCCTCTATAGATTCCACCTCCGGGGGCATGGCATAATAGAACAAAAGGCAGCAGACAGCTTCTGCAGGCTTAAATGTCCCTGTGTGACAGCTCTGAAGAAAGCAGTGGTTCTCACAGCATGGCATTTGAACACCAAGAACAGACAGACTACCTCCTCAGTTAGGTCCCTGACCCCCATGTAGCCTGACTGGGGAACACCTCCCAGTAGGGGCCAACAGACACCTCAAACAGGCGGGTGCCCCTCTGGGACAAAGCTTCCAGAGGAAGGATCAGGCAGCAATATTTGCTGTTCTGCAGCCTCTGCTGGTGATACCCAGGCAAACAGGGCCTGGAGTGGACCTCCAGCAAACTCCAACACACCTGCAGCTGAGGGGTCTGATTGTTAGAAGGAAAACTAACAAATGAAAAAAATAGCATCAACATCAACACAAAGGACATGCACACCAAAACCCCATCTGTAGGTCACCAACATCAAAGACCAAAGGTAGATAAAACCACAAAGATGGGGAGAAACCAGAGCAAAAAAGCTAAAAATTCCAAAAAACAGAGCGCCTCTTCTCCTCCAAAGGATCGCAGCTCCTCGCTAGCAAGGGAACAAAACTGGACAGGGAATGATTTTGAAGAGTTGACAGAAGTAGGCTTTAGAAGGTCAGTAATAACAAACTTCTCCAAGCTAAAGGAGCGTGTTCTAACCCATTGCAAGGAAGCTAAAAACCTTGAAAAAAGGTTAGATGAATGGCTAACTAGAATAAATACTAGAGAATACCTTAAATGACCTGATGGAGCTGAAAACCATGGCACGAGAACTTCGTGATGCATGCACAAGCTTCAATAGCTGATTCGATCAAATGGAAGAAAGGATATCAGTGATTGAAGATCAAATTAATGAAATAAAGCAAGAAGACAAGATTAGAGAAAAATGAGTGAAGACAAACGAATAAAGCCTCCAAGAAATATGAGACTATGTGAAAAGACCAAATATACATTTGATTACTGTACTGGAAAGTGACAGGGAGAAGGGAACCAAGTTAAAAAACACTCTTCAGGATATTATCCAGGAGAACTTCCCTAACCTAGCAAGGCAGGCCAACATTCAAATTCAGGAAATACAGAGAACACCACAAAGATACTCCTCCAGAAGAGCAACCCCGAGACACATAATTGTCAGATTCACCAAGGTTGAAATGAAGGAAAAAAAGTTAAGGGCAGCCAGAGAGAAAGGCTGGGTTACCCACAAAGGGAAGCCCATCAGACTAAGAGTGGATCTCTCGGCTGAAACCCTACAAGCCAAAAGACAGTGGGGGCCAATATTCAACATTCTTAAAAAAAAAAAAAAACAATTTTCAAACCAGAATCTCATATCCAGCCAAACTAAGCTTCATAAGCAAAGGAGAAATAAAATCCTTTACAGACAAGCAAATGCTGAGAGATTTTGTCACCACCAGGCCTGCCTTACAAGAGCTTCTGAAGAAAGCACTAAACATGGAAGGCAACAACCAGTACCAGCCACTGCAAAAACATGACAAATGGTAAAGACTATCGACGCTATGAAGAAACTGCATCAATTAACGGGCAAAATAACCAGCTAACATCATAATGACAGGATCAAATTCAAACATAACAATATTAGCCTTAAATGTAAATTGGGCTAAATGTCCCAATTAAGAGACACAGACTGGCAAAGTGGATAAAGAGTCAAGACCCATCGGTGTGCTGTATTCAGGAGACCCATCTCACATGCAGAGACACACATAGGCTCTAATAAAGGGATGGTGGAAGATCTACCAAGCAAATGGAAAGCAAAAAGAAAAGCAGGGTTTGCAATCCTAGTCTCTGATAAAACAGACTTTAACCATAACCAAAACAAAGATCAAAAGAGACAAAGAAGGCCACTACATAATGGTAAAGGGATCAATTCAACAAGAAGAGCTAAGTATCCTAACTATATATGCACCCAATACAGGAGCACCCAGATTCATAAAGTAAGTCCGTAGAGACCTACAAAGAGACTTAGACTCCCACACAATAATAATGGGAGACTTTAACACCCCACTGTCTATATTAGACAGATCAATGAAACAGAAAGTTAACAAGGATATCCAGGACTTGAACTCAGCTCTGGACCAAGCAGACGTAATAGACATCTACAGAACTCTCCACCCCAAATCAACAGACTATAACTTCTTCCAAGCACCACATCACACTTATTCTAAAATTGACCACATAATTGGTAGTAAAATACTCCTCAGCAAATGTAAAAGAACAGAAATCACAACAAACTGTCCCTCAGACCACAGAGCAATCAAATTAGAACTCAGGATTAAGAAATTCAATCAATCGGCCGGGCGCGGTGGCTCACGCCTGTAGTCCCAGCACTTTGGGAGGCCGAGGCGGGTGGATCATGAGGTCAGGAGATCGAGACCATCCTGGCTAACAGGGTGAAACCCCGTCTCTACTAAAAATACAAAAAATTAGCCGGGCGCAGTGGCGGGCGCCTGTAGTCCCAGCTACTCGGGAGGCTGAGGCAGGAGAATGGCGTAAACCCGGGAGGCAGAGCTTGCAGTGAGCCGAGATTGCGCCACTGCAGTCCGCAGTCCGGCCTGGGCGACAGAGCGAGACTCCGTCTCAAAAAAAAAAAAAAAAAAAAAAAGAAATTCAATCAATCAAAACCACACAACTACATGAAAACTGAACAACCTGCTCCTGAATGACTACTGGGTAAATAACAAAATGAAGGCAGAAATAAATATGTTCTTTGAAACCAATGAGAACAAAGACACAACATACCAGTATCTCTAGGACACATTTAAAGCAGTGTGTAGAGGGAAATTTATAGCACTAAATGTCCACAGGAGAAAGCAGGAAAGAGCTAAAATTGACACTTTAACATCACAATTAAAAGAACTAGAGAAGCAAGAGCAAACAAATTAAAAAGCTAGCAGAAGGCAAGAAATAACTAAGATCAGAGCAGAACTGCAGGAGATAAAGACACAAAAAACCCTTCAAAAAATCAATGAATCCAGGAGCTGGTTTTTAGAAAAGATCAACAAAAAGACTGCTAGCAAGACTAATAAGGAAGAAAAGAGAGAAGAATCAAATAGACACAATAAAAAATGATACAGGGGATATCACCACCAATCCCACAGAAATACAAACTACTTCATCAGAAAATACTATAAACACCTCTATGGAAATAAACTAGAAAATCTAGAAGAAATGGATAAGTTCCTGGACACATACACCCTCTCAAGACTAAACCAGGAAGAAGTTGAATATCTGAATAGACCAATAAAAGGTTCTGAAATTGAAGCAATAATTAATAGCCTACCAACCAAAAAAAGTCCAGGACCAGATGGATTCACAGCCAAATTCTACCAGAGGTACAAAGAGGAGCTGGTACCATTCCTTCTGAAACTGTTTCAATCAATAGAAAAAGGGGGAATCTTCCCTAACTCATTTTATGAGGCCAGCATCATCCTGATACCAAAGCCTGGCAGAGACACAACAAAAAAAAAGAGAATTTTACGCCAATATCCCTGATGAACATTGATGTGAAAATCCTCAATAAAATACCAGTAAACCAAATCCAGCAGTGCATCAAAAAGCTTATCCAACAAAATCAAGTTGGCTTCATCCCCAGCATGCAAGGCTGGTTCAACATATGCAAATCAATAAACATAATCCATCACATAAACAGATCCAATGGCAAAAACCACATGATTGTCTCAATAGATGCAGAAAAGGCCTTTGACAAAATTCAACAGCCTTCCATGCTAAAAACTCTCAATAAACTAGGTATTGATGGAACGCATCTCAAAATAATAAGAGCTATTTATGACAAACCCACAGCCAATATCATACTGAATGGGAAAAAACTGGAAGCATTCCCTTTGAAAACCAGCACAAGACAAGGATGCCCTCTCTCACCACTCTTGTTCAACATAGTGTTGGAAGTTCTGGCTAGGGCAATCAGTCAAGAGAAAGAAATAAAGGGTATTCAATTAGGAAAAGAGGAAGTCAAATTGTCTCTCTTTGCAGATGACATGATTGTATATTTAGAAAACCCCATCGTTTCAGCCCAAAATCTCCTTAAGCTGTTAAGCAACTTCAGCAAAGTCTCAGGATACAAAATCAATGTGCAAAAATCACAAGCACTCCTATACACCAATAACAGACAGAGAGCCAAATCATGAGTGAACTCCCATTCACAATTACTACAAATAGAATAAAATAACTAGGAATCCAACTTACAAGGGATGTGAAGGATCTCTTCAAGGAGAACTACAAACCACTGCTCAATGAAATGAAAGAGGACACAAACAAATGGAAGAACATTCCATGCTCATGGATAGGAAGAATCAGTATCATGAAAATGGCCATACTGCCCAAAGTAATTTATAGATTCAATGCTATCCCCATCAAGCTACCACTGACTTTCTTCACAGAATTGGAAAAAAACTACTTAAAGTTCATATGGAACCAAAAAAGAGCCTACATAGCCAAGACAATCCTAAGCAAAAAGAACAAACTGGAGGCATCACGCTGCCTGACTTCAAACTATAGTACAAGTCTACCATAACCAAAACAGCATGGTACTGCTACCAAAACAGATATATAGACCAATGGAACAGAACAGAGGCCTCAGAAATAACACCACACATCTACAACCATCTGATCTTTGACAAACCTGACAAAAACAAGAAATGGGGGAAAGGATTCCCTATTTGATAAATGGTGCTGGGAAAACTGGCTAGCTATATATAGAAAGCTGATACTGGATCCCTTCCTTACACCTTATCCAAAAATTAACTCAAGATGGATTAAAGACTTAAATGTAAGACCTAACACCATAAAAATCCTAGAAGAAAACCTAGGCAATACCATTCAGGACGTAGGCATGGGCAAAGACTTCATGACTGAAACACTAAAAATAATGGCAACAAAAGCCAAAATTGACAAATGGGATCTAATTAAAGAGCTTCTGCAGAGCAAAAGAAACTATCACCAGAGTGAACAGGCAACCTACAGAATGGGAGAAAAATTTTTCAATCTATCCATTTGACAAAGGGCTAATATCCAGAATCTACAAAGAACATAAACAAATGTACAAGAAAAAAACAAACAACCCCATCAAAAAGTGGGCAAAGGCTATGAACACACTTCTCAGAAGAAGACATTTATGCAGCCAACAGACATATGAAAAAAAGCTCATCATCACTGGTCATTAGAGAAATGGAAATCAAAACCACAGTGAGATACTATCTCACACCAGTTAGAATGGCGATCATCAAAAGTCAGGAAACAACAGGTGCTGGAGAGGATGTGGAGAAATAGGAATGCTTTTACACTGTTGTGGGACTGTAAATTAGTTCAACCATTGTGGAAGACAGTGTGGCGATTCCTCACGGATCTAGAACTAGAAGTACCATTTGATCCAGCAATCCCATTACTGGGTATATACCCAAAAGATTATAAATCATTCTATGATAAAGACACATACACACGTATGTTTATTGTGGCACTATTCACAATAGCAAAGACTTGGAACCAACCCAAATGTCCATCAATGATAGACTGGATTAAGAAAATGTGGCACATATACACGATGGAATACTATGCAGCCGTAAAAAAGGATGAGTTCATGTCCCTTGCAGGGATATGGATGAAGCTGGAAACCATCATTCTAAGCAAACTATCACATGGACAGAAAACCAAACACCACATGTTCTCACTCATAGGTGGGAATTGAACAATGAGAATACGTGGACACAGGGCAGGGAACATCACACACTGGGGCTGGTCAGGGTTTGGGAGGCTCAGGGAGGGATAGCATTTGGAGAAATAACTAATGTAAATGACGAGTTGGTGGGTGCAGCAAACCAACATGGCACATGTATACCTTTGTAACAAACCTGCACATTGTGCACATGTACCCTAGAACTTAAAGTGAAAGAAAGAAAGAGAGAGAGAGAGGGAGAGAGAGAGGAAGGAAAAGGGAAGGGAAGGAAAAGGGAAAGGAAGGGAAGGAAAAGGGAAGGGAAGGGAAGGGAAGGAAAAGGGAAGGGAAGAGAAGGGACTTTTTTACAGTGAAGAAAAAATAATGTCACTGAAGGCTTTTTGTCATCTAAGCTGTGTAAAATTACTGAGGAATAGTGAGGAGTGGGGAACCAGGGAAGCAACCCTGCTGACAAATTTAACCCTACCCAGGACAAAACAAAAACCTGCAGGGTTTCTCCTACTGCACTGTGATGCTAGAAGATACTGAATAAAGAGATGCGCTTTAGGGTGAAGGGACATATTAAAGGGGTTTTGGTTACAGAAAGATAGGTATCTATGCTTAGTCTGGTGGGCCTGAAGAGAGATGAACTGGAGGAAAACATTTCATTTCTTACGAGGCAGCTGGTGGAGAAGAAAAGGAAGGAGCCCAGCCAGCCACCTGGCACTCTATGCAGAGACAACTGGGAAGATGCTCCCTGGCTCAGGACCCGACAGAACTCCCCTCCACTGCCTCGAACCTTCAGTATAAGTTTGGTACATGCAGCATTATGGGTAGTTTTCAACAAGGCAGTGTGGGAGACAGGCAGAACTTCCCAGGGGAGGAAAAGATAGAGGACTAAGGAGCAACAGGAAAAATATAAACCTTCCAAGAATATCCAGGGGCCTACTATTAGTGGAATAATGGCTCAAGCTAATGATTATTCATTCACCCTTTTATTCAACCAATATTAACTGAGTGCCACCTACATGCTAAGTACAGTCCAGCCAATGTGCACCAGTGCAGGAAAACCAATTGTGCACATTCCTTCCCAACTCCACGTTTAGTCATGTCATGTTGGTAGTTTGAAGTCAGCCATGGTAGGAATATTGGCACCATAGTAATTGGCAAATGCTACAAATCAGAACTTTTTTCCCCTCAGAGAGTTGGTTTGCCACTAACCCCTGGCCAGCCACTCTTTTGGATACTGAGAAAAGAGCAATGAGCAAAACAGACAAGGTTATAACCCTAGAAGAGCATATGTTATAGAAGGGAAAGATCAAAGAATTGATTGATTGATTGATTGATTGATTCACAAGCTATTTTCGAATGGTGAATAGGGCTAGGAAGACAAGAAAAAGGGGTGACTGATAGGCTGCAGAGGTTGGGAAGATCTCTTTAAGGAGGTAACACTTGCCTGGATGCAGTGGCTCATGCCTGTAATCTCAGCACTTGGGGAGGCCAAGGTGGGAGGATCGCTTCAGTCCAGGAATTTGAGACCAGCCTGGGTAACATAGCGAGACCCCGTCTCTATAAAAAAAAAAAAAAATGTTTTTCAATTAGCCAGGCATGGTAGTGTGTACCTGTAGTTCCAGCTACTCGGGAGGCTAAGGTAAGAGTATCACTTAAGCCCAGGAATTCAAGGCTGCAGTGAGCTATGATTGTGCCACTGCACTCCAGCCTGAGTGACAGAGTGAGATAGATAGATAGATAGATAGATAGATAGATAGATAGATAGATAGATAGATAGATAGATAGATAGAATGGGTGCAGTGGCTCACACCTGTAATCCCAGCACTCTGGGAGGCCAAGGCAGGCAGATCACCTAAGATCAGGAGTTCAAGACCAGCTTGGCCAACATGGTAAAACCCCGTCTCTACTAAAAATACAAAAAACATTATCTGGGCGTGGTGGCACACACCTGAAATCTCCGCTACTCAGGAGGCTTAGGTAGGAGAATAGTTTGAACCTGGGAGGCAGAGGTTGCAGTGAGCCAAGACTGCGCCACTGCACTCCACCCTGGGCAACAGAGTGAGACTCCATCTCAATAAATAAATAAATAAATAACAGAGGTAAGCAACACTTGAGCAGTGAAATGAATTTTTTAAAAGAAAATCATCCCAGCAGTTTGGGGTTATCTGTAGAGCAGGCAGCTCTTTGTAGCATGCTGTTATAGTCTCCCATCGTAAAAACACCTTCCGGCCGGGTGAGGTGGCTCACGCCTGTAATCCCAGCACTTTGGGAGGCCAAGGCGGGCAGATCACGAGGTCAAGAGCTCAAGACTATCCTGGCCAACATGGTGAAACCTCGTCTCTACTAAAAATACAAAAATTAGCTGGGCGTGGTGGCGCATGCCTATAGTCCCAGCTACTCAGGAGGCTGAAGCAGGAGAATCGCTTGAACCCGGGAGGCGGAACCTGCAGTGAGCCGAGATGCACTCCACTGCACTCCAGCCTGGCGACAGAGCAAGACTCCGTCTCAAAAAAAAAACCTTCCCCAGCCCCTCCCTCTTTTCTCTCCTTGCCTTTATAGCCAGCTGCTCCCAAAAGAGGCCTCTGTTTATTTCCTCCAATTCCTCCTCTCCCTGCTTGCTCCCACCACTCACCAATACCACTCTTGTCAAGGTCACGAGCAAACTTCATATTGCTGAGTCCTGTGGTTGACTTTCATCCTTTATCTGACTGAAGCTCTTGGCAGCACTTGACAGAACCAGCCACTCCCTCCTCCTCACATATTGTTTGCATTTGGCTTCCAGGACGTCACCCCTCCTGAATTCCTCCCATCTCACCAGCTGGGCTTTTTTTTTCTTCAGTCTCTTTTGCTGGTTCTTCTCTAAACCCCTGACCTCTAAATGCGGAGGTGTCCCGGCCTCACTTTTTGGACCTCTTCCCTTTCCTGACTATACTTCTTTTTCAGAGACCTCATCCAGCCTCACAGCTGTAGGTTCCAGCTCCGTGCTGATGAGTCTCAAACCCACGTCAGCTGGCCAGACCGCTCACCTGAACATCCACTGCTTACTTAACATCTCCACCTGGAGCCAGAGTGATCCTTTAAAGTGTGATTTGTATCTCATCACTCCTTTGCTTCAAATCCTCCAATGGCAACACAGTGAGGCAAAGATAGTCTTTTTAACAAATGGTGCTGGAACAATGGTATATCCATGATATAGTCTGGCTCTGTGTGCCCACCCAGATCTCACCTTGAATTGTAATAATCCCCATGTGTCAAGGGTGGGAGCAGGTGGAGGTAATCAAATGACGGGGGAGGTTTCCTCCATGCTGTTCTCCTGATAATGAGTGAGTCTCACAAGATCTGATGGTTTTATAAGCCTCTGGCATTTCTCCTGCTCGCACTCACTCCATCTTGCTGCCCTGTGAAAAAAGTGTCTGCTTCTCCTTTGCCTTCCACCATGATTATAAGTTTCCTGAGGCTTCCCCAGCAATGAGAAACTATGAGTCAATGAAACCTCTTTCCTTTATCAATTATCCAGTCTCAGGTATTTCCTCATAGCAGTGTGAGAACAGAATAATACAATCCACTTACAAAAAATGAATCCAGACACAGATCTTACAGCCTTCACAAAAATTAGCTTGAAATAGATCACAGCCCTAAACGGAAAACGGAACACTGTAAAACTTCTTCCTATGATTTAGGTGTTTGCACCCTCCAAAATTCCTGTTGAAACTGAATCCCCAATGTGGCAGTATTGGGGCCTTTAAGAGGTGATTGTGTCATGAAGGTTCTGCTCTCATGAATGAATTAATCCATTCATGGATTAATGGATTAAAGGGTTAATGGATTAATGTGTTACTATGAGAATGAGACTGGTGGCTTTAAAAGGAGAGGAGAGACTTGATCTAGCACATTCAGGCCCCTCACCATGTGATGCTGTGCACCACCTTGGGACTCTATGGAGAGTCCCCACAGCAAGAAGGCCCTCACCAGATGCAACCCTTCAGGTTATGACTTCTCAGCCTCTATAACTGTAAGAAATACATTCCTTTTCTTTATACATTTCCCAGTTTTAGTTATCCAGTTATGAGCAACAGAAAGTGAACTAAGACACTCCTAGAAGATAGGAGAAAATCTAGATGACCTAGGGTTTGGCAATTATTTTTTTAGATATATCACAAAAGGCACAATTCATAAAAGAAATAATTGATAAGCTGGATTTCACTAAAATTAAAAGTTTCTGCTCTGTGAAAAACACTGTCAAGAGAATAAAAACAGAAGCCACAGACTGGGAGAAAATATTTGCAAAAGACAGATCTGATAAAGGACTGTTTCCAAACTTTATATATATATATATATACACACACACATACACACATATATATATGTACATATATATACATATATACACACACATATATACATATATACATATATATACACATATATACATATATTCACATATATATGCACATATATACACATATATACATATATACACATATACACATATATACACATATACACATATATACATATATACACATATATACACATATACACATATATACACATATATACATATATATACGTATATATACACACACATATATATATATATATATTTTTTTTTTTTTGAAATGGAGTTTTGCTCTTTTTGCCCAGGCTGGAGTGCAATGGCGCAATCTTGGCTCACTGCAACCTCTGCCTCCTGGGCTTAAGCAATTCTCGTGCCTCAGCCTCCCATGTAGCTGGGACTACAGGTGCGTGCCACCACACCTGACTAATTTTTTTTTATTTTTAGTAGAGACGGGGTTTCACCATGTTGGCCAGGCTGATCTTGAACTCATGACCTCAGGTGATCTACCCGCCTCGGCCTATCAAAGTGCTGGGATTACAGGCATGAGCCACTGTCCCTGGCTCAAAATTTATATATTTTATATAGAACCCAATTGAAAAATGAGCCAAAGACTTTAGCAGACACCTCACCAAAGAAGAGGTGGCAAATAAGTATACAAAAATGGGCTCACATCATATGTCATCAGGAAAATGCAAATTAAAACCATGAGACACCTTTATACAGCTATTAGAATAACCCAAATCCAGAACACTGACAACACCAAATGCAGGCAAGGGAGTGGAGCAATAGGAACTCTCATTCATTACTCGTGGAAATGCAAAATAGTACTATTGCCTTGGAAGACAGTTTGGTGGTTTCTAAACATACTAAACATAGTCTTTTACACAAAACTAAACTTACTCTTAACATAAAATCTAGCAATCATGCTCCTTGGTATTTACCCAAAGGAGTTGAAGACTTATGTCTACACAAAAGTCTGCACACCAATATTTATAGCAGCTTTATTCATAACTGCCAAAACTTGGAAGCAAACAAGATGTCCTTCAGTAGGTAAATGGGTAAATAAACTGTGGTACATCCAGACACTAAAATACTATTCAGAGCTTAAAAACAAACTGTCAAGCCATGAAAAGACAAGGAGGAAACTTAAATGCATATCACCAAGCGAAAGAAGCCAATCTGAAAAGGCCATGTACTGCATGATTCCAACTATATGACATTCTGAAAAAGGCAACACATGGAGACAGTGAAAATATCAACAGTGGCCGGGCACGGTGGCTCACGCCTGTAATCCCAGCACTTTGGGAGTCTGAGGCAGGTGGATCACCTGAGGTCAGGAGCTTAAGACCAGCCTGGTCAACATGGTGAAACCCCATCTCTACTAAAAACACAAAAAGTAACTAGGGTGGTGTTGGGTGCCTGTAATCCCAGCTACTCAGGAGGCTGAGGTAGGAGAATTGCTTGAACTCGGGAGGCGGAGGTTGCAGTGAGCCGAGATCGTGCCACTCTGCTCCGGCCTGGGCAATAGAGCAAGACTCAGTCTCAAAAAACAAAAACAAACAAACAAAAAGATTAATGCTTACCAAAGTTTAGACAGGAGAGAGAGATAAAGAGTTGGGGCCCAGAGGATTTGCAGGACAGTGAAACTAGTCTGTATGATACTATATAGTGGATACATGTTATCGTACATTTGTCTAAGCCCATAAAATGTACACCAAGAGTAAACCCTAATTTAAAACTATGGACTCTAGGTGATTATGATTATCATTGTAGGTTCGTCACTTCTAACAAATATACCCCCTAGTGGAGGATATTGACAGTGGGGGAGGTTGTACATGTGTGAGGCCATGGGGTATATGAAATATCTCTGTACATTCTGCTCAATTTTTCTGTGAACCTAAAACTGCTCTAAAAACTAAAGTTTATTTGGCCCGGTGTGGTGGCTCATGCCTGTAATCCCAGCACTTTGGGAGACCGAGTCAAGTGGATCATTTGAGGTCAGGAGTTCAAGACCAGGCTGGCCAACATCATGAGACCCTGTCTCTACTAAAAATACAAAAATTAGCTGGGCGTGGTTGCATGTGCCTGTAATCCCAGCTACTAGGAAGACTGAAGCATGAGAATCACTTGAACCAAGGAGGTGGAGGTTGCAGTTAGCCAAGATCGCACCACTGCACTCCAGCCTGGGTGTCAGAGTGAGACTCTGTCTTAAATAAATTAATAAATTAAATTTTAAAATAAAAAGTCTATTAAGGCATTAAAAAAAAAATCCTCTAACAGCTCCCACCTTGCTCAAAGTCAACACCAAAGTCATCCAAATGATCTACAAGGCCCCCTCCCTGTACTTCTGTGACCCGCTCTGGATTCATTGAAGACCTGCTTCATTGTAAGAGCGTTAGGAGGAGTGGGAGACTAAGGCTGGCCTAGTTCAGTTTCCCCGCTCCCCAGACAGGCCTGAGCAAGGGCTTGGGAGCCAGGCACTTATGTGAAAGACAAATTCAGGACCCACATATGATGGGAGTAGGAGAAAAGCCATCAGACGGCCCATTTGTGAGGGGGTGGACACGTGGGGTTCCTCCCACCGGGAACCCTCTGGGTAAGCATCTAGAACCCACCTGTGGCGGTGGGGGGCGGGGGGTGCAGGCTGCTGAGCCTCTTTGTGCTCTCTCCCATCCTTCCCTGGTTGGTGGTTGTTCCGGGGGCCATAACTGTTGGGAGTTTCTCTTTCTCCAGCTTGCAGTCCTGCAAGCCCCCATGGCATCTGAGAAAACTCCCAGGCACAGAAGGGTTGAGCCAGGCACTTGGGAAGGATGTTGCCGGATGTTGGAGACCTCCACAGCCTCTGGTGGGGAACTGCCCAAGGTCCAAGCCAGGGGGAGGGCCTATCCCGCCTCTGATGGCTGGAGGCTCTGGATATCACCAAAGATTTGAAAATTTGACTGTGTCTACAGCCATTCCACCCTGACAGAGTGAAAGTACTGCATATATTTAATAGTCTTAAGGATAAATACAGAGAGTAGTTAAAAGTATAAACAAATCAATGAGAATGCTAAACACTAGATTCAGAAATATTGTTGCCACTGAAAGAAGCGGCAGGAGATGTGGTCTAGGAAGCCTCAGTTGTATTAGTAATTCTTTTTTTTTTTTTGAGATGGAGTCTTGCTCTGTCGCCCAGGCTGAAGTGCAATGGCACGACCTCGGCTCACTGTAACCTCCGCCTCCTGGGCTCGAGCAATTCTCCTGTCTCAGCTTCCCAAGTAGCTGGGACTACAGGCACACGCCATGATATCCAGCTAATTTTTGTATTTTTAGTAGAGACGGGATTTCACCATATTGGTCAGGCTGGTCTCGAACTCCTGGCCTCAGGTGATCCACCCACCTCAGCCTCCCGAAGTGCTGGGATTACAGGCGTGAGCCACCGCACCCAGCCATTAATGTTTATTTTTTTAAGTGGCTGTTCATTATATTTTTCTCTATACATTTTTATATATTTGATGTATTACATTGTTATTTTATTATTGTTGTTATTATTATTATTTGAGACAGAGTCTCACTCTGCTGCCCACATTGAGCGCAGTGGCACAATCATGGCTCACTGCAGCCTTGACCTCCTGAGCTCAAGCAATCCTCTCACCTCAGCCTTTCAAGTAGCAGGGACTACAGGCACATGACACCACACCCAGCTAATTTTTTTTTTTTTAAGACTAAGTCTTGCTCTGTCGCCCAGGCTGAAGTACAGTGGTGTGATCTCAGCTCACTGAAACCTCCACCTCCCAGGTTCAAGCGATTCTCCTGCCTCAGGCTCCCGAGTAGCTGGGATTACAGGCACACGCCACCACGCCCAGCTGATTTTTTTGTATTTTTAGTAGGGATGGGGTTTCACCCTGTTGGCCAGGCTGGTCTTGAGCTCCTGACCTCAGGTGATCCACCCACCTCGGCCTCCTAAAGTTCTGGGATTACAGACGTGAACCACCAGGCACAGCCAGCTAATTTTTTAATTTTTGGTAGAGACAGGGTCTTACTATGTTGCCCAGGCTGGTCTTGAACCCCTGGCCCCAAGCAATCTTCCCACCTAGGCCTCCCAAAGTGCTGAGATTACAAGTGTGAGCCACTACACCCAGCCTATATAATTATTTTTAAACAAATATTTAAATTATTCAGAAAATTTTTGAAAAGGAAGAAAAATGAGAGGATTAGACTTGCTATATATAAAAGCACATTATAAAGCACAAGTAATTAAAAGTTTGTCATCAGAGCAAAAATAGACCAATCTATGAAATAAAACAGAAAGCCCAGAAATAGCCACCAAGTGCATATGGGATAAAGAATAAGAGGAAGGTATCATTTTAAATTAGTAGGGTAGGATACATGACTCAATAAATGGTCTCAGGGATATTGTTCTTACCTCCAGGATAAATTTAAGATAGATTTTTTTAATGTAATGCAAAACTTAAGTCATAAAAGAGGAAAACATATGAATTTAGTTATACTCTTGGCATAGAGAAGGCCTTTGTAGCACGATATATTCAGACACCATAAAAGGAAAATTTTGTTTCATTTTTGTCTAAATAAAAACTTTAGACTTCTTCAAGAAAAGGACAAACCAGGAGAAAGTATTTACAGATGTATGGCTACTTTACTTAAATCCAATAAAGTCTTAATAATCAACATATAAGAGATAACCCAAGTGGAAAAAAAATGGGTAAAGGAATGAATACTTGATAGGAAACAATAAAAACAGCCATTAAGCATGAAAAAAATACATAACTTTAGTAATTAAAGGAATACAGGCGACTATAGTTAATAATTTATTGTATATTTCAAGATAGCAGGCTGGGTATGGTGGCTCATGACTGTAATCCCAGCACTTTGGGAGGCTGAAGCAGGTGGATCACTGAGGCAGATCACCTGAGGCCAGGAGTTTGAGACTAGCCTGGCCAACATGGTAAAACCCTGTCTCTACAAAATATACAAAAATTAGCTGGGGGATGGTGGCGGGCACATGTAATCCCAGCTACTCGTGAGGCTAAATCAGGAGAATTGCTTGAACCTGGGAGGCGGAGGTTGGAGTGAGCCGAGATGGCGCCACTGCCCTCCAGCCTGGGTGATAGAGCAAGACTCTGTCTCAAAAAAAAAAAAAAAAATAGCTTAGAAGAGATTTGGAATGTTCCCAACACAAAGAAATGGTAAGTGTTTGAGGTGGTTGATATGCTAAGTACCATCATTAGATCATTACACATTGTATGCATGTGTAATGCTTGTAAGCATGGTAAGCCAGGCACAGTGGTGCACCTGTATTCCCAGCTGCTCTGAGGGCTGAGAAGTCACTTGAGGCTAGGAGTTTGAATCCAGCCTGAGCAACATGGTAAGTTTTAAAACTTTTTTTTTTTTTTTTGAGATAGAGTTTTGCTCTTGTTGCCCAGGCTGGAGTGCAATGGCACAATCTAGGCTCACTGACTGCAATGTCTGCCTCCCGGGTTCAAGGGATTCTCCTGCCTCAGCCTCCCGAGTAGCTGGGATTACATGTGCCCGCCACCACACCCAGCTAATTTTTTCTATTTTGAGTAGTGATGGGTTTCACCATTTTGGTCAGGCTGATCTCAAACTCCTGACCTCAGGTAATCCACCTACATCGGACTCCCAGAGTGCTGAGATTACAGCATGAGTGAGCCACCGCACCCAGCCATTTTAAAACTTTTAAAAACAAAACAGGCCAAGTGCAGTGGCTCACTCCTATAATCCCAGCACTTTGGGAGGCCGAGGCGGGTGGATCACCTGAGATCAGGGGTTCAAGACCAGCCTGGTCAACATGTTGAAACACCATCTCTACTAAAAATACAAAAATTAGCCGGGTGTGGCGGCGGGTGCCTGTAATCCCAGCTACTCAGGAGGCTGAGGCAGGAGAATCACTTGAACCTAGGAGGCAGAGGTTACAGTGAGCCAAGATCATGCCATTGCACTCCAACCTGGGCGACAAGAGTGAAACTCCTTCTCAAAGATAAAAAATAATAAAAATAAGACAAAATATCATATGTACTCCATAAACATGTACAATGTTTATGTATCAGTTTTTTTAAAGAAATGCAAATGAAAACAACTAGATACCATTTTTATTAAATCAGGTTAGCAACATTTAAATATTTGATTGGTGAGGCTGTGGGGAAAGAGGCAGTGGGAGACATAAACAAGGCAAACTCTTTAGACAGCACCTTTGCAATAGCTATGAAAATGTAAGAACGTATCCTTTGATTCACCAGTTCCAGTTCTTCAGGGTGTGCTCACATGAGACTGCAGAGAGGTTGTATACAAATGACCACACATCAGTGATTGTGATAGCAAAAATAGGAAGAGCCAACTGCCTATCAATAGGATAATAAGTGATGCTATGCAGCATTATAAAGAATAGGATGGGATGGGCGCAGTGGCTCACACCTGTAATACCAGCACTTTGGGAGGCCAAGGCAGGTGGATCACTTGAGGTCAGGAGTTCAAGACCAGCCTGACCAACATGGTGAAACCCCATTTCTACTAAAAATATAAAATTAGCCAGGCATGGTGGCACGGGCCTGTAATCCCACCTACTCAGGAGATTGAGGCAGGAGAATCGCTTGAACCCAGGAGGTGGAGAGTGCGGTGAGCCGAGATCATACCGTTGTACTCCAGCCTGGGCAACAAGAGCAAAACTCCATCTCAAAAAAAAAAAAGAATGGGTGGGTCTCTATGTGTGGGTATGGAAATTGTCCTAATGTAATTTATTACTTAATATATTAGGCTGGTGCAAAAGTAAGCATAATTACATATGAGTACATTATTTAATATATTTAATGTATTATTAAATAATGAAAGCAAAATACACAGCAGTGCCATTGCATAGTCAAATTTGTGGTTTAAGAGTTTACACGTACTAAAATACACATAACCACGGTGAAAACGCATTTGCTCTTTTGAACTTTGGCAATTCTTATTTTTAACCACATGAATGCTATATTTTTATCTTTAAAAAGCTAGTTTTTTAATGAGAAAAATGATGTAACAGATATAAAATTACTGACTTGGAACAATATTATTACCTGAAAAAAGTTGGGTTTCAAAGCAGCATGTATATGATAATCACATTTCTTTCTTTATACATCTGTAATTATTTCCATATATATTTTTGTGCATCGAAAATTGAAAGAATTTAGCCAAAATGTTCACTGTGGAAATCCCCAGCTGTCATTATTTTTCCATCTGCTTCTTTGAACTTTGTACTGTTCTATAGCAGGGTTTCTCAGCCTCAGCACTACTGGCATTTAGGACCAAATACTTTTTTGTCCCGGGGACTGTCCTGTATCTTGTAGGACGTTTTGCAACACCTCTGGCCTCTCCCTACTAGATGCCAGTAGCACCCCCACCTATGACAAATAGCATCTTTCCAGACTGTTACATGTTGCTTCTGGGGTGCAAAAATCACACCCCCCACAACCACTGGATCTACAGGAAACATGATTTGTTTATGTAATTTTAAAATGTGATTATGTAATAAAAAATAATACATTGGATAGAAATACAGATGATGATAGACAAATAGATAAATGATGGCAAGTAGATGGATGGATAGACAGATAGAAAGAAATAATGTAGGCTGGGTGCAGTGTCTCAAGCCCATAATCCCAACACATTGGGAGGCCAAGGTGGGAAGATTGCTTGAGCCCAGGAGTTCAAGACAAGCCTGGGCAACATAGTGAGTCCTTGTCTCTATGTCAAAAAATGAGACGGGAAGGCCAGGTGCGGTGGCTCACACCCGTAATCCCAGCACTTTGGGAGGGCAAGCTGGGTGGATCACTTGAGGTCAGGAGTTTGAGACCAGCCTGGCCAACATGGTGAAACCTCGTCTCTACTAAAAATACAAAGATTAGCCAGGCGTGGTGTCAGGCACCTGTAATCCCAGCTACTTCAAAGGCCAAGGCAGGAGAATCACCTGAACCCGAGAGGCAGAGGTTGCAGTGAGCTGAGATCTCGCCATTGCACTCTGGGCAACAAGAGCGAAACTCCATCTCGAAACAAACAAACAAACAAACAAAAACATGAGACGGAAGAATTGCTTGAGCCCTGGAGGTCAAGACTGCAATGAGCTGTGATCGCACCACTGCACTCCTGCCTAGGTGATGACAGGGAGACCCTGTCCCAAAAAAAGGAGAGGGAGGGAAGGGGAGGGGAGGGGAGGGAAGGAAAGAATAATATAAGAGAGAAATACACGCAGAGTATCCATTAGGAGACAGGAGGGAAGAAGCAGTTGAAACCACTCTACTGAGATTTTTTTCCTGATTTTTTTTCTAGGTCCTCTTGGAGGAGAATGAGTGACTATTCCCGAACTCACCAGAAGGTATTCATCCAAATGAGTGCCCACCATGCTACCCTTTGGAGGCTTTGCCTGTATTCTAATGATGCTGCAATAATAAAAAGTATGTTTTGTTTTGCTTTTTGAGATGGAGTCTTGCTCAGTCACCCAGGCTGGAGTGCAGAGGTGTGATCTCGGCTCACTGAAACCTCCACCTCCCAGATTCAAGCGATTCTCGTGCCTCAGCCTCCTGAGTAGCTGAGTAGCTGAGTAGGGATTACAGACGTGTGCCACCATGCCTGACCAGTAAAAATATTTTTGATACTCCTCTTTGAAATTTCTCTTCGGAATAGATAACATATATTTTTTAATAACTTCAGAAATGGTCAATATTTCTTTTAAGTAAAACTGCTGATAAGAAATAGACAAGATTGGTCAGGCATGGTGGCTCACACTCATTATCTCAGCATTTTGGGAGGCCCAGGTGGGAGGATCACTTGAGCCCGGGAATTTGAGATCAGCCTGGGCAACATAGTGAGGCCTTTTCTCTACAAAACAAATTTAAAAGTTAGCCAGGTGTGGTGGTACATGCCTGTAGTCCCAACTACTTGAGAGGGTGAGGCGGGAGGATGCAGGATTGCTGGAGCTTAGAAGTTCAAGGCTGCAGCGAGCCATGATTATGCCACTGCACTCCAGCCTGGGTGACAGAGCAAGACCCTGTCTCCAAAAAAAAAAGAAACGATTCACATAGCTTATTTTGCACAATATTGTTTTGTGGTTTTTGGTTTTGGGTTTTTGGGGTTTTTTTGTTTGTTTGTTTGTTTGTTTGTTTTTTGAGATGGAGTTTCGCTCTTGTTGCCCAGGCTGGAGTGCAATGGTGCAATCTCAGCTCACCGCAACCTCTGCTTCACGGGTTCAAGCAATTCTCCTGCCTCAGCCCACTGAGTAGATGGGATTACAGGCATGCACCACCACACCCAGCTAATTTTGTATTTTTAGTAGAGATGGGGTTTCTCCATGTTGGTCAGGCTGGTCTCAAACTCCCGATCTCAGGTGATCCACCCGCCTCAGCCTCCCAAAGTGCTGGGATTATAGGCAGGAGCCACCACGCCCAGTCACAATATTGTTTAATTTAATCATGTAATTTATTCATCACATTAAATCCAGAATTGCTTTTTTGTTTTTTTGAGACAGCGTCTCACTCTGTTGCCCAAGCTAGTGTGCAATAGTGTAATCATGGCCCACTGTAACCTTGAACTTCTAGGTTCAGGCAGTCCTCCCTCCTCAGCCTCCCCAAATAGCTGGGACTACAGGCATACACCACCACACCTGGCTAATTTTTTTTTTTTTTTTTTTTTTTGAGACGGGGTCTTGTTCTGTCGCCCAGGCTGGAGTGCAATGGTGCAATCTTCACTCATTGCAACCTCCGCCTCCTGAGTTAAAGCGATTCCCCTGCCTCAGCCCCACAAGTACCTGGGATTACAGGCACGCACCACCATGCCTGGCTAATTTTTTGTATTTTTAGTAGTAGTAGAGACAGGTTTCACCTTGTTGGCCAGGCTGATCTCGAACTCCAGACCTCGCAATCCACCCGCCTCAGCCTCCCAAAGTGCTGGGATTACAGGCATAAGCTTTTTTTTTTTTGGCGAGTCAAGACCTTACTATGTTGTTGCCCAGGCTGATCTTGAACTCCAGGCCTCAAACCATCCTCCTGCCTTAGCCTCCCAAAGTGCTGGGATTAAAGGCATGAGCCACAGTGCCTGGCTGTGAGAATAGTTTTAAGTAGATGTTTGTTGTTGTCATGAGTTCAATTGTGTCCCCAAAAAAAGATATATTGAAGCCCTAACTTCCACTACCTCAGAACATAACCGTTTTGGAAATAGGGTCACTGCAGATTAGTTAAGGCAAGGTCATACTTGAGTAGGGCGGGCCTCTAATCCAATATGGCTGATGTCCTATAAGGGAAAACTCTGTGAGCACAGACATATGCAGAGCGAAAATAATGTGAAGACACACGGGGAGAAGATGGCATGAGACTGGAGCAGTACAGCTGCAAGACAAGAAATGCCAAGGGTTGCCGGCCGGGAGTGGTGGCTCACACCTGTAATCCCAGCACTTTCGGAGGCCAAGGCGGATGGATCACTTGAAGTCAGGAGTTCAAGACCAGCCTGGCCAACATAGTGAAATCCCGTCTCTACTAAAAATACAAAAATTAGCTGGGCATGGTGGCACATGCCTGTAGTCCCAGCTACTCAGGAGGCTGAGGCAGGAGAATCCCTTGAACCCAGGAGGCAGAGGTTGCAGTGAGCTGAGAGCGCGCCATTGCACTCTAGCCTGGGTGACAGAGGGAGACTCGATCTCAAAAAAAAAACAAACAAAAAAAACCCCCAAGGGTTGCTAGCAACACCAGAAGCTGTGAGAAACAAGGAAGCGTTCTCCCCCAGGGAGCACCACCTGCTGACGTCTTTAGCTCAGATTTCTAGCTTCCAGGACTGTGAAACAATAAATCTCTATTATTTTAAGCCACCCAGTTTTGGGTACAGTCTGGTGCCGAGTAACAATGTTTAGGTTAACAATGAATCATATACACAATGCTTGTCCCATAAGATTATAATGAAGCTGAAAAAATTTTTATTGTCTAATGATATCATAACCATTGTACATTGTTGTGCAATTACTTTATTTTTTATAAGTTTACTGTAGCCGAATGTACAGTGTTTATAAGGTCTACAGCAGTGCACAGTAATGTCCTAGGCCTTCACATTCATTTATCAGTCACTCACCGACTCACCCAGAGCAACTTCCAGTCCTGGAAGCTCCACTCATGGCACGTGCCCTATAGAGGTGTACGAAATTTTATTTTTATTATTTATTTATTTATTTATGTATTTATTTTGAGATGGAGTCTCACTCTGTCCCCAGGCTGGAGTACAGTGATGTGATCTTGGCTCACTGCAACCTCTGCCTCCCGGGTTCAAGTGATTCTCCTGCCTCAGCTTCCCAAGTAGCTGGGACTACAGTCGCCTGCTGCCAAGCCCGGCTAATTTTTTGTATTTTTAGTAGAGACGGGGTTTCACCATGTTAGCCAGGATGGTCTGGATCTCCTGCCCTCGTGATCCGCCCACCTCAGCCTCCCAAAGTGCTGGGATTACAGGTGTGAGCCACCACACCCGGTGGTATTTTGTATATCTAAACATAGAAAATTACAGTAAAAATAGGCTATAAAAATAAAAATTGGGCCGGGCGTGGTGGCTCACCCCTGTAATCCCAGCACTTTGGGAGGCCAAGGTGGGCAGATCATGAGGTCAAGAGATCACGACCATCCTGGCCAACACAGTGACACCCTATCTCTACTAAAAACACAAAAATTAGCTGGGCGTGGTGGTGCATGCCTATAGTCCCAGCTACTCGGGAGACTGAGGCAGGAGAATCTCTTGAACCTGGGAGGCGGAGGTTGCAGTGAGCCGAGGTAGCGCCACTGCCCTACAGCATGGGCAACAGAGCGAGACTCCGTCTAAAAAAAAAAAAAAGAAAGAAACAAAAGAAAACAGATATACAAAATACCATTGTGCTACAATTGCCTGCAGTATTCAATACAGTAACATGCTGTCCAGGTTCATAGCGTGGGAGCAGTAGGCTACACCATGTAGCCTAGGTGTGCTAGGTACCAGCAGTAGGCTACACCATCTAGATTAGTGTAAATACAACCTATGATGTTCACACAATGATGAAATCTCATGATGCATTTCTCAGAACGTATCCGTTGTTAGGCGATGCATGACTGTACTTTGTTACGGCAGCCCCAGGAAACTAATGCAGTTGTCTACTCAGCATCCATTCCCCTCTTCCTAACAATACCCAAATTTTCGTTTGTACGTTTACCCCTTCTGCATACAGGAAACCATTGAGATGGCTTAGCCAATCAGCATTTTTTATTTTATCCTCCATAAGTCGTTGGTTTGGAGGTGGACACATCTTTAACTGGGCCGATCGGAGTGGCTCTCAGCACTCTCTCTTAGAATAGTGGGACAGAGGGCTCCTCGAGAAGGATGTGAGCCACTAGACATGAACCAGAAAGCATAAGGCTTGGATTACATCTGGCAACAGCCATCTTCAGATGCAGCCAACAGGGTGGGCAACAGAGCAGAGAGACTCAAAGGTCCTGGGTCATGGGAGATGTCTTAAAACCGCAAGATCAGTCTGCCCTGAAACATTGAATGTCTTACAGTCAAAGGCTTTATAGTTAAACCAGTTTAACTGAGATCTGGCATTCTTGCAGCCCAAAGCTTCCCAGCTGACAAGCTGGCAACACAGGGCAGATTGTACCATCTCAAGCCAAGTGAGGGGCTTTAAAAGAATCCACTGGAGGCTGGCTGCAGGGGCTCGTGCCTGTAATCCCAGCACTTTAGGAGGCTGAGGCGAGTGGATCACCTGAGGTCAGGAGTTCGAGACCAGCCTAACCAACATGATGCAACCCCATCTCTACTAAAAATACAAAATCAGCTGTGCATGGTGGCACACGCCTGTAATCCCAGCTACTTGGAAGGCTGAGGCAGGAGAATCACTTGAACCCGGGAGGTAGAGGTTGCAGTGAGCCAAGATCACGCCATTGCACTCCAGCCTGGGCTACAGAGCGAGACTCCATCTCAAAAAATAAAAATAAATTTAAAAATTAAAAAATAAGGAATCCCTTGGAGAGATAGACACGAAGGACTCGGGACTGAAGCCACACCCAAAGAATCTATAGCCTGGAGGCCATGGCTGGAACTCACCCTGCTTGGCAAATACAGGAAGAGACATGACGGTGGTGGAAAGGGCCTGCACTTCCAGAGCCTGGTGGGACAAGGATGGATGTGCATCTCCCAGAGGCCAGAGATGGGCTCGCTGAAAGGAGCTGGGCCAGGTCTCCTTGAGAGAGACTCTGCCCAGGAGAACTTGCTGCAAGTAAAGCAGGGGAATGAACCAGAAAGCAGGGACCCTGCATTGGTGATCAATTGGGCAGCAGGAGGTGTCATCCAGTTCCCTGGAGTTCCCACTTAAAATTACAACAGAGCAGGTCAACCAAAGCCCTTCCTGCCCCTCACCTCTCTTCCCCTGCCCACTCTAGTCCTGCAGAGACCAAAAGAACAGGTGGCGAAGGAGACCAGAGGTTGAGAGTCAGAAAAGCGATCAGACCACTCCCCACAGTTCCTGGACTAAGACAGGCCCCAGCTGAAGCAGGGTAGAGGGCGTTAGTAGGATAAAATATTGAATATTAGAAGAGATAAGACTTTTTTTAATTATTAAAAGGAGTCTGTTCTTATAACTAAAAGGTCCTGGAAAAACTGTGGGCCATCCCCAGATTTTAACCAGGTCTAGTGAGCACTGTTGTGCCCACATCCCGGGCATTCAACCTACGCAGGAAGGCCTTGTATTGCCAATACCCGAGCCTCTGCCCAACAGCTTTTATCTGGCCAGGGAGGGTGCTCAACGCTTGAGCAAGGCAAACAGGAAGTGCTGGAGTGGTCAAGTGCCTGGAAGTAGTCTTCAACCAAGGAGGGACAGGAAGTCATTGGGTAAGTACCACAGCTTCCTGCCCCTCAGTCGGGATAATGCTGTGACCTCTGGTCTGAAAACTCACTCTTTAATGGCCCATTCCCTTTCCTATCTTACTTCCTCACTATTTATACCCAGTTCACGTCTCAGGGTCTGTTTCCAGGGACACCCAAACCAAGACAGCAGAAATAGACAAGATGATGTCAAACAGCAGGTTTGAGTGGGCAGGAGGGCAGGGGACACGGGAGCGGGGGTGGGATGTTTCCTGTCACTTGTCTATCCAATAAACCAATCACTCAATTATTTTACTCATAATCAAGTTTCCTGCCTAAAACCTGGGGACAAGAGGCAGTGGGAGTTTTTCATTCTCTTCTGCATGTTCACCACATCTTGAAACTGAAGCTAAATACAGTTAGATACTCATCACATGGCTCTTCTGACTTCTTCCTGCCTCTTGAACTTTCCGTTTCCTCCCATGGTGCCTTTAAGAGTGGGGCAAAGTGCATACAGGGCTCGAGCTCACATGAAGTGAGCTTATAGAGCTGGGGTACTTTGGCTGATCTACGTCAGGGTAGCTAGTTTCCAATAGCCCAAGGGCCTTACTTTGTTTTTTCCTTTTTTAAAAATTAAAGTGTAATCTACCTACAGTAAAATTCAGTCTTTTTTCTTTTTTTTTTTCTTTTTTGAGACAGGGTCTCACTCTGTCACCAAGGCCAGAGTGCAGTGACACCATCCTGGCTCACTGCAGCCTTGACCTCCCTGGGCTCAGGTGATCCTCCCACCTCAGGCTCCCGAGTAGCTGGGACCACAGGAGCTCACCACCACACCCAGCTAATTTTTGTATTTTTAGCAGAGACAGAGTTTCACCATCGTGGCCAGGCTGGTCTCTAACTCCTAGCCTCAAGTGATCTGCCCACCTCGGCCTCCCAAAGTGGCGGGATTACAGGCATGAGCCATGGTGCCCTTGCGCCCTACCCTTTCTGATAGTTTCTCAAGTGCAGGAGTAGGGTGAGGCAAGAGAAGAGGAGAGTGAATGCCTCCTCACAATTTTGTGTCTTAGATACCTCTCTTGCCTCATTCCAGTCCCAGCCCTGGTTGTTCTACATAATACTTCCTTAAAATTTTTTATTTCTGGAGCATGCATGGTGGCTCACACCTATAATCCCAGCACTTTGGGAGGCGGGCAGATTTCTTGAGCCTAGGAGTTCAAAACCAGCCTGGGCAACACAGAGACCTTGTCTCTACAAAAAAATCTTAAAAATTAGCCAGGTATGGTGGCACACGCCTATAATCCCAGCTACTCAGGAGGCTGAGGTGGGAGGATCACTTGAGCCCCAGAAGTTGAGGCTGTAATGAGCCACGATTGCACGACTCCAAAAAAAAAAAAAAAATCATTTCTGGCTGGCACAATGGTGCACACCTGTAATCTGAGCTATTCAAGAGGCTGAGGCAGGAAGATTGCTTGAAGCCAAGAGTTCAAGACTGCAGTGTTCTATGACTGTGCCTGTAAAGAGCTATTGTACTCCAGCCTGGGCGATACAGCAAGACCCTGTCTCTAAAATTTGAAAGAAAGACTGGCCAGGTGCAGTGGCTCACTCCTGTAATCCCAGCACTTTGGGAGGCCGAGGCAGGCAGATCACTTGGGATCAGGAATTCGAGACCAGCCTGGCTAACATGGTAAAACCCCATCTCTACTAAAAATATGAAAATTAGCCAGGTGTGATTGTAGGTGTCTGTAATCCCAGCTACTCAGGAGGCTGAGGCACAGGCATGAGAATCACTTGAACCCAGGAGGAGAGGGTAGCAGTGAGATGAGATCGTACCACTGCACTCCAGCCTGGCTGACAGGGCGAGACTCTCTCAAAAAAAAAAAAAGGGGAAATTTTTTTTTTTTTTGAGACGGAGTCTTGTTCTGTTGTCCAGGCTGGAGTGCAGTGGCACGATCTCGGCTCACTGCAACCTCCAACTCCTGGGTTCAAGGGATTCTCCTGCCTCAGCCTCCCAAGTAGCTGGGATTACAGGCATGCGCCACCACGCCCGGCTTATTTTTGTATTTTTAGTAGAGACGGAGTTTCGCCATGTTGGCCGGGCTGGTCTCGAACTTCCTACATCAGGTGATCCGCCCACCTCAGCCTCCCAAAGTTCTGGGATTATGCATGTGAGCCACTGCGCCCGGCCGAGAAAAATTATTTCTACTGGTTTGTTTCTAGTTTGTAAAAATCCCATTGATTCTTATATATAGACTTTGTATCCAGCAACTTTTGCAGCCGAGTCTTAACTCACAGAATAAAGGGTGGGACGTTCCTGCTTCGGTTCATGCCTAAGAAAGCTCAGTGACAGGCAGATTCTGAAAGTGATGTTCCAGACTAGAAAACATGGAGTGTCTGTGTTTTCAAGGATCTGTGGGCTTTCCCCCAAAGCTTTCTATTGCCTCTCTCCACTCCTCAGTCACTTACCAGGCTCCCAGTGCATCATGGGCAAATGGAAATCTGGGAAATGGAACTTTAAGTTAGAGCCAGACTAGCTGGGAGAAGGGCAGGCACGAGGAGAAGGAGCGGTGGCTCAGCTTCTGTGAGTCCATGGAGGCCAGAAGTCCATCCTCCAGTTCCCTATCTACCCCCCTATATTTTCTCATGCTTTATTCTCATTCCTCATTACAAAAGGGATGTGAGGTGATGCACAAAACTACCTAATTTGGAAAGATAAAATTAATATAGAAGAAGCCTGAGAAACACAAACCCCTTCTCTACAAAAACATTTTGAAAAAAATTAGCCAGGCATGGTAGCACACACCTGTAGCCCCAGCTATCTGGAGGCTGAGGTGGGAGGATCGCTTGAGCTCAGGAGTTCGGGGCTGCAATGAGCTATGATCGTGCCACTGCACTCCAGCTTGGGTAACAGAACGAGACCCTGTAAAAAAAATTAATATATAAGGAAATTGAAGGGAAAATGGGGACACAGACATAAACTGAAATCAGGCTTGGGTGAGCAAAACTATGGAAGGAAAACACATCAGAGTCTAGGGGTTTGGAGAAGCCAGGGTCAAAGGCAGTGCCAGGGCCAGAAGCAGACCCAGATGTTAGAGCAGACCCAAGGGTGTGCCTCATGCCTTAGAGGGTTGAAATTTATTCTGACCACCGTGATCTCTCCTCTAGATGACTGCATTCACTCCTCTCTGTTCACCCGGCTTCTAGCTCTGCTTCCTCCGCACAATCTACTGTCCAACTAGCAGCCAGAGAGATCTTTTAGAAACACAAATTGGCCCCAGAATGGGAGAAAATATCTGCAAGCCACGTGTGATTAAGGGTCTAGCCTAGGCTGGGTGCAGTGGGTCATACCTGTAATCCCTGTCACGCGCGTTCGTGTAAAGAGACCACCAAACAGGCTTTGTGTGAGCAATAAAGCTTTTTAATCACCTGGGTCCAGGGCGGCTGAGTCCAAAAAGAGTAAGCAAAGGGAGATAAGGGTGGGACAGTTTTATAGGATTTGGGTGGGTAGTGGAAAATTACAGTCAAATGGGGTTTTTCTCTTGCGGGCAGGGGCGGGGGTCACAAGATGCTCAGTGGGGGAGCTTCTAAGGAATTTCACAAGGTTTATTGATCAGTTAAGGTGGGGCAGGAACAAATCACAATGGTGCAATGTCATCAGTTAAGGCAGGAACCAGCCATTTTCACTTCTTTTGTGATTCTTCAGTTGCTTCAGGCCATCTGGATGTGTACATGCAGGTCACTGGGGATATGATGGCTTAGCTTAGGCTCAGAGGCCTGACATTCCTGTCTTCTTATATTAATAAGAAAAAAAAAACAAGATAGTATTGAAGTGTCGGGGCAGTGACAATCCCAGCACTTTCGGAGGCCAAGGTGAGTGGATCACTTTGTCTGAGGCGTTTGAACCAGAGCAACTCCGTCTTGATTAGGAGCCGGGTAAAATAAGGCCGAAATCTACTGGGCTGCATCCCCAGATGGTTAAGCCTTCTAAGTCACTGGATGAGACAGGAGGTCAGCACAAAATACAGGTCATAAAGACCTTGCTGATTAAACAGGTTGCAGTAAAGAAGCCAGCTAAAACCCACCCAAACCAAGATGACCAAGAGAGTGACCTCTGGTGGTCCTCACTGCTACACTCCCACCAGCGCCATGACAGTTTACAGATGCCATGGCAACGTCAGGAAGTTACCCTATATGGTCTAAAAGGGGAAGCATGAATAACCCACCCATTGTTTAGCATATAATCAAGAAATAACCATAAAAAATAAGCAACCAGCAGCCCTCGGGGCTGCTCTGTCTATGGAGTAGCCATACTTTTATTCCTTTACTTTCCTAATAAACTTGCTTTCCCTTTACTTTATGGACTCACCCTGAATTCTTTCTTGCACAAGATCCAAGAACTCTCTCTTGGGGTCTGAATCCTGACCCCTTTCCTGTAACATCCTGAAGTTGGGAGTTCAAGACAAGCCTGGCCAACACAGTGAAACCTCCTCTCTACTAAAATACAAAAAATTAGCCAGGCATCGTGCCATGTGCCTGTTGTCCCACCTACTCGAGAGGCTGGGGCACAAGAATCGCTTGAACCCAAGAAGTGGAGGTGGCAGTGAGCTGAGATCGGGACACTGCACTCCAGCCTGGGTGACAGAGTGAGACTCTTTCAAAGAAAAAAAAAGAGGGAGGGGGGTCTAGCATCCAGAATATTTAAAGAACTACTACAACTCAATAAAAGAAACAAGTAACCCAGTTTTAAAATGGACAAAGGACTTGAATAGACATTTCTCCAAAGAAGACATACAAACGGCCAACGAGCACACGAGAAGATGTTCAACATCATTAGTCATTAGGGAAATGCAAATCAAAACCACACCCACTAGCATAACTATAATCAAAGACAGACAATAACGCGTATTGGTGTGGTTGTGGAGAAATTGAAACCTTCGTATTTTGATGGTAGGAGCTTAAACTGGTGCAGCTACTTTGGAAAACAGTTTGGCGGTTCTTCAAAAGGTTCACGGAGTTACCATGTGGCCCCCAAAATTCTACCCAAGATAATTGGAATACTATGAAGCAATTAAAATGAAAGACTTGGCTGGGCACGGTGGCTCACACCTATAATCCCAGCACTTTGGGAGGCCAAGGCGAGTGGATCACGAGGTCAGGAGTTCAAGACCAGCCTGGCCAAGATGGTGAAACCCCGTCTCTACCAAAAATACAAAAAGAAAAAAAAAATAGCTGGGCGCGATGGCGGGTGCCTGTAATCCCAGCTGCTTAGGAGGCTGAGTCAGGAGAATCGCTGGGACCCAGGAGGCAGGGGCTTCAGTGAGCGAAGATTGCACCACTGCACTCTAGCCTGGTCGACAGAGCAAGACTCCGTCTCAAAAAAACAATGAAAGACTCCTACTATGTGTGACAACTTGGATAAAATCTCATTCATCTACTATTGAGTGGAAGAAGCTAGGAGAAATAAGTAGAAATTGTATGATTCCATTATATGAAAGTCAAAAATAGATAAAGCTAATTTTTTGACCTATGTCAAGAGTATAGAAAGGAACCAGAAATCCTTGGCCTTGGAGATGGCAAGAATTAGGGCCTCAGTCACCACCTGGGCTCTGGAATTTTCTTCGCTTTTTGTCTCAGCTTCTGTTTAGAAGTTAGCTTCAGTCCCTCCAAATGTCTTTTTCTTTCTTTCTTTCTTTCTTTCTTTTTGAGACAGAGTCTTCCTCTGTTACCCAGGCTGGAGTGCAGTGGTGCAATCTTGGCTCACTGCAGCCTCCCTGTTCCAGGTTCAAGCGATTCTCCTGCCTCAGCCACCTGAGTAGCTGGGATTACAGGTGTGCGCCACCATGCCCAGCTAATTCCAAATGTCTTTTTCTACAATCCATGGCCTGTGGCAGACTCTGGATGCACATATTTCCAGTCCCCTCATTTGGAACAAGACCTCTTTTCATTTACATCCCATTCAAAAATTGCTAAGGAGGCTTCTAACTAGCCAGAGATTATAAATACTGACCCCTGGCTTGTCTGGCCAACAATAGAATAGGCAGCTCCCACGAGGCCCCTGTGGTTGGAGTTGGAGGTGGGGAGAGGTCTCCCAAAGAAGGCCTCTCCAATGGGATGTGCTGTTTCCAAAAGATGGATGGGTGCTAGGCAGACAAGCTCATAGATATCCACACCATTCAGATCCAGCTTTCTTGGAATTCACTCAACTGATGCCTTCTTCCTTCCCAGACCAACAGTTCATGCCCCAGTCCTCTCCTAGGTTGGTCCACTCACACAAAATCTTACAAGCAGCTGGAGAAACACCATCAGGAAGCCGGGCTTGATGGCTCACCCCTGTAATCCCAGCACTTTGGGAGGCCGAGGCAGGTGGATAACCTGAGGTCAGGAGTTTGAGACCAGCCTGGCCAGCATAATGAAACCCCGTCTCTACTAAAAATACAAAAAAATAGCTGGGTGTGGTGGCGCACACCTGTACACCCAGCTACTCAGGAGGCTGAGGCAGGAGAGTCACTTGAACCTGGGAGGCGGAGGTTGCAGTGAGCCAAGATCACGCCACTGCACTCCAGCCTGGGCAACAGTGTGAGACTCCATCTAACAAAAAAAAAGAATGAGATCCTAATACTAAAAAAAGTTCAAGATATGTTAAGTCAAAAAGCAAGTTGCAAAACTGTATCTATGGTAACATGATAATAAGGATGATGATAATAATAATACTATCTATGTTAGCAGATGCAGAAAAAAAAATCCAAGCAATAGACACCAAATTACTAACGTTAATAGGTGCTGGAAAAGGGGATCGAGTGGGGAGATTTATGAGAGACTTTCATATTTCTTTAGGATTGAAAGCATAAAATAATGGTCTAATTTTTAAGAAAGGAATTTGAAAGTTGGGGACAGTGTGACAGATGTTGTTTGATTGCCTTCCAGACAGATGTCTTGTGTCCACAAGGTTGTTTAAGAATTCAGACTTATCTCCTTGTTCACTGACCCATAACACAGCAGAATAAATGTTTGACATGGGAAAATTCTCGGGGACAAAAGAGCTTATTCAAGCAGAACTAACAGCCATGCACTATCTCATAATCAGCAGAGAAACGGACATGGTGCCTGTGCTGGGGGTGGGGACAGGCAGAGGAGAGGCTACAGAGGGCTTACAGGGAACAGTAGTAGCTCTTGTGGCTCAGGCTTTGCTGAAATTGATGCAGCGGTGGCCTGAATGGTGGAGATTCTAGGCGCGAGGCCACAAGGAGGAAAGTCAGGAAGACGGAGATGCCTATGTGATTGAGTGCTTCAAAGCAGGAGCAGACACAATTAATACAGAAAATGAAGAGGGCAAGATGCACGAATCTTGAAGCAGGTGATAGGGGAATCACATGCTCTTGAAATGAAGGCCTGTTTTAAGGAGATCTGCATAAAACATGCATCCTGAGTTTTTCTTTCTTTGCTTTTTAAAAAGTTTATTTTTTTTATTGTGGCAAAATACACAGAACATAAAATGTACCGTCTTAACAATTTTTGAGTGTAATGTTCAGTGGGTGTTAATTACGTTCATCTTGTTGTGTAACTGTGACCAGCGGAGGGTGTCCAAGTTCTTGGCGTCTTGAACAAAGAATTGGACAACACGCATAAACAAAGCAAGGAAAGAATAAAGCAACAAAAGCAGAGATTTATTGAAAATGAAAGTACACTCCACAGGGTGGGAGCGCCCCAAGCATAGGGGCTCAAGAGCCCCGTTACAGAATTTTCTGGGGTTTAAGTACTCTCTAGCTGGGCGCGGTGGCTCACGCCTGTAATCCCAGCACTTTGGGAGGCCGAGGCGGGCGTATCATGAGGTCAGGAGATCAAGACCATCCTGGCAAACACGGTGAAACCCCGTCTCTACTAAAAATACAAAAAAAATTAGCCGGGCATGGTGGCAGCCGCCTGTAGTCCCAGCTACTCGGGAGGCTGAGGCAGGAGAATGGCGTGAACCCAGGAGGCGGAGCTTGTAGTGAGCAGAGATCGCACCACTGCACTCCAGCCTGGGCAACAGAGCGAGACTCCATCTCAATTAAAAAAAAAAAAGTACTCTCTAGAGGATTCCACTGGTTACTTGGTGTACGCCCTATTTCCTGTCATAGCTGAAGTGTTTCCATTTGATTTCATTCTAGGAAATCAGCATGAATCGGCCTTATGTTCCCTGTCTCCAGACCCTATTCTCCCGCCTCACACCCATCACCACCATCCATCTCCAGAACACTTTTCATCCCGTAAAACTGAAACTCTGCACCCATGAAATAGTAACTCCTCATTCTCCCCCTCCCCCAGCCCCTGGCACCACAATTGTACTTTCTGTCTCTATGACTTTGACTACTCTAGGTACCCCCATAAGTGGAATCAGAAGGTATTTGTCTTTTTGTGACTGGCTTGTTTCACTTAGCATAATGTCCTCAAGGCTCATCCCTGTTGTAGCATCTGTCAAAAGTTTGTTCCTTTTTAAGGCTGAATAATATTCTATTCTATGGAGAGACCACATTTTGCTTATCCGTTCATCCATCAATGGACACTTGGATAGTTTCCACATTTTAGCTATTGAGAGTAGTGCTGCTGTGAACACGGGTGTACAGGTATCTCTTTGTATCCTTGCTTCAGTTCTTTTGTGTGTATACCCAGAAGTCATCCTGGGCTTTTTTGGCATGGGGCAGGTTATTTCTCAATAAGATGGCAGTAGTAATAATCCCTGACTTGCAAGCTGCCTTCTACTTTTCCAAGGATGTTCCCATCAAATCCTTCCCTCATTTGATTTTCACAACCTGCAAGGAAGGCAAGGCAACTGGCATCCATATGGACATGGAAACCGAGGGCCAGGCTCCTGGTGTCAGGCTCCCCCACCCCTCAGGATGTGGCATTCCCTTCCAGGCCCCATCTGAGCACATAGGTGGCCGCATGCCCATTTCGGTCTATCTCAGCTTCAACTCTGGCTGGCCTTCTACCATGTATTTTATTGTTATTGCAGCAAATATTTTTTGTATTGTTAGATATGAGTTATAAATTTCTTTTCAAAGAATTAACATGTCAATATGTTCAATTATTTGCCTTCTACTTTTAAACTTCCTCATAAAGCAAGCTTTTTCAATTACCTACTCCACCCTGACTCATTCTGATCACCTGCTCCACCCTAACTCATTCCTATTACCTGCTACCTGCTCTGCCCTGACTCCTGCCAAAGCACTCACTCCATCATTCTCTTTAAATTAGCCAATCAGAATTAGTTTAGCCTGTGCGGTCTAACCCTAGCCAATAGGGGAATGACACAGCAGCAGGGGCCATGTGCATCAGAGATAAGAACCCCTTCCCCTCCCTTGTCCAGGTGTGCGCTCACCATTGCTCCATCTGTAAGGGCGCACCCTTCTATAGAAGTAACTTGCCTCGCTGAGAATTAAAAAGAAGATTTTATATTCGAGTGCTATTTCTTTTACGGCACCGAAACTTTATATATAACAGTATCATAGACTCTTTGTGGAGGGAGGTGAGAAAGAGCTATTTCCAGGTCCTTATACGTATAAATAGGCATGTCCACTAGCCCCCCTTTCTTCAAGGCAGCTAGATGGGAGGGGCACTGGTTTCCCAGAATCAGCTTTAATTCCATTAAAGTAGATCAGAAAAATGGCTTATGCATTTCCTCAGGAATGTTGATTATTTTTTCCCAGAAGGAAGTTGTTAATTGCATCACACACAAAAAGTTTTGTCCCAGACCAGTTTGGGGACAATTATTTTTCTTTTCTTTTTCTTCTTTTTTTTGACACAGTCTCACTCTCTGTCACCCAGGCAGGAGTGCAGTGGCACAACCTCAGCCCACTGCAACCTCTGCCTCCCAGGTTCAAGCTATTCTGCCTCAGCCTCCCGAATAGTTGGAATTACAGGCGCCCACCACCATGCCCGGCTAATTTTTGTATTAGTAGAGACAGGGTTTCACCATGTTGGCCAGGCTGGTCTCGAACTCCTAAACTCAAGTGATCTGCCTGCCTCGGCCTCCCAAAGTGCTGGGATTACAGGCGTAAGCCACGGCACCTGCCCAATTTCTCTTTTACAGATTGTTGGTGTACATAAAAATCACCCTAGGTGCTTATTGAAAATGCTAATGTGTTCATAAAGGAGGGTGAAGTGGTTGCCTCCTCCATATCTGAGGTCTAACAGGTGACTCCGCTCCTCAAAGGTGACCCTTCCCAGAACCATCTGCTCCACGGAGGCCACTGGTCAGTTGGCTGCTGGTCACACCGGGACCAAAGTCTTGGGGTATATGCAGTGGCCTTCCCCAGAGCCTCCCCAAAGGCAAGGGGGTGGGAAATGTTTCAAACCTGGGATAGAAAGAACCTCCCTTCCTTCCCCAGGCGAGCACTCCAACTTGGGTGTAGCCAACATTATTGAAATCTTGGGAAGACAGACAGGTCCCAGCCCACCCCCAGTGGCAAAATAGATGTTCCTTTTCTTACTGAGCCTCTCGGCCATTCTGCCAGCCTCCCACACAGTTGCTCTACCCCTTGGTGGGCAACACAAGCCCTGCCCCCAACCGCCTAAACATCCTCCCCACTTTAGTGTGACGAGCAGACACCTACAAAAACCACCCGCCTTTCCTTCCCACACCAGCCCGAACCTAGGAGGCCTTTCTGCGTATTCAAAGCTGGGAGAAGGTGCTCTTCCTGCTCTCCCCACCTGTGAGGCAGGAGATGGAGCTGAGGACCTGACTGCCTGTCACTGTTACCAGGTTCTTGGCATTTTGAACAATGAATTGGACAAAACCCACAAAAAATGCAAGGAAAGAATGAAACAACAAAAGCAGAGATTTATTAAAAATGAAAGCACACTCCACAGGGTGGGAGCGGCCTGAGCCAGCGGCCTTAAGGCCCAGTTACAGAATTTTCTGGGGTTTAAATACCCTCTAGAGGTTTCCATTGGTTACTGTGTAAATGAAGAGGATGAAGTAAAGTTACAAAGTCATTTACTCGATGTACACTCTTTGTGAATGAAGAAGATATTTGCTGTCATCACTGAAGTGTTTCCAGGTTCCCTGCCTCCAGGCCCTATTCTCCTGCCTCATTGCCACCTCCTACTCACGGCTCTGTTTTTTCAGGTAGGATGTTGAGGTGGAGGATCGGCAAAGACAAGGGGCTCTTTGATATGAATGAAGCTGTCAAAGGCGTTTGAACCACAGCAACTCCATCTTGATTAGGAGCTGGCTAAAATGAGGCTGAGACCTACTGGGCTGCATTCCCAGATGGTGAGGCATTCTAAGTCACAGGATGAGATAGGAGGTCAGCACAAAATACAGGTCATCATAAAAACCCTGCTGATAAAACAGGTTGCAGTAAAGAAGCCGGCTAAAACCCACCAAAACCAAGATGGCCGTGAGAGTGACCTCTGATCGTCCTCACTGCTACACTGCCACCAGCGCCGTGACAGTTTACAGATGCCTTGCCAATGTCAGGAAGTTACCCTACATGGTCTAAAAGGGGAGGCATGAATAATCCACTCCTTGTTTAGTATATCTTCAAGAAATAACCATAAAAATGGGCAACCAGCAGGGCTGCTCTGTCTATGGAGTAGCCATTCTTTTATTCCTTTACTTTTCTTTTTTTTTTTTTTTTTTGAGCGGGAGTCTCACTCTGTCGCCCAAACTGGAGTGCAATGGTGCAATCTCAGTTCACTACAACCTCCGCCTCCTGAGTTCAAGCAATTCTCCCACCTCAGCCTCACAAGCACCTAGGATTACAGGCGCCTGCCACCTCGTCTGGCTAATTTTTGTGTTTTTAGTAGACAGCGGGGTTTCACCATGTTGACCAGGCTGGTCTCAAACTCCTGACCTCAGGTAATCCACCCTCCTCGGCCTCCCAAAGTGCTGGGATTACAACCATGAGCCACCGAACTTGGCCCTTTACTTTCTTAATAAACTTGCTTTCATTTTATGGGCTCACCCTGAATTCTTTCTTGCATGAGATCCAAGAACCCTCTCTTGGGGTCTGGATTGGGGCCCCTTTCCTGTAATAAAGCCACCTGACCCTGCTCCCAGAGCTTGTCCCCTTTCTTCCTGTGGCAAATGCGTCTCAGCAAAGGCTGCAGGACGATGCCGACACAAAGGAAGGAGCCCAGGCCGGCAAGGCTTGAACACCCCCCAGGATGCCTGGACTCCTCACAGAGGCCCCCCAACTTGGACTCTGCTATAAAAGTGAGGAAAAGGAAAACGGAATAAATCGAGCGTAAAGTGGATTGTGGGGCAGGGGTCTCAGAAGTGGTGGATTAACTGGAACTGACTGTGGGATTCCACCATGAGACAGAAATGGGGCCTTAGATAGAGACTGAGGTGTGGAATAATTAAGGTCTTTTTTGATTCAAAGTCGAATCTGTAGCTCGGAAATAGAACTTGCTGCTAACCCGTGCATTTAGCACCTAATATAATTCAGGAACTGTGCTGGGCACTGAGGATTAAATGTTTAAAAATGTGTTCTAAGGAGCATAGGGTCCTGTGTGAGAGGCAGCCATGAGCAACCCCATACACACCACCTGGTGCTCACCCTTGAGGGCCACCCAGAATGGGGGAGTTGAGGAGGCATCCGGAGCCGGCGACGTTTGAGCTGCAGAATCCTGCGTTCCTCCTATAAGCCAGCAAACACGAGAGACATTTTTATTTAACATTTAAAAACCAAGATATAAGAAAGTGGGCCAGGCGTGATGGCTCATGCCTGTAATCCCAACACTTTGGGAGGCCAAGGCGGGTGGATCGCCTGAGGTCAGGAGTTCGAGACCAGCCTGGCCAACATGGTGAAACCCCGTCTCTACTAAAAATACAAAAAATTGGCCGGGCATGATGTTGGGCTCCTGTAATCCCAGCTACTCTGCAGGCTGAGGCAGGAGAATCATTTGAACCCAGGAGGCGGAGGTTGCAGTGAGCAGAGGGCGTGGAAAAAAAAAAAGAAAGAAAAAAAAAACTAGATATGACAGTGACATCAACATTGAAAATAAAATTCAGGATGAGTAGGAATCCGGGGGATAAAAAGGTTTGGGGTAGGAAGGAGTTCCAGGTAGGGGGAGCGGGCTCACAGGTGGGGGGTTTCAAGGACTGAGTAGGAGGCAACAACCTGTCCGCAAGAGGAGTGGGCCTTGCTGGCCCAGCCCAGGAAGTTGGGTTTTATCTTGAAGGTAATTGAAAGCCATTAAGGGAAACAAGCCTGTGGGACCTGCATTTCTAAAAGCCTCTTGTGTAGCTCAGTGGGAGTGGCCTGGAGGGGGTTCCTGGAAGGAGCCAGCCAGTGAGGGGCTAAGGCAGTAACTGGTGGGAGCAGGTGAGGGCCCCAGCAGGAGGGAAGACGTGGGAGCATCGGAGTGGACCTGTGGTTGGGGGGACACGCACGTGGGTGGGTGGGGGCAGGAGGGGAGACATGGGAGCATCGGAGTGGACCAGTGGTCAGGGGGATGCACACGTGGGTGGGTGGGGAGTCACGAAGGTGGTGAGGAGATGAATAACCAATACGGTTATTAATAACTTGTTACCTCCAGATTAGGAACAGATTTTGAGGCATAGAGATCATTTGAATCAGGTTCCTCCTTCCCTGGATTGGGGCTGGGTGGAGTTTCCTCTCAGTGTTCTGGAACGTTCTCCAAAGTGCCTCAGGGCTGCCCAAAAATAACCGAAAGGACACCCAGGACCCCCTCCTGGACAGCGAAGACATCTCTCCAAAGGCCTCAGCAGAGCCCCCGTGTTTTGGGGAGCCCGTCGTCCCCAACCCTCTCCTGGTACCACAGAACAGCACTTACTTCGCTAATTGTCTCCTGGTAGAAACGGCACAGCTAACGTGAAGGAACAAGGCATCCTAATCCACTGTGTGGTGTGGCAGAATCCATGACAAGCCACACAGGTGTAGGGCTGCCGCGCTGTCACACAGGGTCCCAGCGCTGAAGGACCGGGCGGTGAGGGGGCAGGGAAAGTCAGAAAGGGCACCCAGGGTACAGGGCACAGTGCTCAGTTTGCTGTGGCTGCCTGAGTAGTAATAATCACAGCTACAACTGCAGGTGCGCTCAGGTGCCAGGCCTGCGCACTGTCTCGGAGCATCTCACTTTATGCTCATAGCGAAGGAGGTACAAATTTCAACCCCTAATTACCATTAGCTGTCATCATTTTTATTGTGGCTCTGCCTGGCTAGCCCTTGCTCTCCTCACCCCAAGTCAGTGGCCCACTGAGTCCTCAGAGCCTGGCTCCACAGCCCCAGACCACCAGGATGGCCTCTCCTCCTGATGCTCCCATCTGAGTCTTCGCTGCTTTGAAAAATGCGGGTTTTTCTTCTGTGTTGAGTTGAAGACGGAGCTCTGCCTTTCTCTCCTGAGGTGCCCTGCACATGTCAGGGTCCCCGTGGGTGGCCGGAAGGAAAAGCTTCATGAAGGGAAGAAACCAGCCCTTCAGTGGTATGGGGCTCCCCTGGTCCCTGGAGGAACAGTAGCCTCTGTCTGAGTCCTAAACTGGGGCAACAGGCCGGGCACAATGTCTCAAGCTTGTAATCCTAGCACTTTGAGGCACCGAGGCAGGCCGATTGCCTGAGCTCAGGGGTTCGAGACCAGCCTGGGCAACATGGTGAAACCCCGTCTCTACTAAAATACAAAAAATTAGCCAGGTGTGGCAACATGCACCTATAGTCCCAGTTACTCGGGAGGCTGAGGCAGGAGAATTGCTTTAACCCAGGAGGCGGAGGTTGCAGTAAGCTGAGATCACACCACTGCACTCCAGCCTGGGCGACAGAGCGAGACTCTGTCTCAAAAACAATAAAAATAAGTAAATAAAATAAACAAATAAACTGGTGCAGCAGTCCCCTCAGTGGTCATGTGTCCACAGGTTTCCATCACAGCCCTGCAGTGACAGGATGGCTAGATGCCCTGCAGAAATCCTTTCCTGGACATACTCCCTCCTCCAGCCACCAGCCCCCCACTGGGTACAGTGCTCATCACAGCCTGGGGTGGAGGCATCAGCAATGCCCTCTTCAAGCTCTTCCCAAAGAAAGTGCCCCATCCGCCTGCCTCTGGCCCTGCCTGACCTGCACATGAGCCACCAGCTTCCTGCCAGGCCTCTGGTGATCCCTGGAACAGTCTCTAGAGCAGGAGCAGGAGCAGGAGCAGGCAGGGCCTGTATCTTCACTCTGCCTGAGCCCAGGCAGGCTCAGCTATGCCTTCAGGCCCCTCGACCACAATCATGGTGACCACATCCCTGGGATAGTCCCTGCTTTGATAACCTGCCTCACTAGTGCCTGCTAAGCACCGCTCCGCCCAGCCTGGTGTGTCCTCCACATCTTCAACCTCTGCAGTCTTCCCAGGGCTGCCCATGCCCTCCCTGGTTTCCAGTCTCTCCTCTACCACTCTCCTCCATCCCCTCAGTCATCCCCCGGTGCTCCCCTTCCAGACCCCACGGTTGCCCCTGTGCCACCTGACTGTCCAACTTTTCTCCAAGCACTCAAGATGGTCTCAGTGCTCCCCACCCCCACCTAGTGAGTCAATTTCAGTACCTGGGCCCTCTAATTCTGCCCTGCGGAGTCTCAAAGTATGTGCTGCCCACTCACCAGAGGAAACAGAAAGCACCTTCTCAGAATACAGCAGGCTTTAATTTCTAGAACTGTGGAGTCATTCAGAAAATGAGAAGAAGAGTGTTGGGTGTCTGATAAGTGAAGATAAGGGCTCAGAGGGATTGCAGGTCGTGGGGTGCGGAGGGGTGGAAGGGAAGACAGTTATGCTAATTTTTCTAAAGAAGAGCCTAGACATCAGCCCATACATAGGATCAGCTGTGGTTAGGAGGCAGCGCCTTACCAAAACCTGCAGGAACAGCCCCCTCCTCCGTCACTCTGTGCCAAGCCCAGCCCCTGTGGCTGCAGCTTGAGAAGCCCCTGATGTGCTCTCAGAGGCATTTCCCCTGGCGCAGTGGCTGGTGGGCACCTGGAACAGGAGCCCTGCAGCTTCCCCAGACTCAAGCAGGCAGTCACGGCCTTGTGCAGCCTCGACATGGCCTCTGGCTTCTCAACAAGGCCCCCAGTCCATCTGCCTCTGTGCCCGGCCTGCTGACACACCACTGCCCTCGTTCTATGCCAAGCACCTTCCAGTGTGCCACCCAGGGACCGGTGGCAGGAAGCAGGCTCCTAACAGACATGGATTGGGCTCCTGGGCACAATTACTCTACTTCTTTTTTTTTTGAGACGGAGTCTTGCTCCGTCACCAGGCTGGAGTGCAGTGGCGTGATCTCAGCTCACTGCAACCTCCGCTTCCCAGGTTCAAGCAATTCTCCTGCCTCAGCCACCCGAGTAGCTGCGATTACAGGCACGTGCCACTGTGCCCAGCTAATTTTTTTGTATTTTTAGCAGAGACAGGGTTTCACCATGTTGGTCAGACTGGTCTCGATCTTGTGACCTCGTGATCCACCCTCCTCGGCCTCCCAAAGTGCTGGGATTACAGGCGTGAGCCACCGCGCCTGGCCCACTTACTCTACTTCTGCACCCCCCACCCTGCACATAAGGAGGGTACATCAGACCCAGAGGATGGCAACCCCCCCAGACTCAGAGGCCACAGGGAAGGGCCTGCGCTGGCCCACCTTCACCTCGATGCTGACTCGCAGAGCTCCGGGAATGTGGACCAGCAGGGAAGGAAAAGGTTCCCAGATAGACTCCGGAAACAGAGCTCACATGACCCCCCTGGGACTCTCTCGTCCCCGCACTGTCCCTGCCAAGGAAAGGACAAGGCCTTGGGCCAGTCTTCTGCAGGAGGTGTCCTGGACAGGCAGTTCCCAACCCACGTGTACAGGCAGTGGCTTCAGATTTGTCTCTGGGCTGTGCTTGTTCCTCTAGGAAGGGCCCCAGCAATTCCAGCCCCAGGGAAATTTTCTCTCCTTCTTCTGGTGTGGATCAGCCAGGGCATTTCACAACCAGCTACAGATGACAAAGAACTGGTAACAGGGCCACCTCCCGTGCCCTGGTCTGGGTGTCCCGGTGAAACTGAATGAAATGAACAGCAGGTGGCCGGGGTCAAACACCAAGTTAAACAGAAGGGGACAATCTCAGCTCCCAGGCAGAGACCACGGGTGGGGGAGGGAGAGCGGGCAGGAGGTTACAGACCACGTGAATAAGAGTTCAGATCTTTGTGGTACTGGTTGGCAGTTTCCGTTCTTACACCCCAGCTTCCTTCCTGATTCTCTGCCCAGCACAAGGGGATTGGGGAACATGTCCAGCCAACTATAGCCAAAGGCAGCACAGGGCAAGGTATACAGTCAGTGCCAGTTAATGGTTAAGACAGCCAGCATATCAGGCATTGCAGTGAGCCGAGATTGCACCACTGTACTCCAGCCTGGGCAACAGAATGAGACTCCATCTCAAAAAAAAAAAAAAAAAAGAAATAGACAGCCAGCATAGGAGTCAGACAGGATCCCAACTCCACACTTGAACTCTCTAAGCCTCGGTTTCCTCATCTGTAAAATAGTGATAACATTGAAGACCATCTCACAGGGATGCCAAGAAAATTAAATGAGAAACTCTATGGAATGCACTTAGGACAGGGCCTGGCACATAGTAGGACCTCAATAAATATTAGCCATACTATCAACTTGACTGAGAATGGTAGTTGAAGAACCAGTGGGCTCCACACAATCTCATATTAGAGAATCTGACTCTCCAGGCAGGCGTGAGAGTCAGTGCATGATGATTAAATCCTTTGAGGCACACGGGGGAAATGTGTCCTGCCTAGGGCTGTCTTACTTCTCTTCCTCACCCCTGTTGGCCTCAGTATCTGGAACTGCACCATAGAGATGAGTCCCTTTGGGTAGTGCCAGGCAGCGACTCAGATCCCAGGGTTCCAAATAGAGACACAGGGGCACTGCTGTACTGGGGGCATGGAGGGCTATAGCATGGGCCGGCTTAGGGGTGTGGTTTGAGCACCCCAGTTCCCCATAGGCCTGATTCCCCACAGAGCTCAGATGTAGAAGGGCCTGGCAGATCGGGCAACCAAAGCTCCTTTCCCTAACCTCACAAGGTCCAGAACCCCAAGATTTAGACTTTCTTCCTTTCCCCAGCCCCCTTATCACCACTTCCTGGCACTCAGCTCCTGCATCTGAGAAATGAGTATGGTACCAGGGTTGTGGTTAGGCTCAAATGAGCAACCCATGCAAAATCCTTTGAACCGAGCTAGACATAGGTGTGGTATTAGTTTGATAGGGCTGCCATTACCTAGATCCACAGACCGGGTGCCTTAAGCAACAGAAGTATACTTCCTCATGATTCTGGAGGCTGGAAGTCTGAGATCCAGGTGTTGACAGGGTTGACTTCTAAGAGCTCTTTCCTTGGCTTGTAGACTGCTATCTTCTCCCTCTGTCTTCACATGGTCGGCCCTGCGTTTGTGTCCTAATCTCCTCTTTTTTTTTTTTTTTTTTTCTTTTGAAATGGAGTCTCACTCTGTCACCTGGGCTGGAGTACGGTGGTGTGATCTCGGCTCACTGCAACCTCCGCCTCCTGGGTTCAAGCGATTCTCCTGTCTCAACCTCCCGAGTAGCTGGGCCTACAGGTGTGTGCCACCACGCCCAGCTAATTTTTGTATTTTTAGTAGAGGCGGGGTTTCACCATGTTGGCCCGGATGGTCTCGATCTCCTGGCTTCGTGATCTGCCCACCTTAACCTCTCAAAGTGCTGGGATTACAGGCATGAGCCACCGCGCCCAGCCAATCTCCTCTTTTTATAAGGACATCAGTCATATTGAATCAGGGTCCATCCTAATGACCTCATTTTAACTTAATTATCTCTTTAAGACCTATCTCCAAATACAGTCACATTGTGAGGTACTGGGGCTAGGATTTCAACATAAGAATTTTAGGGGACACCCTAATGTCCCTAATGTCACCAAATAATGGTGGCAGAAAGGAGGTGTTTGTTGCACTGAACTAAATAGCAATGTTTCCTGAGCCCCTAATAGTTGGTGCTCAGCAAACATTACTATTTAATTCAGTACAACAAATACCTTCTTTCTGCCAGCGTTATTCTAGGCCCTTTGCTTATGAGCAAAGCAGCCCAATTCTTTGTCCCTGTGGGGTTTACATTTTGGGGGTAGAGGGAGGGGCAAGAGACATCATATGTCAGACATACTAAAAAGTAAGTTATATAGTGTGCTAAAAGATGGTACGTTCTATACAAATAAATAAATAAATAACAGAGTAGAGTAAGGGGAATCTGGAGCGAGGGCCAGCATTTTGAACAGGGTAGTCAGAGCAGGCCTCATCGAGGCAACATTTGGCAAAGCCTTCAAGGAGATGCTCTATGGTCTATTATGGTTCTTCCTAGGGAATCGTATCAGAATTGTTGGGCTTTGAACTCCCATTTCCCTGCCCACTTCCACCCACGCTGATATCAGAGCAGAGACAGTGCCTCTGAGACACAAGATCTGACACTGACATTTGACTCTGCTCTTTATTAGCAGAGCCATGCCGGGCAAGTTACTCAACCTCTCTGAGCCTGTGCCCCACACACTGTACTCCTGCGGGCCATCACCTCTGTGCAGTGGGGTCAGGGTAGAGGCATGGCCCAAGGTCAGCCACCCATGGGCTGGGCTGCCCTAGGCTAGCTGGGGTGGGTGCTGGGCTTTCAGAAGTAGCTACCAGATTTTGCATGAGATGACCTGGGTATCAATTAGGACTGTGTTCACCTGCATGTAACTAAAAACTAGAGTAACAGGGATTTTTTTTTTTTTTTTTTTTTTTTTTTTTTTTTTTTGTCTCATACAAAAAAGGAAGTTTAGAGTTGGCAGTCAAGGGCTGGTACCATCGCTTAGGGGTCAGCCAACATCAGGACTCCTCCTGTTCTCCTCCACCACACTTAGCATCTGGCTTTTCCCCTCATGGTTGAATATGGCTGCTGCACCTCCAGGCGTCCAAACTGTCTTCCAAAAAGTTAGAAGGAGAAAACGATGAAGTCAAAGATCAAAGAGAAAGGGCTAAAGAGCATGCCAGTTGAATCTGTTTCTTTTTAAATATCCACCCACCAGTCAGGCATGGTGGCTCATGCCTATAATCCCAGGACTTTGGGAGACCGAGGTGGGTGGATCATCTGATGTCAGGAGTTTGAGACCAACCTGACCAACGTGGTAAAACCCCATCTCTACTAAAAAGAGAAAAAATTAGCTGGGTGTGGTGGCGGGGGCCTGTAATCCCAGCTACTCGGGAGGCTGAGGCAGGAGAATCACTTGAATCCACGAGGCAGAGATTGCAGTAAGCTGAGATCGCGCCATTGCACTCCAGCCTGGGCAACAAGAGTGAAACTCCAGCTCAAAAAATAAAACAAAAAAAAAAGTAAATTTCCACCCACTGACTCCTGCTCTTATTCCACTGGGCAGAACTAGGTCAACATGACCACCACTACATACAAAGGATCCAAGGAAGTAGTTGAGCTGGACACCTTGCCACCCCCCAAAGGCAGGATGCTGTTAGTAAGGAAGAAGGGGAAACTAGATACTGGGTAGGTGCCCAGCATATGCTCTCAGCTGAGCTCAAGTGCAGTGAGGGTGGGCGGTGCATCACAGCCCTGGCCCAGGGCCACCCCCAGGACTGGGAGGAGAGCCCAGAGCTGAGAGGGGCAGAGCCTGGGCTGCAGGTCTCTGAGTCTGCATGGTATGGGCAGTCTAGTGGTGGGAAGATTTTCTCCCTCCCCCTCCCCACTCACTTATGTGCACCGGCATCCACGCAGCCTCCACTTTCACAGGCTGAGGTGCTGTCTCATTTCTCTCACCCTCTGCCACACCACCCCTTGGGTCTCCCTGACATTGCGCTGCTTTCTCAGGCCTTGGCTGGAGCACAGTGCAGAGGGGGTGGGGATGGGGGAGCACTCCTCATCGCTGCTTTTCAGAGGATCCCCCTCCACTCTTCAAAAGAAAGGATGGGAAGTGGGGTGTGGGGCTGTGTGCTAAGGAAGGCTCTCCTTCCAGCTTCTACTGCCTGCCCCCCACCTCAGGATCAGAAGTGGGGGGCTCCAAGGGCCCCTCATTCCAGAGCCCATGGGCTAAAGCAAGTAAAGATGAGTGAGGATTAAAGCAAAAGGCAAACATGAGGACACAGAGCCTGCCCTCCCTGTCGCAGCAACCTGGTGAGGATGAACTCAGAGGCTGGCCCTAGTGGTGGAAAGTTAAGGAAAGACTGCCAGAAGATGAATGCCAAAAACCTAGGGCTCCCCTTCTTCCTCCCCATATCCAAGCCCTCATCCTCCTTAGACATACATCCAGAGTCTGACTGCTCCTCCCGCCTCCACAGCCACCACCCTGGTCCATCCTTTGTCCCGACTCACGTAGATCATGACATCTCTCTCCTTCCTGCACGTCCAGCCGCCCCAACCACCCTCATCACACAGCCAGACCAGCCCTCTCGTGTTTCCCAAATCTCCATGATGGCTCACAGGTTCCCATGGATTCCTGTGGACTCCCAGGATCACTTCAGCCACAGGGAAGTGTGCTCCTGACTCAGGGCCTTTTCATTTCTGGTACCTTCTGCCTCGGAGGCCCTTCCCCCTGGAGCCCTGGGCTGACTCCCTTACCCTTCAGACTTTCACTAGCATCTACCAGAGCCTTCCTCTGACCTCCCTGTGTTAATGACAACAGCTCTCCACCCTGCTGCATACCCTAACATGCTGAGCAGCTTTCTTTTCTCCACACCACGTGTTGCCACCAGACAAAAGTGCTACAAGCTCCTGGAGGGAGGGACCAGGTCTATAGTTCACTGCCATATCCACAGTCCCTCATGTACTCCCTCAGTGCTTGCTGAGTGAGTGAGTGAATGAATGAATGAGCGAACCACAAGAATATTATTTGACCTCAAGAACACCGCAGGAACTGGCAGGGGGACCATGATCTTCCTGAACGCTCTGCATGAGATGACTTGGCAGATCCCACGGACTTGCCTTCTTAAAACCACCCTGGAGGCCGGGCACGGTGGCTCATGCCTGTAATCCTAGCACTTTGGGAGGCCGAGGTGGGCTGATCACGTGAAGTCAGGAGTTCAAAACCAGCCTGGCCAACATGGTGAAACCCCATCTCTACTAAAAATACAAAAAAAAATTTGCCTGCATGGTAGCGGGTGCCTGTAATCCCAGCTACTTGGGAGGCTGAGGAAGGAGAATTGCTTGAACCCTGGAGGCAGAGGTTGCAGTGAGCCAAGATTGCACCACTGCACTCCAGCCTGGGTGACAGAATGAGACTCCATCTCAAAAAAAAAAAAAAAAAAAAAAACCCACCCTGGAAACAGGGAGAGAATCAGAGCGAAAGCTTCCAGTTCAAACGCAGGTTGAGAATGAGGTTTGCAGAGCCAGCGGGCAGTGAGTGCTGACCGAGAAGACCCATGGCGGCCCACTGCAGTGGGGGCGGCGGCAGTGTGACCTTGTTGAAACTAGCCGCTCCAGTGACCCAAGGCTGGGGGAGATTTGGCTCTGCTACTTTCCAGCACTGTGAGCTTGGGAGCCTTACCTGCTCCGAGCTTCAGTTTCCTTACTTGTATAATGGGGATTAAATAACACACTTTTTTTTTTTTTGAGATGGAGTCTCACTCTGTTGCCCAGGCTGGAGTGCAGTGGCACTATCTTGGCACTATCTGCAACCTCCGACTCCCGGGTTCAAGCAATTCCCCCGCCTCAGCCTGCCCAGTAGCTAAGATTACAGACACACGCCACTACGCCCAGCTAATTTTTGCATTTTGGGTAGAGACGGGGTTTCACCATGTTGGCCAGGCTGGTCTCGAACTCCTGACCTCAAGTGATCCACCCACCTCGGCCTCCCAAAGTGCTGGAATTACAGGTGTGAGCAACCACGCCCAGCCCTAACACACTTTCTTTATTGCCCTTGAATCAACCGCATTCCAAGGCCAACGTCATTTGGAAAGGTTGACCTAGATTTCCTTTTCCATCTCCACTGGGACCTCCCCTTTCACCCACCGGAACCCAGGAGGCTCTGATGCCTTGAACACACAGAAGGGCTCCTAATCTTTTGTACATCAAAGTCGCCCCAGCTTCTTTGCTGCCCAAGCTCACTGGTGTGGTTTCCTAATGTCCCCGACAGTTTGGGAGATCTCTGCCAAGGCTGGCCACCTGGTACCAGCCCAGGTGCCCCACCTGTCTCCCACCCCCAGGTCTCTGGTCACCTCCTGGATACTGTGAGTACTGGAGAACTTGCTGCTTGGGGACACCAGCACTCTCTCCCCTGAGGGCTGGGGCATATGCTCTCCAGACCCACCTTTCTCCTTCCCTCTCAGGACCCCTGGAGTGATCTCATCAACATCTGGCTTAACTCATCAGGGGATTTTCTGCAAGTGAGAAGGCTAATGCCTCTGGGGCCAGGCAGGCCTGGTGAATGTATGACAAAACTGCAGGGCATGGTAGGAGCGTGTACTGGTTTTCTAGGGCGCCGTAATGAAGTACACACAAACTGGGTGGCTTAGAACAATGGAACTGTGTCGACTCACAGGTCTGGAAGCCAGAAGCCTGAAATCGAGGTGTTAGCAGCACCATGCTCCCTCCAAAAGCACTGGGAAGGATCCATTCCAGGCCTCTCCCTGAGTTTCTGGGGGTTGCTGGCCGTTTTTGGCATTCCTTGGCTTGGAGACACGTCACCCAGTCTCTGCCTTCAGCATGTGGTATCTTCCCTGTGTGTGTCTGTGTTCCCATTTCCCCTTTTTCGAGGACAGAAGTCAGATCAGGGGCCCACCCTACTCCAGTATGACCTCATCTTAACTCATTACATCTGCAATGACCCTCTTTCCAAATAAGGTCACATTCTGAGATACTGGCAGTTAGAACTTCAACATGCATATTTGAAGAGGGTGCAATTTAGCCCCTAACAGGGCTGACGAGCCCTAGAGGGTGAGCAAGTCCACTCCAGTTTACTGTTGCCCTGCAGGGCTCTGGGAGCCTGTCCAGGGTTTCCTGGGACAAGGTACTTTCTGTGCCTAAACTGGGTGAGTCCCAGGAAGCCAGCTTGGTTAGTCACCTCAAATGGGGCCCTATCTTCTTATGTTTCAAGAGAAGTCAGAAACTCTGACTTCACGTGAAATCTCCCAGTTTTTGAATGGGCATCTAATTTGACAAATTTTAAAATCCTGGGCCCCATCTGAGGGTGTCTAGCCTGCGAGTGGCCAGTGGTCACCCATTGCCTAGCATGGCAGGGCAAATTGTAAGACTCCAAAAACTGCAAATAACAGCAACTGTGGCCATGAGCTCAGGCTGGGCAACTTGTTCTGGGGCCCTGCATCAGCCCCATCTCTTTGGAAGCCTTCCTGGGCCCCTACTACCCATGCTCAGCAATGCTTCTGGCTCCAGAAACTTCCAGCACTGTTTCAGATAGGGGGACTGGCATTTGCAAACTGTCTTGGAGTTGGTGACCCAGAAGGAGGGACCCCAGACTAGAGGAAGATGAGAAGGCAGAGAGTACCAGACAGTGCCATCTAGGGAGAAGAAACAAGTCATGAATATCTGATGTAGGGATGGGACGGACACTAAGTGGGAAAGGCCACCCTGCTGCCCAGCCCCCACCACCGCCAGCACCACCAGGCTGGCCATCTCTTTCCCACCTTCCCCACCACCATGCACGTGGTGCCATGCACCGCTGCTCCTCACCCACTCAGACCAGCTCCAGCACCTTTGGAGGTGAGATTAGCTTCTCACACAACTTCTAAGTCTTGATCATAGCACATGCTCTGCGGTTTTGCTGATGGTGACTAACGGAGGGAATTTCAGGCTAGATCAGAAAGGAAGGTGGAACAGGGTAAAGTGGGTGAGGATGAGGCTTTCTGGTTGCTCCTCCCCAGTGTCCAGGAAGTTGCCCATCCAAGCCTCTTTCCCCTGGTGGGGCTTGCCGTGCTGTGTCTCTGGTTTGCTGGCCTGGGCAGTGCCACACTGCCAGGCTTTGCAGATCTGGAAGGGGAAGGAACAAGCCAAAGAGGAAGTGGCATCAAGAAGAAGATGGGAAGGGCAGTCTCCCCCTTCCCTCTTGCCAGGCCTGCAGAATTGGGGAACCCGTATAAAAGACAACATCCCTGCTGGGAGCTGCACCCTCTGCCCGGCCCGGCCCCAGGTGCCCTGATCTGCCTGCCACGACCTGGGCAAAGCATGCTGTTCCTGCACATACTCGGGCTTTCTGAAACCTGAGAAGGCAAGGGGGGTGAGGGAGAGTCCCACACAGCCCAGGCCCAGCTGGTCAGGCTAATTTTAGGTTTTTCTCAGCCTGACTGAGGCCTACTAATCTCCACCATGCCAGAGAATGCACATGGAGCAGAGGCTGTCTTTACTCATGATGCCCCCTCATCCCTCCAAAAAGCTCCTTTTTCTGTCCAATTTCAATTTCTCTTTGACCTGCCCCAGGCCCACCCATCCCAGGAAATCTGCCCCGACCACCACCTCACAAAGAGAGCTCTCCCTTTCTCAGTGTGTGGGGTAACTGTGGTTGGAAACCACAGTACAGCCCTGTGTCCCCAGCCCTGGCACAGTGCTTAGCTCAAAATAAGCCCTTGGTAAGTGTGGGTGGAATGAATGAATGAGCGTTTTATTACACAGTGACAGCATGCTACATGCAGGTTAGGTCTAAAGTTAGCAAATAAGGTTAAAAGAGTTCAGAGTTTAAATTACCCTTGAAACTCCATCAGGAAGACAGCTTATTGGGATTGACATTAGATCTCCTCAAGAAGTCCAGTACAAATCCATTTCCTTTTGTTGAGGAGAGGGACCTGGACCGCTGGCCCAGCTCCCCAGCCCTTGGCCCAACACACGCACTTGCTCAGGAATTCCCGAGGTTTATGGGACATGCCTCCAAAAAAACATACATCTAGAACTCCTAGATGTAAGAGCCTTCCCATCGCCCATCAGCCTTCTCCAGGGACTCTGCCGCTGTTGTCATGACAGCCAGGACAGAGTCTAGTGGAGCCTCGGGAAGTCCGACAGGCTGAGAATGAAGTCAACCAGAGGCAGAGAGGGGCCCCCACACAGAGAGTGGAAATCAGAGGCCTTTGGTGAACAGCCAAAATGACCAAGTTTTGAAGAACTCCCTGAAGTATGCCAATAACAAGAAAAAGGGGAAACTCGTCAGCTCCAGGCATCAAATGAGACATGCCCCAGGCTAGAGCCTGAAAAGGCCAGCAGGGAAGGGGGGCTTTCTCCTCTTACCCCATTTTCCTCCCTATGTTTCAATGAGTTTTTCCTATTGTTTTATTTGAGAATTTCCAAACACATAGAAAATATGGAAAGAATAGTACAGCAAACACTCACGAGCCCTTCATCTATGTTCAGCGACTGTTTAGATTTTGCCTTGTTCTCTGTCTACCTGTATTTGAAACATTTGAGAGTGAGTTACATAAATCACGACACAGCCCCAAATATTTCAGCTGCATCTCATAAGAATTGTCCATTCTCCTGCATAACCACAAGACCAAGTTTAAGGGTAATTGAGTTAAAAAAAAAACACCCACAACTTTTTTTTTTTTTTTTAAATAAAGAAGCTTTGCATGACTAGAAAAATAAGGGAGGGTCAGGGATTCCAGAGAAAAATTATACCAGACCAAGCTTAGATTTGTTCTGATAAACTTCTAAACTGGGTTCTCAGGCCGGGCGTGGTGTCTCAGGTGGGGCGTGGTGGCTCACGCCTGTAATTCCAACACTTTGGGAGGCTGAGGTGGGTGGATCACCTGAGGTCAGGAGTTTGAAACCAGCCTGACCAACATGGTAAAGCCCTGTCTCTATGAAAAATACAAAATTAGCCAGGCATGGTGATGCATGCCTGTAATCCCAGCTACTCAGGAGGCTGAGGCAGGAGAATCGCTTGAACCCGGGAGGTGGAGGTTGCAGTGAGCGGAGATGGCACCATTGCACACCAGCCTGGGCAACAAGATCAAAACTCCATCTCAAAAAAAAAAGAAAGAAAGAAAGAAAGAAAGAAAGAAAGAAAGAAAGAAAGAAAGAAAGAAAGAAAGAAAGAAGGAAAGAAAGGAAGAAAGAAAGAAAAGATATCTAAATTGGGTTCTCATTACAGAAAAACAAGTAAGCGTTCAGCTCTGCCAAACATCTATGCAAGAAGTCTGTAGATGCATATTTAACAGCAAGTCTCCAAATCATATATTTATACTTCCCAAATGATGTTTTGAGAAACTGGAGCTGTTCTATATTTATGCTTATCACATAGTAAGTGCTTAATAAGTTCAAATGCAAACTTTGTCTTTGGGGCAGTAGAAAGTCTTCAAAGCCCACCATCTGAGCCTACATGGGTGATATAGTTTGGTTTTGTGTCCCCACACAAATCTCATCTCGAATTATAATTCCCAGGTATTGAGGGAGGGATCTGTGATTGGATCAAGGGGGCAGTTTCCCCCATGCTATTCTCATGAGATCTGATTGCTTTATACACGTTTGGAAATTCCTCCTTCTTTTGTTCTTTTCTTTCCTGCCGTTTTGTAAAGGTGCCTGTTTCCCCTTCTGCCATGATTGTAAGTTTCCTGAGGCCTTCCCAGCTATGCAGAACTGTGAGTCATAAATTAAACCTCCTTCGTTTATAAATTACCCCGTCTCCAGTCTCGGGTAGTATCTTTGTGGCAGTGTGAATACTAATACAATGCAGCTGGCTCAAACTGAATGAGCCCTGACTCTGCCTCACAGGAATGGCCTTTAGCTAACCACAAGATGATCTCTCTGATCCCATCAAACACCTGCTCTAGCTGCTCTGAGGAGACCTCCTTAGCCACCCAAGTCCTCCCAGCTTTCCTTACATAAATCTCTAGTTCATTTGTGACCACTATCACAAATTAGCTGTTAATTTGTCCTCTATTTTTCCCTGTGGGTTAGTCTTATTTCCCTAATACTAGCCTAAGACTATCTTCCTCTCCACTGTGGCTCACAACTGGCAGCCAAAGTTTCTTGGTTGACTCCAGCCCCCTAAAGATGGGGCAGAGAATGCCAGTCCCTGGTGTGCCAGGAACTGAGCTAAGCACCTTCCAAATAAGGTCTCATTTAATCTTCACAAAACTCTATTGTATGAGTACTAGCATAGCTCCTAATTTAGAGATGAGAAAATTAAGGCTCTCAGAGATTAACAGAAGTCACAACAGCCACCAAGTAGCAGAGGTGATTTGTAGTGACCTGAACTGGTCTCTCAGTAGACAAGTTAACAAGTAAGACAGGTTAATTTTTAACCTGGGTTAAAAATCTCAAGGCACTAAGATGCCAGACTGTAGGGCAAGGGCCCTTTGTGGTTTTCCATGCATATTGGATGGGTGGGGGCCAGGGAGAAGATGCTTCAGGCTCCCATGCGTGGAGCAGGTTACATTGGCATTCCTAGGGTTCTATTTCATGCATGAACTTTGTATCCTCCTGTGGACTCCCACAGGTTTTTTTTTTTTTGAGACAGGGTCTCCCTCTGTTGCCCAGGCAAGACTTAAGACTTCAGTGGCGGGCCGGGCGCGGTGGCTCACGCCTGTAATCCCAGCACTTTGGGAGGCCGAGGCGGGCGGATCATGAGGTCAGGAGATCCAGACCATCCTGGCTAACATGGTGAAATCCTGTCTCTACCAAAAATACAAAAAAAAAATTAGCCGGGCTTGGTAGCGGCGCCTTGTAGTCCCAGCTACTCGGGAGGCTGAGGCAGGAGAATGGCGTGAACCCGAGTGGAGGAGCTTACAGTGAGCCGAGATCGTGCCACTGCACTCCAGCCTGGGCGACAGAGCGAGACTCCATCTCAAAAAAAAAACAAAAACCAAAAAAAAGACTTCAGTGGCACCATCATGGCTCACTGCAGCCTCAGCCTCCCCGGTTCAATCAATCTTACTACCTCAGCCTCTGAAGTAGCTGGGATTACAGGCACACGCCACCATGCCTGGATGATTTTTGTATTTTTTGTAGAGATGGGGTTTCGCCATGTTGCCCAGGCTGGTCTCTAACTCCTGAGTTCAAGCTATCCTCCCACCTCGACCTCCCAAACCGTTGGGATTACAGGCGTGAGGCACAGTGCGTGGCCGAGAGTCTGTTTTCTATTCTAGCCTTCTCCTCGGATTTCACACAACAGGTGCTCCATAAATACTCAGTGAATCCAGGCAGGTATGAAGAAATGTAATTTGTTTCTCCTTTATCCATCCCCCTGAGCAAATGTCCAGACGGCGGAGTCCAAGGGAATGCTACGACCCACCCGTTTGTATCCCGTTAACCTTCCTGCTGCTGACCCGGGAGCAACTGCGTGGAGTGGGCGTGTGCTCTCGGTTGCTCAGGTTGTATCCTGAGATCCTGGCATGGTCTTCCAGGGGAATATTTTTTCCACTGCAGATGACCAGAGGAAGATACCCTACATTCTTCCATAATACGGAGGACAGCTGTGTGGGTTACAGGGGAGGCCAGAAATGAAGCAGGGATGGTGGAACTCGAGACAAAGAAGAAACAAAGGACTGCCCTTAACAGATGCCTTCATTGTTTGACCGGTTCATTATCCAGAACATATGAAGGAAGGAATAAAGAGGGGATCTCAGTTCTTTTTCTCAAACGGCCAAAGAAAACCTTTTGTTGTTGTTGTTTTGAGCAAGAACCTTGTACTGGTACATGAAGAATAGATGAGAAAAGTGTGCAGTGAGTTTGAAAAATATTATTGAGATCTTGAACTTCCACCTTAGCCTGGGTTCCATTGGCTTGGGGAAATTTTAGGCTTTGTTACAGATGTTAAATTATGAAAAAAATCTAGGTACAATTCAGCTTCTATAGGAAAAAACAAACAACAACAAAAAAAACAAAAATAAAAACAAACAAAACAGGCTTGCAGGTCAGGCTATTGCCTTGAAAACAAAAGATAATTAAAGATTACTTACGGCTGCGCACGGTGGTTCACGCCTGTAATCTCAGCACTTTGGGAGGCCGAGGCCGGTGGATCACCTGAGGTTGGAAGCCTGAGACCAGCCTGACCAACATGGAGAAACCCCAACTCTACTAAAAATACAAAATTAGCCGGGCATGGTGGCACATGCCTGTAATCCAGAGGCAGGAGAAACGTTTGAACCCGGGAGGCGGAGGTTGCAGTGAGCCGAGATCGCGCCATTGCACTCCAGCCTGGGCAACAAGAGTGAAACTTCGTCACAAAAAATAAAATGTAATAAAGATTACTTTATCCAAACCCCCTCCCAAGTAAGTTTTTCAAAAAAATGTGCTCTCCCTCTCCTGTGGGTAAGGGAGGAGACCACCCCTCATATTGCCTTATGCCCAATTTCTGCCTCCAAAGAAAGAAAAAGTAAAAACTAAAAGGCAGAAATGAAATCCACAAGCAGTCAGCCCGGCGCCACACCCTGGTCCTCGAAGTTAAAGATCGACCCCTGACCTAATCGGTTATGTTATCTATAGATTACAGACATTGTATAGAAAAGCACTGTGAAAATCCCTGTCCTGTTTTGTTCTGATCTAATTACCGGTGCATGCAGCCCCCAGTCACGTACCCCATGCTTGCTCAATCGATCACGAGCCTCTCACGCCCACCCCCTTAGAGTTGTGAGCCCTTAAAAAGGACAGGAATTGCTCACTCAGGGAGCTCGGCTCTTGAGACAGGAGTCTTACCGATGCCCCCGGCCGAATAAACCCCTTCCCTCTTTAACTCAGTGTCTGAGGAGTTTTGTCTGTGACTTGTCCTGCTACACAGGGAAATTAGAGAAGAGCTGGTCCCTCCAGCCCTGAAAATAGTAGCCAAGACAGAGAAAGGGGGTAGGGGAAGGAAAGCAATGCCAGGTATGTCCCAGTCAGAGGGACCAATAGGATATAAACAAGGTGGAGGGTAGCAGGAACCCCTTCTCCTCCTCACCCCAGCCCACCCTATTCCCTACTCAGGCCTCTGGGAGAAGGTTGCTGAGAGGCTGCCTGCACCTGCTTGGGATGCAGCCTCATCAGCGTGTCTTGGTTAGGCAGGATGCTGCCAACAGCTGAGCTCTGCTAAGCCACCCTTAGACCTTTGGCAGCATGAGCCAGACTTTGGAGGAGCTGCAAGTCTAAATGAGAAGCTTCCAGAGGGGTCCATTGTAGCAGGACAGTTAGGGTGTAAGCAAATTGCTAAGGTTGGAACCAAGCACAAGCTCCGGGCAGACCTCAGAGGGGTCTTCAGCCCCAGTGGGAGCTGGGGTGCAGTGAGCCGTGGTGCAACCCTGCCGAAGCATCGCCAGGGACACAGAATGGACCCCGAGGGTACAACAGCCACAGAGTTCACCTTGCTGTACCCTTGCTCTGCAGAGCTGGCCCGGGGGAAGAGGTGCCACTTTGGCATAGGGACCAAGAAGCGTCCCAGAACAAAGCAAGCCAGACCATGGCCCCAGGCCTTTTAACCTTTGACATCATAAGAACATCTCTGATTCACTGAGACTGTTGCAGTTGAGGACTGACAGCAGGAAGGGCCTCAGAGGGAAAGTCCTTGTGAGGACTCCTCCTTGTGACAGGACTCAGAGCCGAGGCCCAACACTAGGGCTTAGAAGGTGGGGCTTAGCCTGTGGATGGGCCCAGGGAGTGGCCTTCAGACACCACAGCTGAGCATGAAAATGTAAACTGAGCATTCATGCCTCAGGAAACTGAGGGAGGGGCTCCTCTGCCATCTGTGCTAAAAGTAGAGCAGCCAGGGCCTCATCCCAACAGAGGACAAGAATCTCTTCTTCCACACAGGACCCTTCCCAACACCAACTCAGTGTGGCAGGGAAGGAGCAGAGGCAGCCAAAACCAGGAGTTGGATTGAGGGTTCCATCCGTTCCTTGTCCCCCTGGCGTTTGGAATGCTGTGCCATCTAAGATACTTGTCACCAAGTCCTGGGCCCAGCTGTCCCTCTGCTAACCAAGATCCTAGGCCAAGTGCCACCTGAGTTCTGTGGTCCAGTGTGACTGGCTGCAGAGGGGCTTGGCTGTTCAGTTATAAGAAGAGGTTCCCACGTACATGCCCTCCTCCTGATCCTATGCTAAGCCCCAGCACAGGGATGGGAACCTGTGTGTCACCCAGCCTTAACCACTCAAAGAGGGGATGCCTATAGCTCAGGCTCTCCTTTCACTCCATTAGCATCTATCCACCTGGGTCCCTTTTCCCCAGTTAATCATGGCTGCATCCGTATCACGAAGCCTTCTGCTCTGAGGACAGCCAGCCGGGACCAGACATATATGCAGCAGGCTGTGCCTTCCTTCTATGCCTTTGTTTGTGCGGCCCTCTTTCCTCTGCCCACCTGTATTCACCTGGCTGAGGCTCAGAGATGCAGTTTAGGCACATTGGCTGCAGAAACCTGTCTCTGAATCCTCCAGCTTCTCCAGCACCCTGCAAAGACCTTGCTCCTAGTATTTCATTCATTCATTCAACAAATACTTAAGTACCTACTCTGTACCTGTCCTGGGCACTAGGGATGCCACCATGAATAAAAGAGACGAAAGGAAAAAAAAAACTCTGCCCTTATAAGACATAGATCCTACAGTATGTGGGACGGAGACTGATAATACATGAAATAAACAAGCTACATGGCATGTCAAATTCAAAATTCTGTAACGACAAAGAAAGCAGCAAAGGGGGTGAGGCACGTGGGATGGTGGGATGGTCACGTATGTGTGTGCCTCTCTCACAGCTCGGCGTGCTCCTTCAGAACAAGCATGGGATTGTGTTTCTCTCTGGGTCCCCACGCCTAGCCAGGCACCCTGCTGAGTAGTCTTCTTCACTAGTGCTGCCACATACTTAACCACTTGCCCTTTACAGCCCAGAGATCCCTGGGCTGTCTGCACCTATTTCTCCCCAGAGTGCCCAACAGGTCACCAAGGAGGGAGGGTCCAAGAAGGGCAAGGCAGGGCTTGGATAGGCTCCCAGGACTAAGCAAGCAACACCTACCAGCTCAGGCCTTCTTGAAATTAATTCTGGGGGTCAAGCCAATATCATTTGTAGAGCCATAAGCCCTAAGGAAGAACCCTTCAGACAACAAATCAACGAATGCAGCATTCTAATTTTCAACAAACGTATGAATTGCAACATAGCATTAATGACAGAGGCACTGGAAAAGAGTGCTGCCCTGATGGTTTCATAGGAACCACAGTTTACTCAGGGAGGCTGGCTCTGGGCATGAGGAAGAGGGCTCAGCTTTAGTGCTGCTTTATAGAAGTGTACTGGGTTTTTGTCTTGTTTTTTTTTTTTTTTCTCGTTCTGTCGCCTGGGTTGAAGTGCAGTGGCAGGATCTTGCCTCACTGCAACCACTGTCTCCCAGGTTCAAGCAATTCTTCTGCCTCAGCCTCCCAAGTAGCTGGGATTACAGGCATGTGCCACCACACCTGGCTAATTCTTGTATTTTTAGTAGAGACGGAGTTTTACCATGTTGGCCAGGCTGGTCTCAAACTCCTGACCTCAGGTGATCCACCTGCCTCAGCCTCCCAAAGTGCTGGGATTACAGGCATGAGCTACCGCTCCCGGCCTATTTTTTAATCAGTTATACTGGAGGTGGGTATGCTCTCCTCCTTCCTGACTCAGCTTAGATAGGCAACCCTGTGTCCCAGAAGATCCCTCTACTGTGCCCACACCCCATCTGCCCATGGATTAGCCCTGACCCAAAGTGGGCCAGTCACTTTCTTCTTGGGATGTGGAAGTGAGTGCAGTTTGAGAGGCGAAGCTGCTGATGCTTGAAATCCAGCTTGTGGGTGGTGCAGTTAGGAGGTGATGTGGAGTGAAGTCAGCACCACATGTAGGGCCAAGCTCCCCTGCTGCCAAGAGGAGGCTGGGGCAAATGCAGGCAGGGAGAGGCTGTGATGCTGCAGGCCAAGAGGCAGAAAGAGAGAGACAGAGAGGGAGGCAAGAGAGAGAGTTGGAAGAGAGAAAGAGAGGCTGGGACTGGCCAGAATGTGTCCTGCCTGTGGCTGTCTCAGAGGTGCCTCATCCTCATAACAACCCTTCCTTCTTGTAACTTGAGCTAATTTTATGGATTTCTTTTTTTTCTTTTTCTTTTTCTTTTTTTTTTTTTCAAATGGAGTTTTTTTCTGTTGCTCAGGCTGGAATGCCGTGGCGCAATCTTGGCTCACTGCAACCTCTGCCTCGTGGGTTCAGGTGATTCTTCTGCCTCAGCCTCCAAGTAGCTGGCATTACAAATGCTCGCCACCACCCCAGGCTAATTTTTGTATTTTCAGTAGAGATGGGTTTCACCATGTTGCCCAGGCTGGTCTTGAATTCCTGACCTCAGGTGATCCACCAGCCTTGGCCTCCCAGAGTGCTGAGATTACAAGTGTGAGCCACCATGCCTGGCCACATTTTAAAATCTTACAGTTTCTGTGGGTCAGAAGACCACACATGGCCTAGGTGGTCCTCAGTTTCAGGGCATCTCAGAAGACTGGAATCAAAGTGTTGGCCAGGTGCAGTGGCTCATGCCTATAATCCCAGCACTTTGAGAGGCTGAGTGGCACCTGGACAACAGAGTGAGACCCTGTTTCAAAAACAACAACAAAAACAAAAACAAAAACAAAAGACAACAACAACAACAAAAAACACAAGGTGTCAGTTGGGGTTGTGGTCTCATCGGAAGGTTCAGCTGGGGAAGGAGCTACTTCTAGCCTCACTCACAGGGTTGTTGGCAGGGCTGTTAGGCTGAGGCTGCCCTCAACTTCTTATTACATGGGCCTCTACAGCTCTCTTCATCAGAGCAAATGTGTGAGAAGAGCCAGAGAGAGTGCAACAAGATAGAAGTCACAATCTTTTATAACCTACTCTTAGAATTGTTATCCTATCACCTTTGCCGTATTCAATTAATTAAAGCAATTAGCTAGGTCTAGCCCACAAACAAGGGGAAGGGATTTCACAAAAACATGAATACCAGGAGAGGAGAACTAGTGGGGGCCATGTCAGAAGCTGCTGGCCACACCCCTGAACTAGAAAAACCACAAGATTACATGAAAAAGACATTTAAGGAAGGCCCTACCACAGATGGAAACCTAGCCTTGTCCACAATTCCAAGAAGATCCTTTAAGTTCTAAAGTAATCTGGTTTTGTTTTTCTTTCTGTTTTTGTTTTTAGAGAGAGTCTTGCTCTGCTACCCAGCCTGCAGTACAGTGGTGCAATTGCAGCTCACTGCAGTCTCAACCTCCTAGGCTCAAAGGATCTTCCCTCCTCAGCCTCCTGAGTAGCTGGGACTACAGGCATGCACCACCATGCCTGTGACCCATAAAGTTCTTAAGCCAATGTAACTTACTCAATTATGTTGGTGTGTCACTAAAAGAATAAAAGAGATGAAAGAAAAAAAAAAAACCTGCCCTTATGGGACATAGATCCTACAGTATGTGGGACAGAGACTGATAAAACATGAAATAAACAAGCTACATGGCATGTCTTTCCCTGCAATTCCAGCAATAAAATTCCCAGGAGAGGCTGGGGAGAGAGAAACACACACCAAAGAGTAGGTAGAGACAGTGAGAGAGACAAAGAATAAAGAAGAAGGTAGGGAAGGTGGTAGGGAGGGGGAAACGGGGAGAAAACAAGAAGGTCTAAGGAAACATATTACTTCTTGACAGCAAATACACCAAAAGCTACCGTTTCTTTTTTTTTTTTTTTTTTTTTTAGACGGAGTTTTGCTCTGTCACCCAGGCTGGAGTGCAATCGCACAATCTCGGCTCACTGCAACCTCCACCGCCTGGATTCAAGCTATTCTCCTGCCTCAGCCTCCCAAGTAGCTGGGACTACAGGTGCCCGCTACCACGCCTGGCTAATTTTTGTAGCTTTTAGTAGAGACAGGGTTTCACCATGTTGGCCAGGCTGGTCTCTAACTCCTGACCTCAGGTGATCCGCCCATCTCAGCCTCCCAAAGTGCTGGGATTACAGGCATGAGCCACTGTGCCCGGCCAAAAGGTACCATTTCTAATACAGATATAACCCTAATTGACTTGGGACTTAAATTGCAAGAGAAAGAGTTCAGCACTTGATGTGTTAGGCAAAGTATCAGCTTTCAGCCCAAAGTGTTAAGGGGATTATAAGCAGGTGTGTTGGCCTGAGGAGTATCCATTCAACAGGTATTTTTAAGCATCTACCATGTGCCTGACCTTATGCTGGGAATACACAGTGAAAAAGTACTTCATTCACAAATATTTATTGAGCATCTGCTATGTCATATAAATTGTTCTGGGCTCTTAGGGAGTACATCTAAGAAAAAAACAGACCTAACTAAGCAGAACTTACCTTAGAGCAATACCAACAGATGGCATGCAAAGATTAGTTGGTACTTTGTAAAGTGCCCTTATGCTATCCCACTGGAACCTCAATAGGCAGAAGGTTCCAGTATTGTCATCATCTGGAATATGAATAAACCCAGAACACAGAGATCAGCACAGGCCCCAGAGCTCAGAGAGAGTCAGAGGCTCATGGACCTCATCTTTACTTTCTTCTACAAGTGGTTCTCAAATTCGAGTGTTCGCTATAATATCCTAATGTTCTTGTAAAAATGCAGAGTACTGGGCCTGGCTCCCAGAGATTCTGACCCATTAATTCTGGGATAGGCCTGGGAATCTGTACTTTTAATATCACCCAGATGATTCAGCAGTAGAAGGTCCCCAGAGCTCCCTTTGAGAACACGCTGTGAGCCCATCTCCCAACCAAGAGATTTTTGTCAAAGCTCCCAAGGAAGGAGTAGGGTTGACTGCACAGTGAATGCTCACTTCCTCATGTGAAATGTACAAATTCAATTCAACTTGATCAATATTCATTTGTTCAGTCGAATAAAAATAAAGAGCTTAGGAGGTGGCTGGTGGGGTGTAGATAGGGATGTCTACATGGAGGAATATAAACTCAGAATGCCAGGAAGTTGTCTTCAAATATCTTAAGATGGTGGGTAGCTCAGTTTAACTCAAACACCTTTATTAAATGCATCAACTAGGATACTTTTGGTTGTGAGCAACAGAAAACCCTATATAACTGGCTGAGCAACCAGGAGCTGCATCATGTCACCACAAGGAGGAGTCCAGAGGGGTATAGCCCCCGTGCCCCAGGCACTGTGCTAGGTAAGGGCTTGAGGTACCCAGACATGGTCTCTATGCTCAAGGACAGTCTCAGAGGAGAGAAACACATGAACAGATGCCTTGGAGTTAATGTGCTGTGATACGTGCTGTGACACAGGTGTTGCCCAGAAGAGGGGCACCCGGCTCTGCCCGAGGACAACAGGCAGGTAAAGCTTCCTGGCAGAGGTGATACCTGTGCTGGGCACTGAGGATGAGTAAGAATGAGGCAAAGAAGAAAGGAGTGGAAGGGGGTTTCAGGCCATATGGCTTACAACTCAGAGGGATGAGGCATCACGGCGTGGCGTGGGAAGTCCCGTGCCTCTGGAGTGAGTAGATTGGGTGTCAGACTGAAGAACGAGCAGAAGCCAGGACCCGAGGGCACATAAGTCATCCTGAGGAACTTGAACTTGGTGGTCCGCCACATGGCAGTGTTCATGGGGCAGCTAGAGATGCAAGCCACAGTTTGCAGAGCAATTTTTTGAACCTTAGAAGCCATATAAGGGCTGAAGATATGTATTAGAGTGTTGGCAGCATAGAGGTGATAGAAATTCTAACACAGATGAGAAATGACAGGCACAGTGTGAGACAGAGAAGAACACTAAGCTGAGCGTGGGAGCCTAGGAGCAAGACTCAGGTCTCAAGACCCCGCGTCTCCACCAAGCAGTCTCAGAAGAATTGCTCGACAGGTGGGAAGAGCTCCAGGCGAGAGGCTGTCTTAGAAATCAAGGAAGTGGAAAGTTTCCAGGAGGAGAATGTGGTTGCCATTTCAAATGCAACAAAGAGGCCCAGAAAGATAAGGACTGAAATGTATCCCGTGGGTTTGATAATCTGGAAGTCTGGAGACTTTGGTAAACAGTTACAGTGGCGTGGTAGGGACAGAACCAGGGTACTGTGGTGGGGAATGATAGAGCAACGAAGGCTAGGATTACCCAGTGAAGATGGCTCTTATAATAAGCTCAGGGCAAAAGGAAAGGAAAGAGGGAGAGGCAAGAGGGGAGTATAGGATCAAAGGAAAGTGTTTTTTGGGTGGGGAGAACTTGAGCATGTTTGTACATTGAGGGTCAGAGGGAGATAGGAGTGACTGCAGCAAGTTGTGAGCAAATTGGAGCAAGAGGGACAAAATTGAGGCAGCGTGAGGGGCTGGACCTGACCATGAGGAGGAACACTTCGTCCTCAGAGACAAGGGTGGGTGGGTGGGTGGGTGTGACACACTGGAAAACCAGGATGGTGGGAGCCGTACAGTGTTCAGTACAGGATGATCACCAGAAAGAAATATTAATGAGAGCTTTCTGCAGATCCTGACCCTTTGTAAAGGGAGTGCACACTAACTTTCCAATTCGCAAAGAATAGCACCCTCTTATAATCACCCCAGGGATAAGGAAGGATCAGAGTGTGAGTCAGAAAATGAGCTGCTTGGCCGGATGCAGTGGCCAAGTGCACCTGCAATCCCAGCACTTCAGGAGGCTGAGGCGGGTGGATCGCCTGAGGTCAGGAGTTCGAAACCAGCCTGGCCAACATGGTAAAACCCTGTCTCTACTAAAAATACAAAAATTAGCTGGGTGTGGTGGTAGGCGCCTGTAATCCCAGCTACTTGGGAGGCTGAGACAGGAGAATCGCTTGAACCTGGGAGGCAGAGGTTGGAGTGAGCCGAGATCACACCATTGCACTCCAGCAGTGGGTGACAAGAGTGAAACTCTGTCGAAAGAAAAGAAAAGAAAAGAAAATTAAAGAAAAGAAAGAAGGAAGGAAGGAAGGGAAATGAGCTGCTTGTATCAGATATTTCAGGTGTGGAGTAGCTCTAGGTGATGACAAGTTCCAGGATTTGAATGTGGTACGGAGCTGAAATGGAGCAGAGGTGAGGGTTACTGGGATTAAGATCAGAGAAATCGTGCAAGCCTAGGTTCTTGGATAGGTGTATCAGATAGGAACCCAATTTTGCTGCAAGCAACAGCAACATGGCTGCAGTGGCTTAAATAAGTTTGGGATATACAGGATAAGAAGTCTAGAGTCAGACAGATGATGGTGATGGCTCAATAGCCTTTTGAGGACAAGGTGGACTCTGCTAGCCATTTCCTCATGGTTGAAAGATGGCTGTCCCTGCTCCAGCCATTGCATCTACAGTCAAGGAAGGAAGAAGGAGAAAACGATGTACCAGCTGTGTATCTCCCCTATTACCAGGAAAGCAAATGCTTGTCTAGAAAACACTCCTTCTCTCCAGCATATTCCCACTGGGTCTTCTTGAGAGAACCGTGTCCCTTGGCCTTCCCTTGGCTGCAAGAGAGCTGAGAGAACTGGGAACGGGACTGCCATGGTAGATGAAGTCAGCACCTTCTGCTGGGCACACCGCTGCATGGAACTAAATCAGGGTCCTCGTACGAAGGCGAAAATGGGGCTGGATATTGATTAGGCCAACATGAGATCTGCTGTGATACATCCTCTGTGTGGTGAACAAAGTCTTGTCCTGCTCTAGAGCGTTGATATTCGGGCCAGTGAAGGATGGAAATAGCTGTTAGGTCCAGCTGAGGGCAGGACTGGGAAGAGGAGTGATGGGAAGGTAGTCAGAGGCCAGAGCTGAGTCCCTGGACACCAGCCTGTGTTTGTGCTGAGAGGGGAGCTCTCCGCACGGTCTTGAGCAGCTGTGAAACAGGCAGAGCTGTCTTCGGGGAGATGGAAGAGGCAGGCCTGGCCAAACTAAGGGGCAGGTGCAGACCACAGCCACAGTTTGGGAGGCAGCAAGTGCCTGCCCAGCCTCCAGCACCCCCTTTGGGCCTCTGGGCACCTCAGAAATGTGAACTGGGCAACCCAGGCTCCGCATTCACAGGCGTAAAGTGTGGCACCCTTTGAGAAGGGGACTCAGGTCAGACTGGCCCTCCAGAAACCTCAAGACTACCACCCCCATGTCTCTTCCTTATACCCTGTGGTCCTCACCATGGTCCTCTCATTTGATCCCGGTCCTCTTGCCCAGCTATCCCCTGGCTCCTCCCACAGCATTAGGGTTCCATCCCCAGCAATGCTGGGTAAGAGCTTCCCAGGACTCCTCTCCCCTCCCCAGGGCCCTCTATTTGAGCAGAACCAGACAGGGCAACACAGGGGCAGATGATGAGCTACACAGGGCCCGCTGCTGGCTGGTTGTGAGTGGGTAAGAAAGGAGGAGGGCAAAGCTGACTCCCCACGCTAAGCCTAGGTGACCCATCCAGCAGCCTACAGCTGTGCAGTGGGACTTGGGCAGCAGTGATGGTTCAATAGCCTTTTGGGGACAAGGTGGCCTCTGTTAGCCATTTCCTCATGGTTTAAAGATGGCATCCCAGTGTGTGACCTGGACACCAGGTTTTGTCTCAGATGAGCCAGAGAGTAGAGAAGCCCCTCAGGCTGCACTCCCCCATGTTTCTGCCCTTCGTCCACTCCATCGAGCATGCCCTGCACCCTCAGATCCCAGGGCCTTTGCTCATGCCATCAGTCTGCCTGGAACACTCCTCCCCACCCTGCTCTCCAAGTTGACTCCCACTCTTCCTTTGCGCCCCAGCTTAGACATCATTTCTCTGAAGACCCCTTTCTTGGCCTTTTGCCTGGTTCTTTCTTTCCCCGTTTTCCTTCTTAGGAGTATGTGATTCTGTATTAGTTCAGATCATTACCACCAATCACTGAGTCAAACATGCAATCCCAGTGAGCAAGCACAACAGAGGCTGATTTCTTCTACTTCCACGTGGCTTGGGAAGGCCTCCTTCATTTGTAGTTACACTGGCCACCTGGCAATATGCCACACCCAATGTCACCAATGCGGAGCATGAGAAGGAAGCACACCAGCTTTTAAAGTGCATCCTTGGAGGTGACACAAATCACACCCACTCAAGGTCCTTGCCAGAATTGATCACATGCCCCAGACTAAACTGTAAAAGGTATTGGGAAATAGTGGGATGTACGTGGAATAGTTAGTTAGTTAGTTAGTTAGTTAGTTAGTTAGTTAGTTATTTTTAAGAGATGGGGTCTCAGTTGTTGCCCTGGTTGGTCTCAAACTCTTGGGTTCAAGCAATCCTCCTGCCTGAGCCTCCTGCGTAGCTGAGATGACAGGTGTTTGCCACCATGCCCAGCTCATGGAATATTTAGGAAGCTCTACTTGTCTCTGCCACAGCTTTTTGTAAAAGCCTCTTATCACAGTTGTCACTTTACATTTATTTATGAGCTTCTTGGATGGTGTCTGTCTCTGTCCCGAGGGTTGTGAGCTCCAGTGAGGACAGGAATTGCATGTGTTGGCTCACGGTTCCCCCTCAGGGTCTAGCCGACTACCTGTGTGTCATCGGTGTCCAGGAAATATTGAGTGACTCACTAAATAAATAAACTGCATTAAGTGGGCAGTGGGCTTAGCAATTGAGAGTTCACTTCAGGCCACAAAGAGCATCATTTCAGAGGGAAACAAAACTTCAAAGTCTAAGGAGTGAAATTGAGTTAGGGATCAGAGGGGCAGCTAATTTTGACAGAGAAAAGCAAGAAGATCTGATGAGGAGAGGCACGGGGGAATTTTCCCAGAGGCCCAGCTCCCTAAATCAGCTTTTATTAAACCACTCCTTGGTACTGTGGCTGTCCCTGGGTGCCACAGACACAAAGAGCTGTGGGGGAGAAGGGGAAGGTTTTGCAGCCATCACTAGCTCCCACTGCTTCCCCTGTGACCTTACCACTGTGAAAAATAATGCAGCAACAGCAGAATGCACAGTTTCCATAATTAGGCTCCGTGAAGAGGGGAAGCCGTCTCAAAAAGCCTGCTGTTTTAGCTCTGGTAGAAGTCTGGGTAGTTTAAAGCGGAGAACGTGTTTTCCAGACAGATGGCTTAACATCGGTTCCTGACAAAAGGCAGGCAGGAAAGAAGAAACCACTCAGGAAAAGAAAAGCCTTCAAACCTCTGGAGAGGCAGTGAGTGGTCTAAAATCTCTGCTTCTTCTTAGCTCTCTGGTTCTGGCCACATTACCCAGCTTCTCTAAGCTCCAGCTTCCTCACCTGTAAAATTCCTCTTCATCAGTTCTAAGACACACCTTTTTTTCTTAACATTTTAACATCGCTGAAATTAGGATGTAATTAGCGATCAATGGCAGGCCACAATATAGTTGGTAGGGCTTTTCTCTTCATATGGCATAAAGTAATGGCAAGTGTTACAATCAATGTATCTTAGATTTGATGAAATACAGCATTCCCTTTGGTTTTGGGATCAGAAATAATATAGGTGAACCGGTGCCAGGTAATATATGGAATTGTACATAGTAGATTCTCAGAAAAATCACAATTTTAATCTTATTACTTTAAGATATAAAAAAGAAAAATCTTCAGGCTAGGCGCGGTGGCTTACAACTGTAATCCCAGCACTTTGGGAGGCTGAAGCGGGCAGATCACCTGAGGTCAGGAGTTCAAGACCAACCTGGCCAACATAGCGAAACCCCATCTCTACTAAAAATACAAAAATTAGCTGGGCGTGGTGGCACACACCTATAATCCCAGGTATTCGGGAGGCTGAGGCAGGAGAACCTCTTGAACCTGGGAGACAGAAGTTGCAGTGAGCCAAGATCATGCCACTGCACTCCAGCCTGGGTGACAGAGCAAGACTCTGTCTCAAAAACAAAAACAAAAACAAAACTTCAGTCTTTGTGGGATACGTAGCATGAACAAGGTTAGAAATGTAATGTGCAACATCAGAACTAAAGTTGGCTGGGCGCTGTGGCTCACGCCTGTAATCCCAGCACTTTGAGAGGCCGAGGCGGGTGGATCACAAGGTCAGGAGATCAAGACCATCCTGGCTAACACAGTGAAACCCCGTCTCTACTAAAAATACAAAATATTAGCCAGGCGTGGTGGTGGGCACCTGTAGTCCCAGCTGCTCTGGAGGCTGAGGCGGGAGAATGGCGTGAACCTGGGAGGCAGAGCTTGCAGTGAGCCGAGACTGCTCTGGGCAATAGAGCAAGACTCTCTCTCAAAAAAAAAAAACAAAAAACAAACAAACAAAAAAACACTAAAGTTAATAAAACTTTATTGTATTAGAGATTTCTGTTAAGTTAGTAGATTTCAGCTGCTCTTGTCACCAAAAAGGAAAGTAACTATGTGAGATGATGGCTATGTTAATATGCTTCGCTATGGTAACCACTTTACTATCTATATGTATCCCATAACATTTGTTATGAACCTCAAATACACACAATAGAATTTATTTTTTAAGAAAAGTCTTTGTGACATCATCCTTAGCTAACCAACACAGGAACAGAAAACCAAATACTGCACATCCTCACTTATAAGTGGGGGCTAAATGATGAGAACACATGAACACATAGAGGAGAGCAACACACACTGGGGCCTTTTGGAGGGTGGAGGATGGGAGGAGGGAGAGGATCAAGAAAAACAACTAATGGGTCCTAGGCTTCATACCTGGGGGATGAAATAATCTATACAACAAACCCCATGACACAAGTTTACCTATGAAATAAAGCTGCACGTGCAACCCTGAACTTCAAATAAAAGTTTAAAAAATAAAAATAGGCTGGCTATGGTGGCTCATGCCTGTGAACCTAGCACTCTGGGAGACTGAGGCAAGTGGATCACTTGAAGTCAGGAGTTCGAGACCAGCTCCACTAGAATAACAAAAATTAGCCGGGCTTAGTGGTGTGTGCCTATAATCCCAGCTACTCAGGGGACTGAGGCAGGAGAATTGCTTAAACCAGGGTGGGGGCAAAGGTTTCAGTGAGCCGAGATGGTGCCACTGCACTCCAGCCTGGATGAAAGAGCGAGACTCCATTTCAAAAATAAATAAATAAATAAATAAAAATCTTTGTGAGTTGTTTGGTTTCTACCCTCAGACTCTATACAACTGTCATTACAGGATTAGGAGGTGCCCTTGTAAGACTTGGGCAAAGTACACTGACTTTGCAGGTGGGACTGGGGTAAAGGCTAGATGACGGAAGAGAGAGAGAGAAGACAGAGAGAGAAACAGAGAGAGAGAAAACACAGAGAGAGAAGAGAGAGAGACGGAGAGAACACAGAGGTTAGCGGGAGGAAAAATCAAAGGTGAAATATGAATCCACCGCCTCTTTGGAACTTTACAGTGGTGACTGAAATGTAAGAGACACTGGTTCCAAGCCTGGGAAAAGGGCAAAGTGATCCAGCCTCACGGATGACTCAGCCAGGAGCAAAGAGGGCATTCAGAAGAAGACATAAATATTCCTTAGCCTCAGAGAGGCAGAGACCTGAAAGAACTGATAAATCAGGAATCTTGATTATTGTAAATTTGGAAGTTGTACATGTAAAATGTTTTCTTTTTCCATTGGAAAGATAGAGACTGTCATTTGGTGCAAATCTCTCTACTGATTTTTAAAGAAAGAAAGGAATACTGTTAGGTAGATGGGGGATCTGGAAAGAATTCCTGGATTTAGCTTGGGGCTTAGAATCCAGCCCCTTCCCCTCTTACTGTTCCTCCTCCCCGCCTCCACCACAAGTGATTTGTTCCATTTTAATTGCACCCATTTGACTTTCACAAAACATGTTAAAATTTTGTTAGTGCATGAATATCTGGGTATGTGTACTTGAGTTTAATATTTGAAGGCTTAATTTGCTTTTTGAAATGTTTTTATAAAAGTATTTCATTACTTAATGAAGTGAAGTAATTTTTAAAAGTAAAATCAAGGTCCAATCTGTATTGATCTGGAGAAGTTCTGCAGTATATCAAATGTTTATGGTTTTGCACGTCCCAATTACAAGAATCAGAAGGGCATTAAAAACAAAAAGATAAAAAAGCTTATGCAGAGATGGTGTTAGTAGTGACTCAGGGCATTCATTATTTTATGGGAAGGGAATTATTAATAAATTACTTCAGGGGTAGAATTGCCAATTTTACGTCACTTTTATGACAAAATAAATCAAATGTGCAAATGCTCAGTTTTGTATATAATTCAGCATATGATTGTATATGTGTGACCAATTCTGCTAAGTATAAAGTCCCATGACAGTTTTATTCAGAAAATACAAATAATACAAAAATGCAGAACTAATTTTCTGGTCCCAAGATAGCTTGGCAAATAGCCACGTTTATAAATATTTTCTGTGACATAATTTGTACTATGACTTAACCAAGATGTCTTTAGAGATAATATTTGTTAAAGTAGTCAGTGATAGAACTTAGCCCATTTATGACTAGTGTTCCATTACTGGAACACTAAGTATGTGGGAGTTATTTGTATCCTACTGCTCAAGGTCATTGCCAAGTTCTGATTGCAAAAATTCAAAAAATTGCAACCTCAGGCATAAATGGGTTAATCTGAAATGCCAGTTAAAAATTGGGCTGTTTCCACCCCTGCCTCCACCCTCCGAGCTTTGCATGTTCCACTAACCCGGGCAGGTGGCAGGTGGAGGTGTCAGGCTGCTGGCATCTCTTCGAGGGCAGAACACTAACCTGACCATGGGCATCCAACCCAATAAAAGCAATTCCAACCTTAAAATAAATAAAAATAAAATTAAACAAATTGGGCTGTGGCGTTTTTTTGTTTGTTTATTTGTTTTGATGGAGTCTCCCTCTGTTGCCCAGGCTGGAGTGCAGTGGTGGGATCTTGGCTCACTGCAGCCTCCACCTCCCAGGTTCAAGTGATTCTCCTGCCTCAGCCTCCCAAGTAGCTGGGATTACAGGTGCCCGCCACCATGCCTGGCTAATTTTTTTAGTTTTAGTAGAGACAGGGTTTCTCCATGTTGGCCAGGCTGGTCTCGAACTCCTGACCTCAAGTGATCCACCCACTTTGGCCTCCCAAAGTGCTGGGATTATAAGCGTGAGCCACCGCACCCAGCCTAGGCTGTTTCAATGCAATTTTTATTTCTTTTCTTTTCTTTGTTTTTATTTTTTTGTTTTTTGTTTGTTTTTTGAAACAGAGTCTTGCTCTGTCACCCAGGCTGGAGTGCAGTGGTGCAATCTTGGCTCACTGCAACCCCCACCTCCCGGGTTCGAGCAATTCTCTTGCCTCAGCCTCCCAAGAAGATGGGATTACAGGCTTGTGCCACTATGCCCGATTAATTTTTGTATTTTTAGTAGAGAGGGGGTTTCACCATGTTGGCCAGGTTGATCTCAAACTCCCGGCCTCAAGTGATCCACCTGCCTTGGCATCCCAAGGCGCTGGAATCACAGGCATGAGCCACCGCACCCGGCCTGTTTCAGTGTAATTTTAATTAGAAACATCCCATGGTGTTAGGGTTAATTTGCTTGGTAATTTTAACCAGGAGCATGCAAATGATTATTGAATTCATTGGGATTTTATGTTATTAGAGGTATCTCATCCACCCATAATGTAGCCTTGTGCTTTGGGTTGTGGGGTGGTTTGTGGTATAATCACTATAAAATAGGCCTGGGCCACTGAACACCAATAGTCAACACAGATATGCAGACTACAGACACATTTAATAAAATGTTACATTGTTGGTAATTATACATTGTGAAAGTAATTTTTGTCTCCTTTAATCTGTCATTTGTTTGTTGCATAGTCAGTCTTTATCTTTGGACTGGGTCCAGAAATGGCCAGAAATGTATTTTAATGATCCTGGAAGTGGCTAGTAGCATGTGCTGTGGATGTGGAATTGGTATGACTGGATGCACCAGGGTCTGCAGAAGCTGCACCAAGATTGTGACTGTACACAGAGATCTTCAGCCTGAAAGAAATCAAGTTTCAGTTTGATGAATTTGATCTGGGCCATCTCCAACACACTTTATGTACCTTATGTACTGTGATGTACTGTTCCTCAGACACCGTGGCAATCTTCTGCATTGGTCCTAAAATAGCTGGAGATATCGCAGCTCCTTCTTGGGGGCCCTGCTGACAAGTGGAGGCCAGTTGCTAAGCCCATCAGCTGCATCGTAGCTGCAGCAGTCCAGGCGCGGTCACCCAGACCATGCGTGGACCAGAAAGAGCCCATCTTCTGCATCACTCCAGGAGCAGCTGAACAATTCCTTTTGGAAGCAGTGGGACGAAACCAAGTAGCTGGCAGCTTCCCCGGGCTCTCTTCCACTGTAGCAGAATCTTGAGAAAGCTGGCTTCCAGCCACGGCTGCTGCTTGAGTGTATGGGTCTGGTGCCTCCATCCCATTTCCTGCATGGCCCTGACCCCTGGATCCTTCTTATTCGAGAAGGTGAGCCAGTGCACACACTGGCAGAGGTCACTGGTTGTCCTCTAGTGGGGGGTCAGGCGTGTCTGTATTGGTGCTTGTCCCACCTGGCAGACCCAGCCTACTTTTTTTTTTTAATCCGTAGATGAACAGGGCAGAAGATGCCAGGTAAATAGGGCTCTACTGCTTCTTGACTTCCTGACCAGCCCAGCCAGCAGGCACTGCCTGGGGTGGTCAGTAGGCTTCCTATACAAGTATTCTGGGCCACCTCTCATTGAACCTCCCCCACATTTACACATCATACCCACTCACACACACCCACACATTCACCTATGTGCACCTCCCCCCAGCACACATACTCACCAGTCAAATGGGCAAATCATGCAAGGGAACCACGGCACATTCCTCTGCTTAATAGATGCTCCTTTCCTATTCCCCTCCCAACCACCAAGAATGATGTCATCCACCAGGAATCCAAACTCAACCCTCTGCCCTAAGACCTAAGGCAGAAAGGATCTGACTACCTGTGGAACCGCGAGTTACTGTAATGCTTGTCACATTAGATTACAGGATGTCAGGGAGTCTTCTGAACTCAGGGACACACCAGTATGGACAGACAGCACAGATGAGTCCCTGCTTCTAGGGTGCCCCATTGGTGCCAAGAGCATAACCACAGAGGTCCTTGACTACTCCTTGCAACCCTTGCTGGACACCCCACTGCTCCTGGCCCCCCTAACTGGAAGACTTTGGTTTCATCCTCACTTAGGTAGTTGGACATGGAGCTGTCTGCCGACTTGGGAACCTCTCAGCCATGCATATAGGGCCATGATATTGCTAGAGGACTTTTGTTCTTCTGCTTATTTTTAAAAGACCAGTCCTGTTCAAAGTCATCTCCAAGCACATGAATTACATAAAAATAGGCTTTAAGGCTTAGAGAGATGAAACTTGGCATCAGAGGTCCCTGAGGAACGGCCACTGCAGCTTGACACCACTTTGAGCCAGGAAAACTTAGTCTTGGCCACTTAGAGTAGGCACTTAACTTTGAACGATTGGAATTTTCAAACAACCAGGTTCTAGGCAACCACTTGGTTAAAACCTTGTTATACAAGCCCAAATAACAGGAGTCAGCCAAGACCACCCTGACTTGAAGAAGATTCTCCATCGTGAAACAGTTATCACTGAGCAATCTTAAAATCCACCAGCATAACCAGATACCAGCTGCAAGCCAATGCCTACCACAGCCGTCCCTAGACAAGGTCTCCCACCCATTCTGCAGGGATTCCAAAAGTGCAGAGAACGGGGCAGGGGGCTAGCTCTGCCATTTTGACCCCTCCAGCATGTTCCTTGGGGAAAAAGCCAGAATACGGGTGTGCATTCTGCCATGACATCAACGTAGAGGGACGCAGATGTCAGATCTTCTGGCAAGACATACTCAGGTCAAGGTCAGGCCTAGGAAGACAATGAAGACTTCTTTACTCATTTCTGATGCCAGAGCCTCTGAAAAACTGGACTCTGTAATATTCTTGGTCCCTTGAAATGCTGGTGCTATGGATGACATAAACAAGACAATCCACACCATTTCTTGTACCAGAGCCCCACTTCCAGCCATCATAGCTCTGTTCATCAAGGTTGAGTCCTAAATCCACGAACTACCCACTGGCCACAGTTTGCATCCCAATTCTGGAGACATAGTACAAAGCCTAATGTATGTCAGTCTACCTCTCTATCCCCCATCTTTGTTGAAAGTGTGGCCAGACGCAGTGCTAGGATTCACACCTGTAATCCTAGCACTTTGGTAGGCCGAGGCAGGTAAATCACTTGACGTCAGGAGTTTGAGACCAGTCTGGCCAACATGGTAAAGCCCTGCCTCTACAAAAATGCAAAAATTAGCCCCGTGTGGTGGCGGGCACCTGCAGTCCCAGCTACTTAGGAGGCTGAGGCAGGAGAATCACTTGAACCCGGGAGGCAGAGGTTGCAGTGAACCACTGCACTCCAGCCTGGGAAACAGAGCAAGACTTCATCTCAAAACAAAAAACAATAAGTGGGCCAGTCCTCAGAGGCATCCTACCACCGCTACACACAAGACTGATTTTCAGCTGGAATCCACTGTATTTAGTTGGTGCCTGTATAGTTATACTTACTGAATAATTTTAACATCTCCCCTGGCTACATGCCATACAGTCAGCATAACTCATTCTCCTATCTTGCTTCTGATGAGTCTTTCTACTTTGTTATTATTATTATTTTTTTTTAGATAGAGTCGCACTCTGTCACCCAGGCTAGAGTGCAGTGGCATGGTCTTGGCTCACTGCAACCTCCACTTCCCAAGTTCAAGCAATTCTCATGCCTCAGCCTCTGAGTAGCTGGGATTACAGGCAGGCACCAACACGCCTGGCTAATTTTTGTATTTTTAGTAGAGACGGGGTTTTGCCATGTTGCCCAGACTGGTCTTGAACTCCTGGCCTCAAGTGCTGTGCCCACCTCGGCCTCCCAAAGTGCTGGTATTACAGGTGTGAGCCACCATGCCCGGCTTACTTTGTTATTCTTTATATGACCCAGAACACACTTTCTGCAGTAAGTACAGATTCTCAAGCACCATGAATTGCCTCCTCTGTACAGGCACTGGGCAAGGCCTGGGAACATCACAGAGAATACCCAAAGTCCCTAAGAATTCTCAGGGGTTCCCCGGTTATCACTAGCCCGCGGGACCTCGCCACCGACATGCTTGTTTTATCAAGCTGAAGCAGGTATCTGACACATCAAAGGAAAATCAACTATGGATGGTGGAGCCTCAGGCAGCCAAAGAGATGATTACAGAATGGAGACATCATCTGGGTCTCCTCACCCTTTTTGTCACATGACCTTGCTGAAATCAGGAAGAGCACCTTTCGATTCCTGTGAAGTTGCAGAGATGGCAAGTCCTGTTGCTTGCTGCCTTCAAACACCCCTGACTACACACTCAACCCAGTGGAGCCATCACTGCCTGTCCTGTGCCCCCACCAAGAAGGGGAATGAGATGAGGTCAGATTGATTAAAAATGTGCATGCCTTTTATTTTTTTGGCCTCCCCCTCCCCAGATTGTAGGGCTTCCCCTTGGCAGTTTTTTTTTGTTTGTTTGTTTGTTTGTTTTGTTTTGTTTTGTTTTTTGAGACAGAATTTCGCTCCTGTTGCCCAGGCTGGAGTACAATGGCGTGATCTTGGCTCACTGCAACCTCCACCTCCCAGGTTCAAGTGATTCTCCTGCCTCAGCCTCCCAAGTAGTGGAGATTACAGGTGTGCACCACCATGCCTGGCTAATTTTGTATTTTTAGTAGAGACCAGGTTTCACCATGTTGGTCAGGCTGGTCTCAAACTTCTGACCTCAGGTGATCCACCCTTCTCAATCTCCCAAAATGCTGGGATTACAGGCGTGAGCCACCACGCCCAGCCTCCCCTTGGCACTTTTAACTTCCAGGCTTACCCTTGGCCTTCATACTGGTCACTAAGCCAGCTCCAAGACCTGAGTGGCACCTGCTCCAGTCCAGTTCTGCCTTGGCCTGGCTTCTGCCCAATGCCTGTCCAGGGTGGGACCTAAGCTGCCTGGATATTATTTCCTCCTTCCGATAAAGGCATACCTGGGTGTGTTTACCACTGTCTCAGCTCAGAAGCATCTCAGACCAATTCCTTTCTATTTCACTCAAGACAGAATGTGGGAGTTTCCCCTCCACAACTGCACCACTGCCTGAGGTGTCTAGGGCCACACTTCCTTCTCTGAACTTGCTCATACCTGAGATGTTGAAAGGGCGGCTGTCCGAGGGATGAGCCACAGGAGGACTGCAAAGAGGCTCAGCACAGATGGTTGTCACTCCAGCAGGACAGTCAGGGGCGAAGTGCTGGCTGCCCTTATGAGAGTTCGTCGCTGGCACTGTGACAGACGAAATTCACTTGACGATTAAGGAGATGGTTTTATTCAAGCTAGTGCCATGAAGAGAATGCTCATTAATGAGGGACATCTCAAAGAAAAGGAAGGGGGCCTGGGATTTTGCAGACGAAGGTAAAAGAGGGAGGCATTGGCCAGGCGCGGTGGCTCATGCCTGTAATCCCAGCACTTTGGGAGGCCGAAGTGGGCAGATCACCTAAGGTCAGGAGTTTGAAACTAGCCTGGCCAACATGGTGAAACCTCGTCTCTACTAAAAATACAAAAAAAAAAAAATTAGCTAGGCATGGTGGTGCATGCCTGTAGTCCCAGCTACTGCGGAGGCTGAGGCAGGAGAATCGCTTGAACCCAGGAGGCAGAGGTTGCAGTGAGCTGAGATTGCGCCACTGCACTCCAGCCTGGATGACAGAGCCAGACTCTGTCTCAAAAAAAAAAAGAGGGAGGCACCCTGGAGTCTATGGGAGTCATGAGGCAGGATGAAGACCAGTCTTCTGGAAGAAACTGGGAGGGCAGTGTGGCCTTTTGCGGTCATCTGCTTTGCCATTTCTGAAACACAGAAAGGTAGAGACATTTCTTAATCATCACTGCTGAAGTTGTACAGTGCTCAGATAAAGTTCAATACTTGCCAAGTATGGTGGCTCATGCCTGTAATCCCAGCACTTTGGGAGGCCGAGGTGGGCGCATCACTTGAGGTCAAGAGTTCAAAGACCAGCCTGGCCAACATGGTGAAATCCCGTCTCTACTAAAAAAATACAAAAATTAGCCGGGTGTGGCGGCACACGCCTGTAATCCCAGCTACTCGGGAGGCTGAAGCAGGAGAATTGCTTGAACCTGTGAGGCAGAGGCTGCAGGGAGCTACGATCATAAGATCGTGCCACTGCACTCCAGCCTGGGCAGCAGAGTAAGATTCTATCTAAAAAAAAAAAAAAAAAAGTTTAATATTGTCAGTCCCAGCTCTTGTTCAAGATGAATATTCCCGATCACTGAAGAATTCAGACTGAAGAATGCAGGCACTGCCTGAGTGGGGTGAAGCAGGGCCTAATGAACAGACTCTCTTACATTCTTGTTGGTGCTGTTCCCGTGAAACCAGTTCAACCATCTGTTAAGAGGTGAGTTGTTTTAGGGTCCAGGAGAACAGGCATCTGTTTTTTTTTTTTCATTATTATACTTTAAGTTCTAGGGTATATGTGCACAACGTGCAGGTTTGTTACACAAGTATACACGGTCCATGTTGGTTTGCTGCACCCATCAACCCTAATTACATTAGGTATTTCTCCTAATGCTATCCCTCCCCCAGCCCTCTACCCCTCAGGCATCTTAAAAGAGGGATGTCTAAGCATGGTGAAATCCTGTCTCTACGAAAAATACAAAAATTAGCCGGGTATGGTGGAGGGCGACTGTAGTCCCAGCTACTCAGGAGGCTGAGGCAGGAGAATTGTTTGAACCCAGGAGGCAGAGGCTACAGTGGGCCGAGATCACACCACTGCACTCCAGCCTGGGCGACAGAGCAAGACTCCATCTCGAAAAAAAATAATAAAAAGTAAAAATATATATATATAAAGAGGGATGTCTAAAATAACGAAATAATAATATAAAAGTTACATTAAAGTAAAAGCCAGTAGTTGAATCTGAGAATTAGCTGGTTCAGTGAATTCCAAGAGGTTAGCAGAAGAAAATCTTCCAGCACCAGTTTTTGAGTTTCTTAAAGCTGTCAATGTCTTGTGATATTGTCCACAATCTTGGCACTTGTCACGAAAGGGCATACATGGCCTGAGCATTTTGCTGGGCTTCCTTAGTGGTCCAGGCAGCAGCTTGTCCAGGGAGAATTCATGGTATCCTGAAGGGCTGAGTCTTTCAAGGTTTATGCCAAATCGCTAAGCCTCAGCTTGTAGAACTCCTTCAGATTCTGGGAGAAAAGGCCAGCTGCAAGGCAACCCACAGTCCTGACAGGGATTTGGGCAGTCGGGTGTTAATTCTTGGTGATGCCAATTCAGGCTTGAGGAAGAAAAAATGTGAAAGTTAGTTTGGAGGACTGTAGTCAGATATTGAAGAAAACTGGAGAAATTGAAAACCTGGTAAGGATTGACAATTTGGGCAAGGCAACAGGATCTAATCAAATTTAAAGGTAGGTTCCCAAACTGGTTTTTCTATGAGGAGTAGGGAAAGGCAGCCAATTAAATCTCATCAGACAAGACAGAGTTTGCATAGTCATCAGCTACCTGCAGTGTGTAAAGAGGTCCAAGAAGACTCAAAGGCAATGCACAGGGCTGGAGTCTGATAACCAGAAGGGTGTGCTACATATTGAAACATAAAATTTCTCATTTTAGACACCTGTCTTTTGACAAAGATAATCTCAAAGAAAAATTTTTCATCATCACAAAATAAGGCTGGCCTTATTAGGTATAGTCTCACTATTTACACAGGAGCAGCAAGAATGGTACTTTAGCAGATAGGCCTCCTTAAACTTGCTTTGCTGGAAGCTTTAATAAGGTATCTCAGATTGGACGTTTGAAAGCCTCTTGAGACTAGGAAGCCACACCAAGAACTTGACATCCAAATTACTTCTGGTACCTATAAATATGAGCAAATTCCTCTCTTCTCAAGGACCCCTCAATATCCTACAGTTCACGGGCTTGCAAGGAAGTGACCTTCCTAACTTACGTGTAAGGCTGACAACTCTGTAAGTCAGAGGGCTGGCAAGCATTGGCTCCATAAAGTCAATCCTAGTTACTTTAATGTATCAGGTGATTTCTGATTAAATGAGCATCATTCTCAAACATGATATTTCAGGCAAAGTTTTGGGTGCATAATCAATATTTCCAATTATGTCCTGTTAATAAGGAAGGCAGATTCTCATTGAACCTATGCAAATAATCATATTGCCATAAAATTAAGAATACTTAATGAGAGTTTCTGAATTTTGGAGAGGTCAGGGAGGGAGAATAAGATATTTAAAAATGGTTTGTTTCTGGTTACCAAAGTCTGCCAAACTGTTACGAGTCATAGAGAGCTTAAGAGAAGAGAAGGGGGTTCCTTCATATGCAGAAAATGGAACATTAAAACCACATCTAAAACATTGCAAACAAAACCCACCATCATTCCTTATCAGTTCATTTAGTCTTAGGTAATAAATTCTTGTTCCACTGGATTTTGAGTTGGTCATCTCATGAACTAACCAGCGTCTCAACTAGAGTTCTAGAAATCCTGACTCAGTCCACTGATGTGGTCTCATAGCTGTTTGAATGATGCCGCCAGAAGCTTGCACTTAAAGTCCCTCGCATAGTCCTTTACTGCATGTCTCTGAGACAGTCCTTCTTTGTTGAAGATGAAGCACTGTGGTCTGTAGCTGATTACAAGGGCTTTCAGGGAAGCATCAGAGTAAAACAAAAAACCCTATCAGTAGATGACAAAATAAAATGGCTGTGCTTAGGCCGGGCGCAGTGGCTCGCACCTGTAATCCCAACACCTTGGGAGGCCAAGGCGGGCAGATCACAAGGTCAGGAGTTCGAGACCAGCCTGGCCAACATGGTGAAACCCCGTTTCTACTAAAAATACAAAAATTAGCTGGGCATGATGGCGCATACCTATAATCCCAGCTACTAAGGAGGCTGAGGCACGAGAATAGCTTGTACTCAGGAGGCAGAGGTTGCAGTGAGCCGAGATTGTGCCACTGCACTCCAGCCTAGGTGACAGCGTGAGACTCCATCTCACAAAAATATATATATAAAATAAAATAAAATAAAATGGCTGTGCTTAACTATTGACAATTTTCAGAAGTGAAAGATCTGCTGGGAGTTTATAACAAGAATAGTAAAACTGACAGGGATGTTGTTTGTTTCTGTGGCATGCAAACCAAAATAAGAAAATCAATCTAAAAACTGTTTTGGATGAAATATTTACAAACATAATGAGTAACCCTACTTCCAAAGAAAAGTGAATGCTATCTCCAATTTATAAAAACAGAGGAACATAATCTTTACCGAGAAAAAATCTTTAGGTATAACATATAATAATACCAACATAATATACCACTAATATACTAAACATATTGTTAGAATATATTAAGAATATATAAAGAACATAAAGTGAAGAGATTCTGTAAATATGGAATAGGTCCAAAACATCTGCATACTAATAAAACTTCACAGGTAGGTGATGTCAGTCCCCAGTTGAAAACCCCTGGCAGGGCCGGGTACAGTGCCTCATGCTTGTAATCCCAGCACTTCGGGAGGCCAAGATGGGCAGATCACTTGAGGCCAGGAGTTTGAGACCAGCCTGGCCAACATGGTGAAACTCCATCTCTACTAAATATATGAAAATTAGCCAGGCACGGTGGTGCATGCCTGTAATCCCAGCTACTCAGGAGGCTGAGGCACAAGAATCACTTGAACCCAGGAGGTGGAGGTTGCAGTGAGCTGAGGTTGCCCTCCAGCCTGGGTGACAGAGTGAGACTCTGTCTGAAAGGAAGGAAGGAAGGGAGGGAGAGAGGGAGGGAGAGAGGGAGGGAGGAGGGAGGGAGGGAGAGAAGGAAGGAAGGAAGGAAGGAAGGAAGGAAGGAAGGAAGGAAGGAAGGAAGGAAGGAAAAGAAAGAAAACTGCTGGTATAGGAGATGCTATATTCAAATTTAAAAAGTTATGGCTGGGTGCAGTGTCTCACACCTGTAATCCCAGCACTTTGGGAGTCTGACGTGGGGGGATCGCTTGAGTTCAGGAGTTCAGGACCAGATTGGGCAACATAGCAAATCCCTGTCTCAACAAAAAATACAAAAATTATCTGGGTGTGGTGGTGCACACCTGTAGTTCCAGCTACTTGGGAGGCTGAGGTAGGACAATCGCTTGAACCTGGGAAGCAGAGGTTGCAGTGAGCTGAGATCAAGCCACTACACTCCAGGTTGGGTGACAGAGCAAGACCCTGTCTCAAAAATATAAAAATAAATAAAAATTGAAAAAAAAAACAAATTACAGAAGTTACGATTGAGTTACCACCTTAAGAGATAGCTGAAATTATGACTGAAAATGATATTCTGTGGTTGTCTAACATCAGATAAAGCTGCACCAACAAACATATGGACAATAAAGGCGTTGATGGATCTCTAGGAATTTTTCACATAGCATACAATTCCTGAAATATCTGTATTTAATAACACTTTGTGATACAAATTTAACCTGGACAAGACTAAGTATTTCTTCTGATTTGAGGACTCTTTCCATTCAACTCATCAATAATATATCAAATAAACCTAATTATTTCCAGCACTTCTCTTTTTACGGGGTGAAAAAAAATCATTTGTGGTCTTTTTCTCTGGGAAATCTCAAAGATAGTTTTGGGTGCAGAAGATATTATTTAGGATTAATTTAGGGAAGGCAAAATATTAAGTTATCAGGAGACTTGAACACCTCATTAAGGTAGGATCATGAGCTACTGTGAAACAATTCCTGACTACTTAAAGTGACAATAAAATATTTTTTAAAATAAACATGGGAGGTAACATAATTATAAAGAATCTTACTTTTTCCTAAGTGAGAAAACTTTGCTCTCTTAAATAATCAAGGACACCAGCTTGACTAACATGGTGCAACCCCGTCTCTACTAAAAATACAGAATTAGCCAGGTGTGGCGTACCTGTAATCCCAGCTACTCGGGAGGCTAAGGCAGGAGAATCGCTTGAACCTGGGAGGTGGAGGTTGCAGTGAGCCAAGACCACGCCACTACACTCCAGCCTGGGCCACAGAGCAAGACTCTGTCTCAAAAAAATAATAAAAAATAATTAAAAAATCAAGGACATCTTAAAGTCAACATAAACCAGAGAAGGTTCTTCTGGTAAAACACAGAATCTTTGTTCCCCAGGCAAACTACAAAGAAAGTGAAGAATACTCTTTCACAATCTTGTATTCATTTCCTTTTGCTGTGCCAACACATTACCACACACTTAAGGGGTGTTATTTATTGTCTTAGAGTTCTGGAGATCAGAAGTCCCAAATCAGTCTCACTGGACTAAAAGTTAAGGTGTCAGCAAAACTGGTTCCTTCTGGAGACTTTAGGAAGACAACTCATTTCCTTGCCTTTTTCAGCTTCTAGGGCCCCCTTTCATTCCTGGCTCAGGGCCCCTCCTCTATCTCAAAGCCAGCAGCAGAGGATCTTCCAATCTCTTTCCCACCATGTCCCTTCCCACATCACCTGTTCCTCATTCTGATTCTCCTGCCTCACGCTTATAAACACCGTTCTGATTACACTGAGCCCACCAGAGGATCCTGGATAATTTCCCCACTTCAAGGATCTTAATCACTTCTACAAAGTTCCCTTTACCACCTAAGGTCACGTATTCACAGGTTCCAGGGATTAGGATGTGGACATCTTGGGGGTGGAGGAGAGGCATTGTTCAGTCTACCACACACTACTTAATAAGGACAGACCAATACTTTTCTCATTTTAACAGAGAGAAAAATTCTAGTTTTGTATCAGTATATTTGATAGTAAAGCTCTTTTAAAAAATCATAAATAAGTCCATCAAATCTTAGTAAGCCTTGACCATGACAAAATTCTCTTTTCTAGAACCTTCTGTAGCTTTCTGATGCAGGCGTTTATAGCTACAAACTTTCCTCTTAGTATTGTGTTTGCTGTATCCCTTAAGTTTTTTTATGTTGTGTTTCCATTTTCATTTGTTTCAAGAAATTTTTCACTTTCCTTCTGAATTTTTTCATTGACCCACTGGTCACTCAGTAGCATATTGTTTCATTTCCATGTATTTGTATCGTTTCCAAAATTCCTATCATTATTGGTTTCTAGTTTTATTTCATTATGGTCAGAGAAGATGACTTGACATTATTTCAATTTTTTTGATTTTTTTTTTTTCTTTGAGATAGAGTCTTGCTAGGTCACCCAGGCTGGAGTGCAGTGGCACAATCTCCGCCCACTGCAACCTCTGCCTCCCGGGTTCAAGTGATTCTCAGCCTCCCCTATAGCTGGGACTACAGGCATGCACCATCATGCCCAGCTAATTTTTGTATGTTTAGTAGAGGCAGGTTTTCATCATGTTGACCAGGCTAGTCTTGAACTCCTGACCTCAAGTGATCTGCCTGCCTCGGCTTCCCAAAGTACTGGGATTATAGGCATGAGCCACCATGCCCGGCCTCCTTCAGCACTTTAAATATGTCATCCCACTCTCTCCCGGCCTGTAAAGAAGACTTGGAAGTCTGCTGCCAGGCATATAGGAGCTCCATTGTATATTATTTGTCTCTTTTCTGTTGGTGCTTTTGGGATCATTTTTTTTATCCTTGACTTTTGGGAGTTTTATTATTAAATGTCTTGAGGTAGTCTTATTTGGGTTAAATCTGCTTGGTGTTCTATAACCATCTTGTACTGGAATACTGATATCTTTCTCTACATTTGAGAGGTTCCCTGTTATTATCCCTTTCAATAAACCTTCCACTTTTAACTCTCTCTCTACCTCCTCTTTAAGGCCAGCAACTCTTAGATTTGTCCTTTTGTGGTTATTTTCTAGATCCTGTAGGCACGTTTCTTTTTTTTTTTTTTTTTTTTTTTTTTTTTTTGAGATGGAGTTTTTGCTCTTGTTGCCCAGGCTGGAGTGCAGTGGTATGATCTTGGCTCACTGCAACCTCCACCTCCCGGGTTCAAGCGATTCTCCAGCCTCAGCCTCCCGGGTAGCTGGGATTACAGGCATGCACCACCACACCTGGCTATTTTTATTTTTATTTTTTGTATTTTTAGTAGAAACAGGATTTCTCCAGGTTGATCAGGCTGATCTCGAACTCCTGACCTCAGGTGATCCACCCACCTCAGCATCCCAAAGTGCTGGGTTTACGGGTGTGACCCACCGCACCCAGCCGGCATACTTCATTCTTTTTAATTTTTTTTTTCTTTTGTCTCCTCTATTTTCAAATAGCCTGTCTCCAAGCTCACTAATTCTTTCTTCTGCTTGATCAATTCTGCTGGTAGGAGACTCTGATGTATTCTTCAGCATGTCAGTTGTGTTTTTCAACTCCAGAATTTCTGCTTGATTCTTTTTAATGATTTCAATCTCTTTGTTAAATTTATCTGATAGTATTCTGAATTCCTTCTCTGTGTTATCTTGAATTTTATTGAGTTTCTTCAAAATAGCTATTTTGAATTGTCTGTCTGAAAGTTCCCATATCTCTGTCTCTCCAGGACTGGTCCCTGATGTCTTATTTAGTTTGTTTGACGAGCTGTTTTCCTGGACGGTCTTGATGCTTGTGGATATTTTCTGGTTTCTGGGCATTGAAGAGTTAGATATTTATTGTAGTCTTTGCAGTCCGGGTTTGTTTGTACCCATCCTTTTTGGGAAAATTTCCAGGTATTTGAAGGGACTTGGGTGTTGTAATCTAAGTTTTTGGTCACTGCTACCGTGTCTATATTAGGGGGCACTCCAAACCCAGCAATGCTGCAACTCATGTAGACTCACTCATAGAGGTACCGCCTTGGTGGTCTTGGATAAGAGCTGGAAGAATTATCTGAATTACCAGGCAGAGAATCTTGTTCTCTTCCTTTTCTTTCTCTCTTTCTCCCTTTCTCTCTTTCTGTCTTTCTTCTTTTTTTTTTTTTTTTTCCAGACAGAGTCTCACTCTGTTGCCCAGGCTGGAGTGCAGTAGTGTGATCTCAGCTCACCGCAACCTCCACCTTCCGGGTTCAAGCAATTCTCATGCCTCAGCCTCTCGAGTAGCTGGGATTACAAGCATGCGCCACCAGGCCAGGCTAATTTTTGTATGTTTTGTAGAGATGGGGTTTTGCTATGTTGCCCAGGCTGGTCTTGAACTCCTGGGCTCAAGTGATCCTCTCTCCTCAGACTCCCAAAGTGCTGGGATCACAGGCGTGAGCCACTGTGCCCAGCCCCTTTACTTTCTTTCAGAGTCTCTTTCTCTCTGTGCTAAGCTGCTTGGAACTGGGGGAGGGGTGACACAAAGCACCACTGTGGCCACCACCACTGGGACTGTGCTGGGTCAGACCCGAAGCCTGCACAGCACTGGGTCATGCCCAAGACCCACAGTAACCATTGCCTGGCTACCACCTATGTTCCCTCAAGGCCCTGGGGTTCTACAATCATTGGGTGATAAAACCAGCCAGGCACATGTCCTTCCCTTGAGGGCAGCAAGATCCCCCTGGTCCCAAAGAGGTCCAGAGAGGCCATCCGGGAGGCAAGGCCTGGAGTAGGAAACCTTAAGAGTCTATCTGATGCTCTATTCCACCGTGGCCCACAGTTAAGTACTGCCTGGCCACTGCCAATGTTCATTCAAGGCCCAAGAGCTCGTCAATCAGCTTACCGTGAATGCTGCCAGGCTTAGGACTCACCTTTCAGGGCAGTAGACTCCCCTCTGGTCCAGGGCAGGTCCAGAAATGCCATCCAAGAGCCACGGCCTAGAATCAGGGACTCTAAAAGCCTGTTTGGTGCTCTGCTCCCCTGAGGCTGAGCTGATACCTAAGTTGCCAAAGTCCCCTTTACTCTTCCCACTCCTTTCCTCAAGCAGATGGTTCTCTCCCCATAGCCACCACAGCTGGAAATGCAAAATCCTGCAATCACTGTGCTCTCCCTCACCCAAGACCACAGATTCTCTTCGTGCCCCATGGTTGCTGCCAGGGGATGGGGGAATAGGGAACATCAGCAATTCAAGACTATCTTTCCTACCCTCTTCAGTGCCTCTTTCAGTGATATGAAGTTTAAACCAGGTGCTATAATCTCTCACTTGATTTTTGGTTCTCAGGAAGGTGCTTTTTTGTGGGGTTAGTTGCTCAGTTTGGTGTTTCTGCAGGGAGGATGATCACTGGAAGCTTCTTTTTTTTTTTTTTTTTTTTTTTTGAGACGGAGTCTTGCTCTGTCTTTAGGCTGGAGTACAGTGGTGAGATCTCAGCTCACTGCAACATCCGCCTCCCGAGTTCAAGCGATTCTCCTGCCTCAGCTTCCCAAGTAGCTGGGACTACAGGCATGCGCCACCACGCCCAGCTAGTTTTTTTATTTTTCATAGGGATGGGGCTTTACCATGTTGGCCTGGATGGTCTCAATCTTCTCACCTCATGATTCGCCCGCCTCGGCCTCCCAAAGTGCTGGACTACAGGCATGAGCCACCGCGCCTGGCCTGCTTTTCCTTTTTTTCTTTCTTTATTTTTTTTAGACAGAGTTTCAATCTTGTTGCCCAGGCTGGAGTGCAATGGTGTGATCTCGGCTCACTGCAACCTCTGGCTCCTGGGTTCAAGTGATTCTCCTGCCTCAGCCTCCCAAGTAGCTGGGATTACAGGCACATGCCACCACACGTGGCTAATTTTGTATTTTTAGTAGAGAGGGGGTTTCACCATGTTGATCAGGCTGGTCTCAAACTCCTGACCTCAGGTGATCCACCTGCCTCAGCCTCCCAAAGTGCTGGGATTGCAGGCATGAGCCACTGTGCCTGGCAAAGCCTGGTTTTCATCCTAGACTTTTTTTTTTTTTTCTGAGAAGGAGTCTCACTCTGTTGCCCAGGCTGGAGTGCAATGGCATGATCTTGGCTCACTGTAACCTCTGCCTCCCGGGTTCAACCAATTCTCCCGCCTCAGCCTCCCAAGTAGCTGGGATGACAGGCTCATGCCACCACACCCAGCAAATTTTTGTATTTTTAGTAGAGATGGGGTTTCACTATGTTGGTTGGCCATGTTGGTTGGCCATGTTGGTTGGCCATGTTGGTCTCGAACTCCTGACCTCACATCCTAGACTTCTACATCCATCAGAACACCAAGTACTTACCTTATAAATATTTTTTTTCTAATGGATTCACTTTTACCTATGCCCATTGCTGCAATCCTAGCTCAGGCCCTCATTACCCCTTCCCAGAATGAGAACAGCTCCCTGCTGGTCTCACGGCCTTCAATCTGGCCTTCCTCTCAGCCACAGCACACACCAGGATCAGAGTGGTGTTTCCAAATCTATAGTACACATTTGAGTGTGTCACTCAATGGCTTAAAGGTTCAATGCCCACCTACCTAACCCACCCCCACTATCTTCATGTTGAAACCCAATCTCCTTAATATGGATGATATGGCTGTTCAAGACTGGCCCTTTGCTTATCGCTCCAACTTTATCGGTGCCAATTCCCTTCCTCAAACTCTAAGCTTTATATAATTAACTACCCATATGAAGTTCCCTAAGTTCACCATGTTTTTGGTGTTATTTGCATGATTTTCCTTGAACATTTAACCCCATCTTCACTTGACTAAATCTTATTCGTGTTTCTTATCTCACTCTTTTGTAGTTGCCTATTTTCTTGTGTGTCTTTCCTGGACTATAAGCTCACTGAGAGCAAGGACCACACAGTGTTCAATGTCTCATTCTCACTGTTTGTGCTCAGTAATTTTTACTCTCAATAAGTATTTGTTGAATAAACAAAGTTTCATTGAGATTTACAGCAGGTTTGGTGAGTCTGAGGGTGTGGGTAGGGTGGAAGGATGGGAGGCGAAAGAGATAACTAGAGTTCATGCTTCAAAGGTAGAGTCCTTCTGGTGCAGTATCCAGGGTGGGGCTAAACAAGTGGTTTTTGAAGTGGAGTAGAATTGAAGGTCACTGGAGCAGAGAATACAAGGCAACTATGACCCCATAGATGGGATGAGTGGCACTTGGTGTTGCCCAGGAGAAGTCAGGTCAGGCACCAGGTGGGGTGGGGAGGGAAGCTGTGAGTCAGGCTCCAAAGTCCTTTCATAGATGGTCTGATTAAGGCAGGGAGGTGCCTTCATCCTAATTCCAAGCTGCACGGGGAGAGGAAGGGAAATGAAAGTGATGGAAGATACACAGAGAGCCAGCAGTGACTCAACGAGAATCATGGCACTGCCTTATAACCCTGAGATCTGTGGGCCCTCATTAGAGAATGAAGGGCCTCCGTTCAAAAGGATTTCATGATGAACAGGTGGGAGAATTTTCTAGAAAGTGGTTGTGTCTACAGAGAAGCATTTTAATAGAAAGGTCTTCCCAGAGAGCCCAATAGAAGGGTTTAGAAGATGTCTCCCAGTGTACATTCAAGTGGTCAAACGACATGATTTCTTCCAGTTTGGTTTCAGAATTTGTTACAAACCCCTGTATCAGAAATGTCTACTGTCTTACTGCTACAATTCTCAGCTGTTTCTCCCAGTTAAGACATTAATCTGGAATCTTACTCTGATCCTTAAAGCGAAGCAATTAAAACCCTGTATATGGGATTATCCACCCCTGTGCATTCTTTTTTTCTGTGGGAAATTGGGTCCACACTTGTTTTTGTGAAATGTCAGCACAATAAAAGCCTCTCTTTGGGACAACAGTTACAAAGAACTCTCATCTTAAAAAAAAAAGTCCTAATGAAAAAAGTTTCAAAATTCGACATCACTTGCAGTCTGACCTGTGGGCTGGTCACCTTCCTTCCACCCTTTCACGGTTAGCAAAGAGGAACCGAGGGACATCGGCAAACTTGCACCTCCTCACTTCCAGGGCTGCAGGATGTTTCCTCAGCTGATTTCTCTCTGAGTCCAGCCCCACAGCCCCTGTAGGCCTCCTTCTCGGCGTAACGGCTGGGCTTGGTTGGGATGGACTTTAAACGTGCTGACATTTTTCTTACATTTCATATTTTGTAGTTAAGTTTTCCATCTATCTGCCTATCTAGGTTCATGAGCAAGGTTAGTCTAGTTTTCTTTTTTGTGTGTTGCATTTATTGAGGTTTTGGTATCATGCCAATAATCAGAATAACATCAGTATCTGGCAGGATGCAGTGGCTCACGCCTGTAATCCCAGCACTTTGGGAGACCGAGGTGGGTGGATCACCTGAAGTCAGGAGTTCGAGATCAGCCTGGCCAACATGGTGAAGCCCCATCTCTACTAAAAATACAAAGATTAGCCTGGCGTGGTGGCAGGCGCCTGTAATTCCAGCTACTTGGGAGGCTCAGGGAGGACAATTGCTTGAACCCGACAGGCAGAGGTTGTAGTGAGCCGAGACTGCACCACTGCACTCCAGCCTGGGTGACACAGAGAGACTCCGTTTCAAACAAACAAACAAACAAACAAACAAAAAATCAGTATCTTCCTCCACCCCTTCCCATCTCAGCTTGTTAGAAATGCAGAATCAGGGGTCCACTCCAGACCACTAAAACCATTATCTACATTTCTTCAAGAGCCCCTGGAAATGCACATTATAAATTCACATAGTTCGAGAAGTTGCCCTAGGCCTTATCATTCCTGAAAACCACTCCTTCCATAATCTCGGGAGCAAGCGACCTGGCTCTCCAACCAGCATGTTCTTCCTTCCAGCTCACTCCCTTACCGTGCTGATTCCAACCATCCGTTGATCCTGCCACTTCTACATGGGCCTCTCTCCCCCCACTGCCCACAACCCTTCCTCATTCCCTCCTGGACAGGTGTGGATTTAACAGTCCACCATAATTATTACTTCCTTATTGTACCTTCACCTTCCTTTCCCCTGTTTCCCTCCATGGAATTATCTAGCAAAAACAACCCTGGTGGAATAGATTCCCCACCTTCCCAGCAAAATGTGGCTGCTAAAAAACATGGAATAAGCCTGCCAACTGGTCCTTTACACCTGCTCCTCTCCCCTGGAACTTCCAACACCTCCTCCCTCTCTGCACTGAGCGAATGAATGACTGTTCTTCCTGTTTCCCTGAGGAAATCGAAGCCCTCAGAAGGGACTGTCCACAAGTTCCAGGAACCTCGTCTACCTGGATCTCTGCCTCGTGCCCACATTCTGCCTGCCCTCTTGGAACCGTGACCTCACCTGCCTTGCTCCTATTCAAGGCCAGACCTTCCAGTGCACTCTGCGTCTTTCCCTTCTCACTCAATCAGGGACAGCTCTCCAGAAAACACCCCCCAACCCTCATCATCACATTTTCCCTTACGACTGAATCATTCCCACCAGCATTTAAGCACATTGGAAGAGCTCCCAATCTAAAAACAAAACAAAATGAAATAAAACGAAACATTTGCTCGGACCCCACATTCCCCTCCAGCCATCACCCCATTTCTCTGCTCCTCATTAGAAACAAAACTTCATGAAAATGTTGTCTAAACCAATGGTTTCTTTCCAGGGCCCCCATTCTTTCTAGGGACTCCCCTCCCCGCCCCTTCCTTCTCCTCCTCTCCTGCTTTTGAGACGGAGTTTTGCTCTTGTTGCCCAGGCTGGAGTGCAATGCCGCGATCTCGGCTCACGGCAACCTCCGCCTCCTGGGTTCAAGTGATTCTCCTGCCTCAGCCTCCCAAGTAGCTGGGATTACAGGCACATGCCACCATGCCCGGCTAATTTTGTATTTTTAGTAGAGATGGGGTTTCTCCATGTTGGTCAGGATGGTCTTGAACTCCCGACCTCAGGTGATCCACCCGCCTTGGCTTCTCAAAGTGCTGGGATTACAGGCGTGAGCTACCGTGCTCGGCTTTTTTTTTTTTTTTTTTTTTTTTTTGAGACAGAGTCTCACTCTTGTTGCCCAGGCTGGAGTGCAACGGCACAATCTCGGCTCACTGCAACTTCCAACTCCCAGGTTCAAGCGATTCTCCTGCCTCAGCCTCCCAAGTAGCTGGGATTATAGGCATGTGCCACCACGCCTGGCTAATTTTTTGTATTTAGTAGAGATCACCTGAGTGGATCACCTGAGATCTTCTTTCCTTCTCTTTCTTTTTTTTTTTTTTAACATAGTCTCCCTCTGTCACCCAGGCTGGACGGCAGTGGTGTGATCTCAGCTCACTGAAACCTCCATCTCCTGGGTTCAAGCAATTCTCCTGCCTCACTCTCCGGAATAGCTGGGATTACAGCCATGCAACACCACGCCCTGCTAATTTTTGTATTTTTGGTAGAGATGGGGTTTCACCATGTTGGCCAGACTAGTTTCGACCTCCTGGCCTCAAGTGATCCACCTGCCTCTGCCTCTCAAGGTGCCAGGATTATAGGCATGAGCCCCCTCACCTGGCCAGATTTTCCTGGATCTCTTCCTACCAAACTGGCTCCTCCCTCTCAGGGTTCTTTGCTGGTTCCTTACCATTCCCTGACCTGTCATTGTTGGGGGACTGGGCTTAGTAGTAACACTCACATCCTAAAGGATCTCACTGAATTCAGAGGTTTTACCTACTCTGAGAACCACCTAAATTCTGTCTGTGGCCCAGACTTCTCCTCTGAAGTCTTCTTTTTTTTTTTTTTTTTTTTTTTTTGAGCCGAGTCTCGCTCTGTCACCCAGACTGGAGTGCAGTGGCGCAATCTCAGCTCAATGCAACCTCTGCCTCCCAGGTTCAAGCAATTCTCCTGCCTCAGTCTCCAGAGTAGCTCGGACCACTGGCGCACGCCACCACACCCGGCTAATTTTTGTATTTTTATTAGAGACGGGGTTTCACCATGTTAGTCAGGCTGGTCTCCAACTCCTGACCACAGGTGATCCGCCTGCCTCAGCCTCCCAAAGTGCTAGGATTACAGGCGTGAGCCACCGCGCCAGGACTTCTCCTCTGAACTCTTAAGTCCAACTTCCAACTTGGGTGTCCAACAGGCAGCTCAAACTTTGTATGTCCCTAAGTAAATTTCCAAGTTCCTCCCTTCACATCTGTTTCTGCTTAAATTTTCCCCATATCACCAAATTGTATTTTCCAGTTGCTTGAGAAAAAAAAAAATTAGAAATCAGGAAAATCCTTTTAGCTTTACCCTTTATTTATTTATTTTTTTTCTTGAGTCAGGGTCTCACTCTGTGGCCCAGGCTGGAGTGACAGTGGCACAGTCACAGCTCACCGTAGCCCCGACTCTCCAGGCTTAAGTGATCCTCCCACCTCAGCCTCTGGAGTAGCTGGGACTACAGGCACATGCTACCACGCCTGGCTAATTTTTTTTTCTAGAGACAGGAGTCTCACTATGTTGCCCAGACTGGTCTCCAACTCCTGGCCTCAAGTGATCCTTCCTCCTCTGCCTCCCAAAGTGGTGGGATTACAAGCGTGAGCCACCTTTTATTATTATTATTATTATTGAGACTGAGTACTGCTCTATTGCCCAGGCTGGAGTGCAGTGGCACAATCTTGGCTCATTGCAATCTCCCCTTACTGCAACCTTTGCCTCCCGGGTTCAAGCGATTCTCCTGTCTCAGCCTCCCGAATAGCTGGGATTACAGGTGCCCGCCACCATGCCCAGCTAATTTTTGTGTTTTTAGTAGAGACAGGGTTTCACCATGTTGGGCATGGTGATCTCGAACTGACCTCAAATGATCCTCCCACCTTGGACTCCCAAAGTGTTGGGATTCCAGGCGTGAGCCACCTTTTAAACGTGTCTACAGGTGATCATTTTACTCTTCTACTGCCACCACCCTGGACAGAGCCTTATCTTTTTTTTTTTTTTTTTTTTTTTTTGAGATGGAGTCTCCCTCTATCGCCCAGGCTGGAGTGCAGTGGCGCGATTTCGGCTCACTGCAACCTCCGCCTCCCGGGTTCAAGCAATTCTCCAGCCTCAGCCTCCCAAGTAGCTGGGGTTATTTTTGTATTTGTAGTAGAGACGGGGTTTCAACATACTGGTCAGACTGGTCTCGAACTCCTGACCTCAGGTGATCCCCCTGCTTCGGCCTTCCAAAGTGCTGGGGTTACAGGTGCGAGCCACCACGCCCGGCCGGACAGTCTTATCTTTTGGCTGGCTGATTTCAACAGGCTTCTCGCTGGTCCCCCTGCTGAAACCCTCAGGGCTTTCAGTCTGGTCCTCATACCACAGCCACAGGGATCCTCCTGAAATGTCATTCCACGTCCTTTCTCTGCTCGCAACCCTTCAAATTGCTTCCCATCTCCTTGAGAGTAAAAACAGGAAGTCCTAACTTTGGTTGGTAGGGCCGCACTTCTTCCTCATCTCTTCCCCTATCTGGGGCCGCTTTCAAGCCAGCAGATTCTCGCCTCAGGGCCTTGGTCCTGCTATTCCCTCTGCCTTTCCATACAGAAAGCTCCCAGGCTCTCTCTCTCCAGGAAGCTGCTCCCTGAATGAACACTGTAAATAACAACACCCTGCTTTCTCTCCCCTCCTCACCCAGTGGTGTTTTTAACTGTCCAGTATTTGTTTTTTTGTTGTTGTTTTTTGTTTGTTTTGTTTTTGTTTTTTGGAGATAGTCTCGCTGCGTCGCCCAGGCTGGAGTGCAGTGGCGCGATCTCGGCTCACTGTAACCTCCGCCTCCCGGGTTCAAGCGATTCTCCTGCCTCAGCCTCCTAAGTACCTGGGAATACAGACGCCCGCCACCACGCCCGGCTAATTGTTTTTTGTATTTTTAGTAGAGATGGGGTTTCACGGTGTTGGCCAGGCTGGTCTTGAACTCCTGACCTCGTGATCCGCCCACCTCGGCCTCCCAAAGTGCTGGGATTACAGGCGTGAGCCACCGCGCCTGGCCCAATTGTCCAGTATTATACATACCTGTAGGTTTATTAGTCAATTATTTGTCAACTGTTTGTGCTAGGAGCATGGACTGTTTCGCTCACTGCCCCATCCCTGACGTACAGGAGGCGCTTAAAAAGTAGTTCAGTTACACATTAAAAACAAAGAAACAAAAATACACACATATGGCATTTGTATGTGCCAGGCTCCGTTGTCAGAGCTTTGCAATGCACTGTCCCGTTCATCCTCAGAAGCCCGTGGCTGGTACCACTATATTATTACACACTTTTTTTTTTAATGTGTGAGGAAATCCAGGCACAGGGACGTGAAACAGCCCATAGATAGCAAATGGTGGAGCAGGACTTAAATCCAGGTTGCTGATTTAAATAGGAATATTCCCATTAATCTGGAACGTTCTGGCACTTGTCCCCCTGGATGCTGTGTCCCCCTGGATGCTAAAATGAAGCGATCTGCTCCAAGAAAGTAAGAATCGGTCTGCACAAAGTGGGATCCCGGCCTCTCGCAGAATTAAGCTTGAAGAGTTGAGGAAGTGGTCGTTGAAAGTGGGCGTGCGATTCCCGCAGTAAGAGCGCTCAGGCGGAGGAGAAAGGGCTGAGCCCCGCCTTGGAAGCTGCGGCGGAGGAAGAGGAACTGCGGGGCTTGGCTTCTGCTTTTCTCTGCGGCCCCTCCCGCTCGGGCCTCGCGCCTACTTGCGGCGCCCTGAGTCCGCCGGCCGCTCGGGGGCGCCCGAGGCGGAAGGGGGCGTTGCGGCACCGCCCGACGTCGCGTCCTCGGCGGCTGCGCAGTGCGCACGTCAAAGCCGGGCTCGGGCCGCAAGCGGGGCGAGGGGTTCGGGGAGCGGCGCGGCCTGGGAGACACAGAGCCTTCAGGCGCCGGGGCGGGGGCACAGGCGAAGACTAAGGCGGCGCCGGGCCCCACAGCAGCAGCCGCAGCCCAAGCGAGCGCAGCAGCGCGGCGGCAGCCGCGGGAGCCCCTGGGCAGCCGTCCGCCCGCGCAGCCGCCGCCGCCGCGGGAGCCCGTCGCCGGGAGCAGGAGCGGGCGGAAGACAACGGAGGGGCCGAGCGTCCGAGCCACTCCGCGGGGACCGAACGAGCAGCCCGAAGCGGCGGCGGCCGAGGACGGGGACAGCGACGACGCGGAGGCAGAGAAGGGAACGCCCGGCCCAGCCCCGTGAGTGACCCCCGGCCGGCCCTGCTCGTGGTGCGGACGCCTGCCCGGCTTCCGCCTGCCCCGCTGGGCCCTCACCGGCCCCGGGGCTGCCTCCATTTTCCTGGGTGGCGGCGGCCCCGGCCCAGCTTGTCCCCGGAGCCCCCGGGAGCAGCCGGGCCCAGCCTGCCCTCTCCGCCCGGCTCGGCTCCGGTCCCTCGCTGAGACGCTCCCTTTGCCTTCGCCGGCGTGGGGCGCCCGGGGGCCTGCAGTCCAGGCGCTCCTGCCTCTCCCCCCGTGGTTCTCTGGCGGGGCTGGCGGCGCGTGGTGGTCCGGGCCGGAGTCGGGCGGGCGGGGAAGTGCGGGCCGGGTCAACTGTCACCGGCTGCACCCGGGCTTCAGCGCCTCGCTCCCGCCCCTGGTAAACTTCCTGTTGTCGGGAGGCAGATACCAGCTTTGTGACCAATTCAGGAAAATGCCTAACTGATTTCTGGTTAGGAATTGGGCGGTCGGAGCGTTCTGGAGTTCAATGGAACCACCCCAAGCGCAGACTGCGTGCAGGCGCCGTAGTCGGCCCGCACCGGAGGGATTCAAAGGTGAAGCGGGCCCCGGTCCCCTCCCCCGAGGAGCTTAGGCTCTGGTGTGAGAGATAAGACGAGAACACAAATAACTGCGATACCGGGAAGGAGGTGATAAGTCCTGTGAAAGAACGACGGAGTGCTAGAACGGCACCCGGAAAAACCGAACCGATCACTTCTGCCTCGCAGAAACCTGGAAGGCTTCCTGGGCGGGGGATGCTGAGCAGAGTCTTGAAGGCCTGATGGGATTTAGGAGAGGAGGATTGCAGAAGAGGTGTGTGGAAGGGGTAGCAAAAGCGAGAAGACAAAGCCTAGAAATCATGGATAATTCCGTTTGTTGGCATGGTGCAGGGGGCGGGGGGTATTGGGCTAAAGAGGTATTTTGGGGCCAGATCCTTGAATGCTGTAGAGGAGCTATTTGAGCAGCATTCTAAGAGAAACTTAGAGCTCATTTCTCAGTGACTCATGAGCCCGGAAATGTAGGCTAGGGGATATTAAAGGCGCTCTTGTGAAAGGAGAGAGGAGGAGGCCCAGTCAGGAGTTGACATTCTGTGCCTTGAATGTAATGCAGTTTCAGATCGATTTTGACAGCTTCCCAGATAATCAAGTAAATCCATGCCCAGGCTAAGCAAAGTACCTTTGCAGAAAGCTTCATTAGATATCAGGCTCTTAAGAGGTAATGGAAAGGTGTCTATAAAATAAGCTCATCTGCACACAGAAGGTGTTTCTATTTGTGCGTTCGCTACAGTGCATAAAAACTTCTTGCACTTTGTATTAGGCGTATGTACTTTGGAATTACTAAGCTAAACCTACATTCTTTGAGGTGGCATTTGTGTAAAATAACATAAATTGATGATTTTTAAAAAATGGTTAGTAATATTCTGCTGTAGAAAGCCAGACGTAGACCTTTTACAGAAAGGTAAAACTTTGTTTTTATATTTTATTTTATTATGAAATCTTTATAGTAGAGCCAGAAGTGAAAGTGTTTAGCTTTATTTTGTAGTTTGTTCAAATTGTTAGGAAGTAATTAGCAGCTGTATTCGAAATCTAGAATATACGATCTGTGAAAGCAGCTTAGGGCCTAAGTTTTGTAAGCTTGCACTTGTTTGCGTGTATGACAAGTGAATGCCACCTTTTTGCAGTTTAAAAATTTTCTGCTTTTCAAAATAATACATGATCTTTGTCAAAGCTTCCAAAATTCAGGGAGTGCTAGAAAATCTTTAAAACATTTTCTATAATCTTACCACTTAGATTTGGTTACTGCTAACATTTTTGCGTATTTTCTTTCCAGTCTTTTTCTGTGTATTTTTTCTTTGCATAATGAAATATATTGTATGCATATGTATACACACACACATCTCTTATTAAGCTTTTCTTGTCATTAAATATCTTCATATAAAAAATTTTTACTCAACAATGGAAGTCTTCTAAGCATGTTATGTTTTCCTGACAAGGTTGTATTATTTACCTCAGATGAAATGCAGTAGTTAGGCTTAATAACTACTAGTGTGGACAGAACTTTTTCTGAAAGTTTCTTGTTTGAAGTATGTTTCTTTCTCTGTAAGACTTGGATCCTCTTGCTTGTTGAATAAAGTTTTTCTTGGCAGGATGTGTGTTGTCATGAGGTGTGGAAGAGGAAGAAAGCACACAGATCTCTGCTATAGGAGTGAATGGACTTTTAAAGGGATGTTGTCAAAAGATTACTGTCATGGCTGGTATACCATCCCCCACAGACGGCGATGCAGTGTCCCTTCCCACTCCCCACTTCGCTCCTGAAAAATAGTCTCTACACTAGGGCCATCCATATAGGTTAACTATTTTTTGAACATGACATCACGAAGACTCAGGCTGGATATAAGCATAGAATATTTCATGAAATGGTTTGCTACTATAACAAATGGGTGGTATTTGCCTTTTTGGTTTTGTTTTGTTTTTTGAGACAGGTTCTCACTCGGTCGCTCAGGCCGGAGTGCAGTGGTGCGAACATGGCTCACTGCAACCTCAACCTCCTGGGCTCAAGCCATCCTCTCACCTCAGCCTCCTGTAGACGGGACCACAGGCTCGTACCATCACATCCGGCTAATTTTTGTATTTTTATAGAGACAGGGTCTTGCCATGTTTCCCAGGCTGGTCTTGAACTGCTGGGCTCAAGTAATCTCGCCTTGTCCTCCCAAAGTGCAGGGATTACAGGCGTGAGCCACCACGCTTGCCTGGATATCTGTTTTTTTATTTCAAGGCAGCTTACTTCCCTTCATTAGCATTTTCTACTTCAGGTTCTTGTACTAAGTCAGTTTTTTCCCATGTATTTTACATTCTAAGGTGTATTAATAAGATCTCTGTTTCTGTTTCATCACGTATGAAGTAAGATGCTGAGTAAGGCTGTATACGTTTCCTAAAGTTAATGTAGAAGAACTGCTAAGAAAGTCCAGTATAAGTATGGGGTTTGGTAACTTGATTTTATTTGAATGTTTGTATATTGCAAATACGTATGCCACACAGGGTCTTTATTACCTTGGAATATTTACTAAAGTTTTCTGTTTTGATCAACTTTTGTGGGATTACAGATTTCTTTAGTTATTGCCATACTTTCCCAAGAGCCTTTTTTCCAGATTGATGACTAATCACTCACAGTTTAGCCATCTGCCATGAAAATACACAAATCCAACCTCCCCAACCCCCAAAAATAAAATTCAGTAGTAGGACGAATTTTGTTTCAGGTATTGTCTTTTGTTTACCTTTCTGGCATTGTTTCTATTCCAGCTCTATTTTATTTTTTAATTTAAAAAATGTTTTAATTAAAAGAGATGGTGTCTCATTCTGTTGCCCAGGCTGGTCTTGAACTCCTGGGCTTATGCCATCCTCCTGCCCCAGCCTCCCAAAGCACTGGGATTATAGGCCTGACCACACTGGCCTCCAGCCCTATTTTAAAAGGTCAGGCCGAGCGGGGTAGCTCACTCCTATAATCCCAGTGCTTTGGGAGGCCAAGGTGGGAGGATTGCTTGAGCCCAAGAGTTGGAGGCCGATCTGAGCAACATAGCAAGACCCTATATCCACAAAAATAAAAAATTAGCCGGGCATGGTGGTGTGTGTGCCTGTTGTCCTAGCTACTCAAGAGGCTGAGGCAGGAGGGATTGCCTGAGCCCAGGAATTTGCAGCCTCAGTGAATTTTGATCACTGCATTGCAGCCTGAGGTGACAGAGTGATACCCCATCTCAAAAAATGTATATATAAAATAAAAATAATAAAAATAAAAATTCATTTTCCTCTTTTTCATTGCTTCTTTTAATTGGGCATTTGATTTTATGAACGTCTTTACATGTTACAGAAATGGGACTGTGGAAGGTGGATTAATTTGGATAACAGAAAAACTGGTAAACATTTTTTTTTACACACTTTGATAAAATTGTGGGGAAAAAATATCAAATCTGAATCTCTGGGTTAAATTACTTGTGACTTGTTATTACTGAGGTGTAAAGATCTGGCATTATTATGAAGTCAGGTAATCTAAATTTGCATAGCAATTTAGTCATCAGTATCTTTTGGCCATTGTAAGAAGACTTGTATTAGAGCCTTCTTTAATTACAGAAGGAATTGAGCTGTGTGAGAGTTCGTACGTTCTGTGCCCTTAGTGACTTTCCGACCGGATCCCAACCACTACTTTTTAAAAAATTCTCCTGCAAGGGTGTCTTGCAGTGAGAAAGAGAGACTGGACTCAACTCCCCTCATCTCTACAGTCCGGAATATGGGGGCAGAGCAAAGTGAAGCAAATACTTCTGCCGTCACCATTTGTAGAGTAGAACAGTCTGTGAATAAAATGATCAGTGTTCTGCCTCTGTTTCTCAGGCCCTCCGAGGATTATGAGAAGAGTTACTACAGGCCTAGGTGGCAGATCATAGACTGGTGGTGATGAAATCAGGTTAACAGCTAGTTGCCATCTGCATTTTTGGGGGGTGTTGTGCCATTTCTGTCTCACTGAGCTTCCCAGTCCCACTGTGCTTTTAACTTTTAAAACAGAAGGGGTGAGGGGACAGCAGAATTGTGGTTTATAGCAGCTGTGATGTTAAGCCTGCAGAGGAAGGCAGGATGGCATGCAGAGAATTGCGGGAGGTCATTCGGGTGTGAAGTGGCTCCAAAGGAGGGAGGTAAATCCTGCCTTGGCCCTTCATGTTGACCATATCCAGTGCATACCTATTTGTATGATCTTTAATAGCTTTTGTCTTGGTACTCAGAATATAGTGTTTAAGTTATAGATTGTGTTTGCTTGTTTATGTGTGTATTCATATGCATGTTTCAAAGATGGGGAAAATCTAGCCATTATTTAGTGGCAGTTTGTTTTTATATGGTAATTATTCTTTGGGAGCATTATCCAGCAAAAATTGTTGAGGACCACGGAAGTATGATACTGTTAAAAGATCACACACTTTATTTGGTAATACATTTGAGAAACAAAACATACATTGTGTATCTTGATCTTAATTAAGTTCCTACTTTGTGATCTTGTCTCATGAACTGTAACTTGCTCTTTACAGTGTACTGACTATTAACATGCTAGTCACTGTTGTCTCCCTCCACAGTAGATTATATATCAGCTGTATTGAGGCACTAGGAAGAAATACTTGGACAGGTTTCTGTTTACATGTCTGTAGTTAAGGCCCGCTTTTAGGTTTATAGAATTTGGAGAGGTAGTGTTAGCCAGTGGTTAAAAGCGCAGGTGCAGCCAGACTGCCTAGATTTTGAACCCTCATTCCTCTGCTGTGGGCTCTATAACCTTAAGTTCCTTCTGTCTAGCTTGAATTCCTTGGATGGTAATAGTAGACCATATCTGAGAGGGTTGTAGGACGATTAAATGAGTTGCTACATCTGATGTGCTGCCGTGTATCAGATGCCTAGACATAAGTTTTGTGATGCTCATGATAGGCTTTTCCAGGGGGGAGAAACTTTAGAACTTCAGAAACAACCTAGGCAGAATGGTTCTTTCTGCAGGTGGGAACACTGAGGCCCACCGTAACTAGAGCAGAGTTTGGTTCACTTTGAGCAGTAACAGGTGTAGCTTTCTGCAAAGTGAAGTCTCTTTTCTAGGGTTTTATGGCTTATTAGCCACAGGACTGAATCTGGAGCCTGGTTTTCTTCATTCTTTGTCCAGTTTACTTGAATTAAGTATCATACTTTATGCAGTAATGTCTTCTTTTGGACCTTTTCACTAACATTTACAAAGGTTGTATTCAAAATATATTAAATGTTCTTTGTCATATAATTCTTTTTTAAGGTTTAATATACTAATATTCATAATATTTGTGATGTAGCTGGCAAGTGATTTGGGAGGCGTGTATGAAGTTAGAAGTCGAAATAGACAAAGAATCAAGGAAAATTAACAAAAATTAGTTAGCTTGGGGGAACAAATTACCGTTTAGGTCCACTAAATGTTGGGCAAACCTCTTAGGTAGTATTGTCCCCAACATCATTGATGGGAAACCAAAGTGGAGGGTTTGTCCAGGATAACACAAACATTGCACAGTTGAGCCAGAATTTGAACTCAGGTCTGCCTCACTTCAAAATATGTGCTCCCTGAAATAGGGTATGACTCCCTCATGAAATAATTTTATTTTCCTTGCTGAGCAGTTTTGAATTAGTATTTTAGAATGGAGGTTTATAAATAGATCCGAATTTGGATTTTAATAGGTTTCCAAGCAGTAACCACATTACAATCTAAAAGAGATGGTTTATTATAAATGCTTTCGTTGTATAGTCATAATTTGATTAGTGGCTTATAGTTTAGTTAGGCCAGTAGATAGTATTTAATTTCTACATTATTCTTGTAGAGAAGATGGGAGGCCTGTGTTACAGTGGGAAACACAGAAGCCTGGGAATCGAAAGATCTGGGCTGGGTCCTGACTCCATGGCTAATTATGTTGTCACTCTGTACAAGTAACTCCATCTCTCTGGGCTTCAGTCATCCCATTATTATACCAAGGGCCCCAGATTGAAAACCCCTTAAATTCTCTTACCCTTATTTTCAGTGATTTGTATGTAGGCTTCTGACTTGCCTTTTTCTCCTGCACTGGTTCCCTCCCCTTTTGCTGGTGGTCTTGCAGTCTGAGTACTTTATGGCATGTGACTGTGCTTTAACCTTTTTTCTCCCAGTTGGTCAGATGGTAGTGTTATTTCACAGTACTGAAGTTCTCTGCTTAGGGTAATGAGAATAACATCAAAATGTGTATTTTCAAATGTTCTACCTTTGTGCTTATGAATAAATAGTTAAGAACTAAATGTTTTATGGTTGTAAAGTACAAGCTTAGTAAGTCAGTCTATTTATTAACAAGTCCTCAAGCCTCACATCAGTTTCGTTGTCACAATTGTGTTGTAAAGTTGGGCGAGTTGTGTGTTTTAGGGGAAGGAAAAACATTAACAAAAGGCAATGAGAGTGGGAAAGAAAGAACCAAAAATGTAGAATTAAATTTGGGAATGTAAAGAACATGCTTTGGCTGTGGTTGGTATTAATCCCCTACCTATGTAAAGGTGGCATCCTGGCTTAGATCACAGGGTTCTTTGCAGCTCGGGATTCTATCACTGGTAAGAGATAAGGGTGATATTCACCACCCATTAGCATTCATACATCCTCAAATGTCTATTATTAATTTGGTCCACAAGTTGTTTGTTTGTTTGTTTCCCAGGATGGAGTCTCCCTCTGTCGCCCAGGCTGGAGTGCAATGGCGTGATCTCGGCTCACTGCAACCTCCGCCTCCCGGGTTCAAGCGATTCTCCTACCTCAGCTTCCCGAGTAGCTGGGATTACAGGTGCGCGCCACCATGCATGGCTAATTTTAGACGGGGTTTCACCATGTTGGCCAGGCTGGTCTTGAACTCCTGACCTTGTGATCCGCCCACCTCGGCCTCCCAAAGTGCTGGGGTTACAGGCGTGAGCCACCGCGCCAGGCTTAAGCAGTTTTTAATGCCCCTTATGCTAGGTACTAAAGGCCAGGCCTCAAGGAGCTCAGTAAACAAGTTTTTTCCTGCTTTGATGGCATATCATCAGCCAGCCAGTTCATTTACTTTTAGATTCTATAGCAGGGAGACAGAAACTCAGGCCGTTAACATGACCCATGTAGATACTCTTTTGGCTCCCATCTCTCTAGTTACAGTATGGTTTCATCGCTGTTCAGCATTGGTGAGTTATAAGTTTTTCCTATGTATGTAAGTTTCGTGTCTCTAGATTGTAATTTATTTGGATAGAGGATTTTTGTTTCTTACCTTTTAAAATTTATCTTCCCTCCCCTCTTCCCCACCTCATGTTTTCAGAGTATAATAATACGTTCTTTCTATAAATATTAAATGATACAGCTGTGTGGTAGTATAAGAAAACTTTTGCAGCCAGCATGGTGGCTCGTGCCTGTAATCCCAGCACTTTGGGAGACCAAGGTGGGCAGATCACTTAAGGTCAGGAGTTCAAGACCTGCCTGGCCAACGTGGCGAAACCATGTCTCTACTAAAAATACAAAAATTAGCTGGGCATGGTGTCAGGTGCCTGTAATCCCAGCTACTTAGAAGGCTGAGGCAGGAGAATCGCTTGAGCCCTGGGGGTGGAGGTTGCAGTGAGCCAAGATAGTGCCACTGCGCTCCAGCCTGGGCAACAGAGGGAAACTCCATCTCAAAAGAAAAAAGAAAAAGCAAACTTGCTTAACAGAGATGAAATACTTAACCAAAATACAATTTTTTCTGTTTATCTTTTTATCTCAGCTATATTTGTGCTTATTTGAAAGTGATTTACATACCATGATAATTGAAGGTTATGAGGATCCCCTTTTCGCAGATAAGTTCCACGTAAAGCCGTGTTTCCCAAATTGTGTTTTGTAGACTGCCAGTCTTAGAGAGATTAGTTGTTTGTAGGAGAGGTTCCAGGGTGAGATTTCAACTTGGGAAAACACTGGGTTAAACATAGTTAAACAGAGTTTTATTTTTGATGGTGATTGTGTTACTGTTTTTCTGCAGAGCTTGTCAGAGTTTTTAGTAGTGTGTATTGGCAAATTGAGAAATACTGCACATTATATTTCCTTCCTTCAAGTTTATTTGGTCAAAAGAACACACCCTCCCCCCCAGGAAATACCCACAAACATCTTGAAGAAAGGTTCTACTGGAACACAGGTTAGGAAACCCTCTTATTTGCATACTTACTAGTATGGCATTCAAAGCATTTACTTACTAATTCGGATGATAATTTTTTGTCAGTTGGAATTCAACTAAGATTGTAGTGGCTTTCACCAAGCCTTTTTTTTTTTTTTTAATTTCAGCCTGCAGTGAGAAATTATATTTTTGACCAGTGACCCAACACATACACACACTCTCAAAACTGAAAAAGAAATTTCATGAAACAGTACTTAGGTCTTACTACATAGAATGCATTCTAATACTTTCTATTTTATTTCTTAATGCTTTTTATGAACTACTAAAATCAGCATGCAATTTGAGAGACACTACAAGGTTACATGAATTTATAAACTTAGTTAGAGTGAGAATATACCATACAAACTTTCATTTTTCTATTTAAAAAATATTTTTTGTAGAGACGGGGTCTCACTATATTGCCCAGGCTGGCCTCAAACTCCTGGGCTCAAGCGATCCTCCTGCCTCAGCATCCCAGAATGCTGGGATTACAGGCTTGAGCCACCTTGCCCAGCTCCAAACTGTTTTATAAGTGAGAAAACTAAAGCTCAGTGTAGAGATGAGATGGGAGGGACTCTGGCCATAAATTCTGGATTTAAACCTTGGTTGTGTGTTGTTGGGCAGGGTGTTTAATGCCTCTTTTTCCTCAGCTTTCTCATTTGTAACATAGCAATAATAGAACCTATACATAAAGTAGTTGTGAGGATTCAGTAAGAATGCCATGCATAGCGTGTCTGATAGTGTGCTGTAAGTGTCCAATACATTTTAGCTTTTATGATGGCTGAAGTCTCAAATTCTTTCTGCTGTACTATACGTACTTTGAAAAATATTTTAAGACTTTAGAAGTGTTTAAGCAACCTCCAAGTAAAGCTAGACTCTTGATCTCTAGTTGGATGTATCATTTGTTGTGATCTCAGCCCTCTGAAATAGTAAGTTTTAAAAATAGCGAAAAGGAGCCACTTAAAGTTGTTTTGTCTCAGTTGCAAATTGACTCTCGGTTGCCGAGCTTTATGCTATATTATTATATAGTTTTAAAACTATTCCTTTTTAACTTTCTTAATTTTCAATTTTGTTAAAAGAATGAATACTTTAGCAGCTTTTCAAGCCTTTTTTAAAAATCTTTATAAGCATGTAATTAAATACAAATATGTTCATACCTGTAACCTATTAATTTAGCTTTCTTGTAGTTTTAATTCATTAAAATAAAAAAATAAAAGTTACTGTTTCCTGTTTTATCCACGTTTCTGCAGGTTTGGTGAGTTTGCCCATCCTCAATATTTTATATTGCCATTGGGGGTTTAATTTTGTGTCCTGACCTAAGAAAAGGGACATTTACAGGGGATTTACGATAGTGGGAGCCTGATTTCCCATTATCTTTTTTTTTTTCTTTCTGGTTTAAACACTTCATTTTAATTTCTCTGCTGTGGGCTTCCTGAACCCACCCCACTTAAATGTTAAGGTTGAACCTCCCCCAAACACAGGAAGACAAGCAAGTCTCTGATTCAACATTCTTGCCACATCAGAGAAATCTTGCTGCCCCTTCTGCAGTAGGTGTGTCTTCATCTCTACGTTCCTGGAGTGTGTTGCCTTTGAGCTGATCCTCCAGTTGTCTCACCTCCCAGACCCTTTTGCTCCTTTTAGTGCCCCACACTGTCCTTGAAGGACCATGCTGTCACCATGGCACCCAGAACCCCCTGCCTACTGGTTGGGCTTTGGTTGGGTTTAGCCAATGGAAGCCCTGGGCAGAAGATTAGAGAGGGTAGGAGGAGAAAGAACTCAGCGTATGTCTTGCCCTGCCCTCTCCATGCCCTGGTGCATTGTTTGGCCAAGGGTTCCCATTATCTCAAACATAGCTGGCTACTTCATATATTAATGTCACTACTGAGGCAATTTGAGGTGTTTCTCAGTTTGTTTCTTTTATTCCCCAGTTTGTCTTCAGTGTGACCTGAAGTTGCTGAAATAAGAGGTTCCAATCAGCGTCACCGCCACATACCAATTCAGTATGCAAATAGCATAAAGAGGGTCTGGCGTGGTGGCTCGCACCTGTAATTCCAACACTTTGGGAGGCTGAGGTTGGTGGATCCCTTGAGGCCTTTAGGAGTTTGAGACCAGCCTGGGCAACATGGTGAAACCCTGTCTCTGCTAAAAATACAAAAATTAGCTGAGTGTGGTGACGCACACCTGTAATCCTAGCTACTTGGGAGGCTGAGGCATAAGAATTGCTTGAACCCGGGAGGTGGAGGTTGCAGCGCGCCGAGATTGCGCCACTGCACTCCAGCCTGGGTGACAGACCAAGACTGTCTCAAAAAAAAAAAAAAAGAAGATAGCATAAAGGCATAAAGATTCTGTACTTGTGTGAACAGGAGGCATGTGGTAAAAAGTAAATAATTGCTAACATAGCACAGGTATGTTTTAGCACAGGTATGTTAGCTGCTGATACATTGTTTAAGACCTCTATGGGCCGGGCACGGTGGCTCGCCCCTGTAATCCCAGCACTTTGGGAGGCCGAGGTGGGCGGATCACCTGAGGTCAGGAGTTCGAGACCAGCCTGACCAACATGGAGAAATCCCGCCTCCACTAAAAATACAAAATTAGCCGGGCATGGTGGCACATGCCTATAATCCCAGCTACTTGGGAGGCTGAGGCAGGAGAATCACTTGAACCCTGGAGGCGGAGGTTGCGGTGAGCCAAGATCGCGCCATTGCACTCCAGCCTGGGCAACAAAGAGTGAAACTCCATCTAAAAAAAACACACACGCTCACCAAAAAAAAAAAAAAAAAAACCTCTATGAGTAGTTTACCTCGTTTAATCTTTTTTTTTTTTTTTTTTGAAAGCCACTGACTTTATTGATCTAAAAAACTTTACAAGGACAGTGACTGTTGTGCCAAAAAAGGAGCCAAATGGTATCAAACGGATTGAAAGTGAGGGTGGGGGTGAGGGATGGGGCCGGGAATCCATTCAGGAAAGCTGGTAACTGTCACCAGGGAACTGGCAAGGGAAAAAGGACGGGGGAGGCATGCAAGAGCGAGAATCCAAAAAAAAGTTGAAATGGTTAGGGGAGAAAACTCCCAAAAGACCCCGGAGTACGTCGGAGGTGAGTACAACAATAGCAATCTTTTCCTTCGTAGAGGACAGGGGAGGAGTCCCTACTCGGCTGCAAACTCTGGTTGAGGGCTGGGGATTGAGAGCTTCCCAGAGAGCATCACAAGAAGGCGTCGCACCACTCTCGAAGGCAGTCCCGGGACTGCTTGGCGCTGGCGCCACAAGTGTCTTTCAGCCATTCCCGGTAGAGGTCTTCATCTTTCTTTAGCACCAGAAACTGGCCAAGGACAACGTAGGCCTTGTCAAAGCCCCTTTCCTCCAGCTTCTTGCCCAGGACTTCACCAATCCCAGCCAGGCTCCCCACTGGCTTCTCCCCCATGGGCTCTGCCACGAAGTCTCGGTGCTTTTGGGAGGTTGTCATCTTGATCAGGCTTAATCCGCAACTTCAGTTCCCGTAACGGTTCCTCCCGCCACCCGGCCACTCCTGCGGATACCTCCCGTTTAATCTTTTAACAGCCCTTTTTAATATCAAATTTTGTCCTCATATTTTTAGGTAAGTAATGGGGAAAACCAAGCAAATTGTGTAATTGGCCCGAAGTTATACATGTAGAAAGGGGTCCTAGATTTGAAACCCAGGTCACAGAGCTTGAACTTGCAACCTACCATGCTGCCTCTACCACATGATACTGGAATGTAGAATCATCCTGGAACATAGGACATTTCTGATACAGAAACAGATGAGGTCAAGTCTCCTGGTCAGGATGTTTGATGTCTCAGGACACAAAGAACTTTCATTTCTCTTTACTGAGTTGCTGTCAGTGATCTTTGAGGAGCTGTGATGAAATGGAGCCATGCAAGAAAATTAGGAAAGTTAAAAGTACAGTTTTTCCATAAAAGGAAAAGATGGAATCTACAAATCATCAGACTGCACTTGATGTTGATTGCCAGAATACCTAGCTAAGTGTTGATTTCTAGAAGCTACATCCATTTATTTATTAACTATTTCCTTTTTTAGTAGGATTCTATTAAATGTCTGAGATAAGGATGGGGCAGGATAGGATTGCTGAAAGAATGCATAGTTCTTCCATATTTGAGATTATCTGAAAATATTAAATTGCACAATTTAAATTGGAATATTTTCTAGGACTTGAAAGTCATTTTGATGTTTTTGCTTTTTAATTTAATTAATTTTTTTTTTTAGACGGAGTCTCTCTCTGTTACCTAGGCTGGAGTGCAGTGGCATGATCTCGGCTCACTGCAACCTCTGCCTCCTGGATTCAAGCAATTCTCGTGCCTTAGCCTCCTGAGTAGCTGGGATTACAGGTGCATGCTACCATGCCCGGCTAATTTTTTGTATTTTTTTTTTTCCAGTAGAGATGGGGTTTCGCTGTGTTGGCCAGGCTGGTCTTGAACTCCTGGCCTCAAGTGAGCTGCCCACTTCGGACTCCCAAAGTGCTGGGATTACAGGCATGAGCCACTGCACCTGGTCTCATTTTGATGTTTTTATAGGATCCTTTTACTTGTGTTCATTATAGTTATCTAATATGCTTTGGCACATAAGTCACATATGGCACATTAGTCACAGGTACAGTGGCCTGCATCCCTGTGCCTTAACCTTCCCATGTAGGCAGGAAGGAACTAGGAACTGTTAGCATCTTCCTGTATGTAAACAGCAAAGTGTAAATACCTTCTGTTTTTATATTGTTAAAATCATCCATTTCTGTTCTTTAAGATTGTTGCTAACCTATTCATTTACTCAAAGGCTAGTCTTGGTCTTGTTCACATAGTGATTGGAAACTGAGTTGATGGAAAGAGGGCAACCCTTCCCTACAGAAGCTGAAAGGGAGGGGCGGGGAATGTTTTTTCTTTTTTAATCTTATGGAAGCTCCCGGACTTTTTAAATATAGTGAAAGGAAGACAGGAATCAGGGTGCTTAGCATACGAGATTGTATGCTGATGCCCTTTGGTGTTTGAAAAGGTCAAAAGACTGTCTTTTATGGAGGCTTTTGTTATCATTGAGAAGAGGAAGGAATAATAAGAAATACGGAGAGGGAAGAGGAACAAGACATAGGAGTATATCCAGAAGAAAGTGACCAAGTAACTGTAGACACTGGGTCTAAATTTGTGTGTCATGCACAACTTTGGAAGAGCTAATCATGAAGGTGGAACTGATTGCTTTTCAGAATTGTCTTAAGAAGTAGAACACTTGAATAGATTGTTAACCATATTTAATAATATATGTAAATATTTAAATATATATAAATTGGAAGCGGGTACCCTTATGGAAGCTAAAAGGGAGGGGCGGGGGATATTTTAAATGTGTGTAAATATTTAAATAAGTATGTATTTAAGAAGTAGAGCACTTGAATAGATTGTTAACCGTGTGTGTGTGTGTGTGTGTGTGTGTGTGTGTGTGTATTTTTTTTTCTTTTTCTTTTTTTTTTTTTTTTGAGACAGGGTCTTGCTCTATCACCCACGCTGGAGTGCGGTGGCGCAGTCTTGGCTCACTGTAGCCTCAACCTTCTGGGCTTGAGTGATCCTCCCTCCTCAGCTTCCTGAGTGGCTGGGACTACAGGTGTGCACCACCATACCCAGCTAATTTTTTTGTATTTTTTGTAGAGATGGGGTTTTGCTATGTTGCCTAGGCTGGTCCAGAACTGGGCTCCAGTGATCCATTTGCCTTGGCCTCCCTAAAGTGTTGCGATTACAGGTGTAAGCCTCTGTGCCTGGCCTTAACTCATGGAATATATTAAATATATATTAAAGGCCATGCCCTCGCAACCAGCTAGGGGAAGGAGTGCTCCAGACCCAGTTAGCATAGAAATTATATACTCTTATATAAATGATATACCTAACATAAATACCCATATATAAATTATATGTTCTCTTTAAAAGTTTCAAAAAACATAAACTAGATTTATTCTAGATCCTAGAATACCAAAAGATACCAAATTCATGTTACAAAACTAGCCCAGGCCAGGTGTGGTGGCTCACGCCTGGAATCCCAGCACTTTGGGAGGCCGAGGCAGGAAGATCACCTGAGGTCAGGAGTTCAAGACCAGCCTGGTCAACATGGTGAAACCCAGTCTCTACTAAAAATACAAAAATTAGCTGGGTGTGGTGGCGCACGCCTGTAGTCCCAGCTACTCGGCGGCTGAGACAGGAGAATTGCTTGAACCTGGGAAGTGGAGGTTGCAGTGAGCTGAAATCACACCACTGCACTCCAGCATGGGCGATAGAGTGAGACTCCGTCTCAAAAATAAATAAATAAATAAATAAATAAAAACTAGCCTAAACTCTTAAAAACCTAATAAAATACAAAATATAAGAACAGCAACCTGGTAAGACATTACAAAGGATGAAAACTATATTCCAAATTTATCTTTTTTTTTTTTCCTGCTCACTGCAACTCTTCCACCCAAGTTCAAGTGATTCTCCAGCCTCAGCCTCCCAAGTAGCTGGGATTACAGGGGTGAGCCACCATGCCCAGCTAATTTTTGTAGAAATCGTGTTTTGCCATGTTGTCCAGGCTGGTCTTGAACGCCTGAGCTCAGAGCAATCCACCTGCCTCAGCTTCCCAAAGTGCTGGGATTATAGGCATGAGCCGTCGCACCCTGCCCCAATTTATCTTTTATATGTTTTTTTGAGACAGGGTCTTGCTTTATCACCCATTCTGGAGTGCAGTGGCGCAATCATAGTTTACTGTAGCCCCGAACCCCTAGGCTTAAGCAATCCTCCTGCCTTGGCCTCCTGAGTAGCTAGGGCTACAGGCATGTGCCACCACACCCAGCTATAATTTTTTAAATTTTTTGTGGAGACGGGATCTCATTTTGTTTCCTAGATTGGTCTCGAACTCCTGGGCTCAAGCAGTCCTCCTGCCTTGTCCTCCCAAAATGCTGGAATTACAGGCATGAAGCATTGCACCCGGCCCCAGATGCACATACAGAAGCCAAGAACATTCTAAGTAAAACACCAGCAAAACTAATTAAATATGAAATTGTCAAAGAAGACAAAACCTGGTATTTACTGTGTGCCAAGTAAGTGTTTTAAGCACTTACATTATCTCAATTAATCCCCTCAGCCTGAAGAAAGAGATTATGCTTATTTTACACATTATGAAATATAGGCCAAAAGGTTAAATAGTCTGCCCAAAGATTAGTTGCAAATTAGCCACAGAGCCTGGTTTTGAACCCTTGGGCGGTTTGCACCAGCTAGTATTTAACCTCTGGCTATATCATCCCAATATGTGCCAAGATAGCAGTGTTAAACAGTTCTTCTTGTTTTATGAACACTTGAAATCAGAAAACAAAACAAAGATGCCCAGTAACACTGATGTTTGATAATGTCTTGGCCAGTGCAAGAATACATCAAATAAAAGACTTAACTATTGGAAACTGGTGGAATATAGCAGTATTTGCAGACAGTCACAATTTTAAACCTGGGAAAACCAAGAGAATCAAATCAAGAGTTAAAAATAAGAGTTTAGTGCCCGGCGTGGTGGCTCACGCCTGGAATCCCCAGCACTTTGGGAGGCTGAGGTGGGTGGATCACCTGAGGTCAGGAGTTCAAACCAGCCTGGCCAACATGGTGAAACCCCATCCCTACTAAAAATACAAAAAAATCAGCTGGGCGTGGTGGCATGTGCCTGTAATCCCAGCTACTCAGGAGGCTGAGGCAGGAGAACAGCTTGAACCCGGGAGGTGGAGGTTGCAGTTAGCCAAGATCTCCAGCTTGGACAACAAGAATGAAACTGTCTTAAGGAAAAAAAAAAAAAAAGTTTAGTAAGATGGTTTTATACCACATAAAGATATTTAATAATTGGTAGCACTTGGCTATGAAAAATCTTGAGCGAAAACCTCATTCATTATAGCAATAAAAAATGAAATGCCCAGGGTGAGGAAATCTATAAATATTTGAGATTTTTACAAAGAAAACTATAAATTTAAGTGAAAAAAGACTTAAGAACAAATGAGAAAATTTTTCCAGGTTGAATCAGTGTAGTATTGGCCAGAGAATACTGTCAGATATTTTAAAAAGTTGACTTATGGAACACAGTAAAAGATACATATGAGCCTGCTACATAAGCAACATCACACATTAGTGGAGAAAAAGGATTATTTAGAAAAAAATTTTTTCTTATAATTTTAGACAGAATCTTGCCCTGTCACCCAGGCTAGAGTTCAGCGGCACGATCATGGTTCACTTCAGCCTCGACCTCCTAGGCTCAAGTGATCTTTCACCTCAGCCTCTCGAGTAGCTGGGACTGCAGGTGCACACCACCACACCGAGTTAATTTTTGTAGTTTTTGCAGGGTTTCACCATGTTGCCCAGGCTAGAGCAAAATATTTTTAAATGATTGGTTATTCTTTGGGAAAATGAATTGTGATAATTAAGCTACCCTTTATATGAAAATATATCTGTTGGGAGAATGACTAAAAACTATACATTAGAAGAAAACTTTTCTTTTTTTTTTTTTTTTGAGACCAAGTCTCGCTCTTGTGCCCCAGGCTGTAGTGCAGTGGTGCGACCTCGGCTCACTGCAACCTCCGCCTCCTGGGTTCAAGTGATTTCCTGCCTCAGCCTCCTGAGTAGCTGGGATTATAGGCACCTGCCACCACACCCGGCTAATTTTTGTATTTTTAGTAGAGACAGGGTTCCATCATGTTGGCCAGGCAGGTCTCGAACTGCTGACCTCAGGTGATCCACCTGCCTCGGCCTCCCAAAGTGCTGGGATTACAGGCATGAGCCACTGCGCCCGGCCAAGAAAACTTATATGAATATCCATTGGATGAAAAAGCAGGTTTATTTTCATTGCTGTCGAGTGATAGAAGAAAAGAACTAAGAAAAATGTGTGAAAAAAATTTGTGCGATGATGGCCGAAGTGTTGACATTTACCTCAGTATAGTAAAAGCTTATACAAACTGATAACTGCCATTTATTAGTAAGCTCCTTTTATGTTTCAAATGCTGCCCTAGGCATTTTATTCATGTTAAAATTTTAACAGTCATTTTATAACTAATTGAGATACAAAAGGTCAATGTTTTATCCCCAGATTTTGGTTCATACCTCTACTAAACAGCAGAGCTGGGATTTAAACTGGTGTCTGATAAGAGATGGTCTTAATCCTTAAAGCATGCTGCCTTTCAAGCAAGTTAAAGGCTAAAACACTGGCCAAGTGAACAGCCAGATCAGATAGTGGCTAAATAAAGTAAATGTAAATAAAACAATGGGGGGTGCTATTAGAGATTTTAACAAGTAGTAATGCTTAATGCAAGTAGGGTTGCATTGAGATGCATAAGGCAAGACGATCTCATATACTGCTGGTAGGGCCTTTCTGGGAAAGAGTTTGGTCCCGTATATAGCCAGGTTGTTAATATACTCATGTAAACCAGGAAAAAAATAAAATTCCTTTTTCATTCTTACTACAAGTGATCTTCGGTGTCTTAAAAAATCTAGCTGTTTTATTGATTGTGGTGGTGATTGCTTAACTCTGAATATACTGAAAATTATTGGATTTTATGCTTCAAAATACTTTTTTTGAGACAAAGTCTCACTGTCACCGAGGCTGTGAGTGCATTAGTGTCATCATAGCTCACTGTAGCCTCAAACGTCAGGGCTCAAGTAATCGTCCCTCCTCAGCCTCTCAAGTAGCTAGGACTACAGACGAGCACCTGCACACCTAATTTTTAAATTTCTTGTAGACACGGGGTCTTGCTATGTTGCCCAGCCTAGTCTTGAACTGGCCTTAGGCAATTCTCCTGCCTAGGCCTCCCAAAGTGCTGGGATTATGATGTGAGCCACCATGCCCAGCTGAATTGTATGCTGAATTGTATGATGTGTGAATTTTATCTCAATAAAGCTAATATTTAAAACATCTAGCTATTTTAGCTATTGAGTGGAGAAGAAAATAGTTAGCTTTTTCGAACTTCGTGTTGTTAAAAATGTTCCAACAAGTCCAGTTTATCCTGCACTGATTTTATTGGTACACCCCATTTAATGGAGTATCCTAAATCTACAGAAAGTAGAATTAGTTCTAAGACTGTCTTAGTGAGTGGTCAAAGGAGAGAGAGCTGAGAGCTTGGTGAAATTATCTCTCTCTTTTTTTTTTTTGGCGGGGGAGGGGGACTGTCTCACTCTCACCCAAGCTGGAGGGCAGTGGCGCTATCTTGGCTCACTGCAAGCTCCGCCTCCCGGGTCCACGCCATTCTCCTGCCTCAGCCTCCCAAGTAGCTGGGACTACAGGCGCCTGCCACCACGCGCGGCTAATTTTTTGTATTTTTTAGTGGAGACGGTGTTTCACTGTGTTAGCCAGGATGGTCTCAATCTCCTGACCTCGTGATCCACCCACCTCGGCCTCCCAAAGTGCTGGGATTACTGGCGTGAGCCACCGCGCCCGGCCGAAATTATCTCTTAACAGGAGAACTCAGTTTCAGGTTTATCAGTCAGTTTTAAGACCCCTTACTTGGGTTTTAGGAAACATCTTCTACCTCATCTTTGTTTAAAACTAATGTGTGCCTACAGACATAATCTGTTATTTTCAGTTGTATCCCACCTTGTGAGGAGTACATGAAGATGGCCCTTGCTGTCTAGGGTCATGTATGTAAATGCATTTATTGTTAATTTTCAAATATAGGGGTGCATGAATCAGGGTAAAATCGCTCAAAGATTCAGTAGGGAGAAAAAACTCGTGTTTAGATTCTTGCCGCTGGGGGAATGAGATCAGTTAGATCAGCCTGTTCTGATTATTCAGCAATGAGAGCAGGATGGGATAAATGATGATGATAATGAAGTGTGTGCCTGTAGGAGAAATGGCAACTAGTTGCCCACCTGGCCTGGGTCAGTGTGGTTAGTGGGAGGTTGAAAAGTTATTTATTTCATGACATAGGCATAATCCCCAATAAATCTTGAGAATTGTAGATATTTACTGATTTGAAGTATTAAATACTGCCAAGAGAGACTTCTTTACGTTATCACTGACAATTAAAAAAAATTTTAAATATGGAATTTTTTTCAACCAGGACTAACAAATATTTATGTGCAGGTTACCCTGTTGCACCCTACTTTAAGTAGAGGGTGCTCTGTCTTTGCTAGATTGAGAAATGGACATGCACAGGAAAGTTGACTAGTCATAGGGGAGTCAAAATAGTCACAGATTAGTAGGGGTGGCCAAGTGTCCTGACTTCCCAGACAGCACACATTTATGCCTGTTGTCCTGATGTATTTATTCATCGTGCCCCCCTTCATTCTCCAATTTGCCCTAGTTTGGATGATAAATTGTCATCTGACCATTCAGCAGTTGCAAGACTAGCTGTTTTTTGACCCCCTCCTCTCATTTTTTTGGTGTTAAAGATGTAAGGCTGTCGTATCAGGTCCTCGGATGTCCCCCCACATACCCCCAAGGTAGTTTGATTCTCAGGTGTTGCTTCTGGAGCTGTAGCATTCCTTCCTTGAAACTAAAAGGGTTTTCAGTAGATTGCCTTGACTTTTCTTCCTTCTCAATGAGAGCTATATGCTGTTAGCACTTCTGGCTCTAAAGTATTCGACTTTGTTTGAAAGGAGATTCTAAATGTAAACACTGTTTTTGCCCAGATTCTCTCTTCCTTCACTCTCCCATAAGTAGCTTCTCAGGAACTATTGAAAGAGAAATTGGGGAGTTGCAGATTTTAAATGGTTGTTACTGGATGCCTTATAACTCTAAAAAAGGACTGTTTAAGGAGACAGTGTAGCAGTATTCCTATACTTACATATTTATATAATGTTTAATTCTTTATTTTCCATATCCCTTCCAAGTTTTAGAGCAAATGTTTCCAAGGGAAATACCAGGAGTTTCACAAGATCGTTTTGGGAGTTGAGTTTAGGATAGCCAGGGGAAAAATTACATTTAATTTGCATTTGCTTATATAATCTTGAACTTTGTTCTCAATTTGTGAAAATAGACATACTGTTTTTACACTTTAATTTTTTTCTTTGTTTCTTCCCCTGTTAATGACACATTTCAGATATCCATCCCCAAAAGTAGATATGCAGAGTATATGGAAGAATAAGACATTGCCACTCGCAGCCCGCACTAGGCCAGTTTGGCCCTCTAAAAGGTGAAGAGGAGAAAGATCTGACCCCTGCCCTTAGAGGTGGCCCCTTGTATTAATTGGAACTCATTTTTTCCAACAAAACAGAGATTTAGTAAAATTTTATTTTGGGGAAAAGGAAGAGGTGCATCTGGGTCTCAAAAGCTGGAACCAAGAATACAGGCACTTTTAAGACTGTCTGTTTCCTACTGCATTTCCTTGCTTATTCGCCCCTTGATCTCTGTGCAGACTAGTTTTTTCCACCTGATAGAAAATCTGGCCACCTGCATTTCCTAAATATGTATCATGGAACTTCAGCCTTTGGATAGACTGACTTCCTGTTCAGTGTCTAGCTTGCCCCTCCCTAACCTCTCGGTTAGGTTGTTGAGGCCAGCAGGGATGTGGTCAGGTAAGGCCATAGTACCACCCACTGGAGCTATGTGAGTGGTATGTGTGAGTGGGGGAGTTGCCAGAAAGAAATGGTTCTGGGGGTGATATAGAATGACCCTATGACCCTTCCGAGGATTGGTGGAGTCTGTCGTCTTCCCCTCTCATTTGTTTAGGTGTCCAAAATCAAACATCCATAGACTTCTTGGTTATTTGACCCAGACCACATCTTCATTCCTGTTATTTTGTCCTTTAGTCCTCATGTTAGTCTTAAATGTAGGCCCTGCTTTAGGGCTTTTGGCCACAGGTATCATGAAGGCCTGAGGGAGTCTAAAGAGCTGGCCCACAGGATCCCAGAGGCATTCCACCCCGACGAAGGAGTCACTGCACTTACATTCTCTCAACTGTGGAGGGAGGAACTGGAATATGTGCCCCACCCGGGTGGAACACTGTTCTGCATTATTAGTCTGCTGGTCTAAACCACCAATATTTGGTGGCGGTGGTGGGGTTGTGTTTTCTGTTGAATCATAGGAAAGCATCAAGTGACCAATACTTGTTGATTGGGTAGCATTTTGGCTTATCTCATCGGCTTGTTTTTCATTTACATTGTGCTCTTTGCTGGTCGCCTGCCCTGATACCCCTTGAATTCTTGTTGTTTTCCTTAATTTCCTTAGAGAGTTTGGAGTAGAATGTGGAATCGCAGTTTACAAGTAGAGCTCAGCCATTATTTTATTTATTTTTTTATTTTTGAGAGAGAGTTGTCGCTCTGTCACCCAGGCTGGAGTGCAGTGGTGCAGTCTCGGCTCACTGCAACCTCTGCCTCCCGGGTTCAAGCAATTCTCCTGCCTCAGCCTCCTGAGCAGCTGGGATTACAGGCACTTGCCACCACGCCTGGCTTATTTTTGTATTTTTAGTAGAGATGGGGTTTCACCATGTTGGCCAGGCTGGTCTTGAACTCCTGGCCTCAAGTGATCCGTCCGCCTCGGCCTCCCAAAGTGCTGGGATTATAGGCATGAGCCACTGCTCCCAGCTCAGCCATTATTTTAATTTATGAATGGTTTGTATACCTAGTTAAAAAATAATTTGGGGGGATGGGGGGGACAGAGTCTCCTTCTGTCACCCAGGCTGGAGTGCAGTGGTGCAGTCATGGCTCACTGCAGCCTTGACCTCACTGGCTCAAGCAGTCCTCCTACCCCAGGCTCCCAAGTAGCTGGAACCCTAGGTGCGCATCACCACACTCAGCTAAGTTTTAAATTTTTTTATAGAGACCAGGTCTCACTGTGGTGCCCAGGCTGGTCTTGAACTCCTGTGCTTAACCAGTCCACCTACCTCAGCCTCCCAAAGTGCTGGGATTACAGGCATGAGCTACCATGCCCAACAACAAAAAAAATATTTTTATATAAAGACCATTTAGACTTTAATATCTGTAATGGCTTGCATGTAATAGGGGCTTGAAAAGTATGTTGAGAAACTTGGAAGTATTTTCATTCATCTTTACTTACCAGAAAGGAGAACGACACCAACTAAGCAGTTATTGCACACTGCATAGGGGCTCTTTGAGAGATGGAAGAGTTATGCCGACCATCTCTCATGTTCACATGGGCTGGTATGCTGTTACTCATGGATAGAAAGTATTTGACTCTCAAGAAAAATGGTGGAAGTCTCCTCTTTTGCTGCACATTGTACATGTTGATGGCTTTACCACATTTTCTCTGTTTGACTTAATGTAGTAATCTCTTCCCAGACAGGATGTCCCTGTAACATTGTTACCTATTTCTACAGCAGTGAGAATATTGACATGCTAGATCTTACAGTATTTAACAAATTTAGCATGGTGGTAAGGATAAAAGCTACACCCTCGTGCTAAAATTAGATTTTTTCATGTCCTTTGCCTGTCATTTTAGGGAAATGGAGAAAATTAGGGATATGTTTCCTTCTCTCTTTTTTTCTTCTCCCCTTCTGTCTCATCTTCCACGTCACCCCAGAGAGTTAGATAAAAAGCAATGGAAAAAGTGGAGAGATGAAATTATTCTCAGGACAAGGTTAGTATCAAATGCATGTCTTTTACACTAGCTACACATTTGGCTTTGAGTTTTGAGTAGCCAGAACAAAGAAAGAAAGAGCAAATCCAAGACAGTTTATGAGATAAAAAGAAAGCCAACCACTTAGGAGAAGCATAATTTTCTGTAATCGAGACCCTGTGGATCCTTTATTAATGCGAGCTCTGGGTCCTTAATATACTTCTCAAATCGTGGTCAGGAGGAGGGGAAGGAGGGGAGTCAAAAAATCTCAAAAACTTGACCCTTCTCTGATCTCAACAGTGTCTGTAAAAATGAAGTACCTGAGTTCAAGTTTAAGGTATCTTAGTACAAGACGTAAAAGACATAGTATTAGGCCAGAGTGCAGTTTAATTAAATCATTTTTCTGATGCTCTGGAGCTGTGGAAGTGGCCCTTTATAATGATTCATGCTGCCAACCTTTTAATTAAAATTGAGTACCAGAGAGGTCCAAGGTTAGAGTGTCTGGTAGCTGCTCTGGCTTTAACAGTTGGCTCGAATGGCAACCAACACTAATATCTGCCTTTCAAAACTTAACCAGGACTTGATTTCAAATCTAGTTACATAAGTTGACTTGGAGTCCAGGTTAGTGTTTTCCTCAGAAACTAGTTCTGCACCCAACATGCAGACATTTTTAATAGACACAGTTTTAAAGTAATTTTTAGAAAAAATTTTTTAAATTGATGACACTGAAACCCAATATGTAAAACTGATAAGAGTGAGGTGTTTGGGCTGAAGAGAAGATAGACCCTCACCTGCTGCAGATCTTAGAATGGGCTTAAAAGCCACTATCAGAATCATGGCTACTGTCATTTTAGTTTGACAAAACTTCAGTGCCTGGATTGCTGTTCTCCCACTGTTATGGAACAAGCTCACCCTGTCTCCCCGCTACCCTCTCAGGACACCTGCAGAAAATCTAATTTTAAACAATGTAACTTCCTTTTCAAGCCACTATGAGTCTGAGAGATTGGCCGTATGGTTAACAATAACCCCAGCATTTGGGGAGATAGAAAAATCCAAAGGATAGATTTTTGAGGCCTGCACGAAAATGATCATCTCTGTTTGTTAGAGATTACAGAGCGCTGTCACGAATATTTTGTTTAGTCCTCACATTAACTTGTGTTAGTAATATTCTTCTGCCAAAATAGTAAAGGAAAAATAAAATGCCATGTTCAAAATTTTTGTAGAGGAAAATAAGTTTTTAATGTAAGTAAATGTATCCATTGTACCTCTTCCTGAATGGTTTTAGGCCTCTCACTAAAACTTAAATTTTTATGTTCCCTTGGATATAAGATGCTTTTGTTGTGCATTTTAGATACTGCTTTGAGATTAAAAAGCAAGTTTTCCAGTTTGACTATATTATGATGTCAACACTTACCTGGAAAGCACCACTCCATAAAGTGTGGAATGTTCTTTGAGCAATAAAAGAAGGTATGTGGTTATTCTGTAAACAGCACTTGGGTTTTTCACCTTCTGCCTGCTTTTTCACCCGATACTTTATTACCCATCAGAGCTTGACGAAATTACAAAGTCATTTTTCTCGCCTTATCATGCTTCAGACTGTTGCATAAAGTCTTCCAGTGAAACATTTTCTGACCCTTATCCAAATTTTTCATTCTACACAACGCAGTTCAAGAAACGTCTCCGCTGAAGTCTGGGACCTTCAGCACACAGTGCCCTGTCTGTACCTATTAGTCTTCCATGGATTTAAGTCTTCTGTATTTGTGCCTTTCTCCCCAGCTGTATTCTAAGTCCTGAAACACCTAGCGAATATGTACCACTTATCATTCATGCCATTTAGTTCTCATCTTTTGGTTTATGAGCTGAGTTTAGGCTGTATGATTGGGAACTTTTTTCCTCCAAAAACACAAGCAAGAGCTTTTATATTTGATCATACCAGTCAGTTGGCAAATGAGGTTTGGTTACTTCCTCTGAAGTTCAGTGTTGTTTAGCCTCATTATTTCATCAGGATCAAGGCTTCATATGCCAGTTAGTGTGTTGATGTGGAGGAGTGGAGTGGAAAGAATATGTTGATTGGTTAGGAAAATTCTCAGCAGAAATTATCCTTGGGTAGAATGTTCTATGTGATCATCTACAGGGCTGTGTACTTGTGCATTCTGTGACTCTAAATACTGCTGCTGGAAAAAGTCTGTTTACACTAAATACCACCATACGACAGCCTTTGAGCAGTTTAAAAAGAAACCTTCCAATCTCCTACTATGGTGGTTTAGCTCAGGCTGGTTTTGTGGCATGTTTGTGCTTTTGTGGGCATTTGGCCAGAACAGAAATAGCAATGCTTAGACCTTGAAGGAGAGTGATTTTCCAGGTTTACATCTGATGCTGTAGAAATAAGTTTAAGGTTATAAATTTTGCAAATAAAACTTTTTTTCAGAATAGTTATTCATTGGAATGACTAAAAGGAAAAACTAAAAATCATTTCACCACTCTCAGGTATGACTTTAGAACCATAGCATTTCCAATCTACCTTAATTCTTTGACACAAAAATAATTTTATGGAAGGCCTTTTCCCCATACTTGAACTTTCAAGTTTTCTCATTTGTTTAGGTATTCTTTTAAAGGAATTATCTCTATAAAAGAGCAGGATTCACTGTTTGCTTTTCTTATTTACCGAAATGTGGGTGAGGCTGTGATGTTTGCCCATGATCATATGGACTATGTTTACACAGCCTTGTAGCAAGTGAGAGTAAATTTAACCAGAAGGAAAATAGATATTTTTAAAATGTGGACATTGATTAACCTTTTGTATTTTAAAATACAGTGCTAATTTGTCTAGAAATAGCTGAAGTTCCCGTTTTCTGAAACTAGTTCTAAAGATATGATAATTTAACTCTTAATTTGTTAGGGTATCTGTGAATAAATCATTGTAGGTAAAACTAAAGATGGCAGATCTGTATTGATAAAAGACCTTTAACATATTCAGAGAAATCAGTCATGTATTACAGATGTTTCTAAATAAATAATGCTTTGTAATATGAAACTATAATTTGAAGTCTTTTTTTTGAGACAGAGTTTCGCCCTGTTGCCCAGGCTGGAGTGGAATGGCGCGATCTCTGCTCACCACAACCTCCGCCTCCCGGGTTCAAGCGATTCTCCTGCTTCAGCCTCCCAAGTGGCTAGGATTACAGGCATGCGCCACCACGCCCAGCTAATTTTGTATTTTTAGTAGAGACGGGGTTTCTGCATGTTGGTCAGGCTGGTCTTGAACTCCCGACCTCGGGTGATCCGCCCACCTCGGCCTCCCAAAGTGCTGGGATTACAGGTATGAGCCACCACCTCCAGCCTCTAATTTGAAGTCTTAAATCATGATAAAGTCTTTGTGCTTTGCCGTAATTGGAGAAGTTCAGCATTGTGAATATGGTTGCTATCATTAGTATAAAAGAGCTATTCAGATTGATTTTAAATCTTCTACTAACTGCAAGTTCGATCTTATCAGTGGTTTATAAAATCCCCTTAGTGGGTTATGACTAGTATTTACAAGGAAGGGAAGGAGTAGGGCTAGGATAGAACAAAATAGAATAAAGAATGTCAGTATAATTTTACATAGTAAGTATAAGTGCTATTTGGTGACTCTTGTTTTCTTTTTATGAATATGTGTGCATCATGGGTCATGAGGTCAAAGTAGTCTGTACGCCACCAGTGATACTATAATGCAGTTAGGTGGCCTGGTGGCCTCGTGGTTATTTAATGACTGTACACAAAATACAGATTGAAGAGAGGCTTTATTGGAAAGCTCCAGTACTCTCTTCCCTGACCTATTCATACTTTTAATAGGAAGTAAAGGAAAACCTGTGTGACTTGCTAATCAGATTTGTAGTTGACAGGAATCTGGTAGGGGAAGCTGATGTATACTGGATAACAGCATTAAGATCCAAGTAAAAAAATTTAAATGCCATACTACATACTGAGTCTAAATCAGAAGGAATTGAATAGGAATAATTGTTCAGTCCTGCTGGCACGTCCCAAAATGCAGTAATACAGCAGACCCCAACCTTTTTGGCATGAGGGACCAGTTTCGTGGAAGACAGTTTTTCCACGGACTAGGGCTGGTGGGACATGCAGGGCAGGGGATGGTTTCAGGATGAAACTGTGCCACCTCAGACCATCAAGCATTAGGTTCTCATAAGGAGTGGACAACCTAGATCCCTCGAATGCACAGTTCGCAATAGGGTTCACGCTCCTGTGAGATCCAGTGCTGCTGCTGATCTGACAGTAGGCAGAGCTCAGGCAGTAATGCTCTCTCACCCACTGCTCACCTCCTCTGTTACTAGCAGGTCACTGGACCCGTACCACTCCACAGCCCGGGGGCTGGGGACCCCTGCAGTAGTATACAATGGTTGAAGATGGGGCTTCCTATGCAACATGTACAAAAGACTTGGGTCAATTAAATTGCTCAGTAGAAAGTGTTTTAGCTGTGTGGTGTGACTATTAAAACTTAACATAATTTAAGATCACATTTATGAAATATATGGAAAGGTAGTCTGCCTGGTTAGCTGACACATGGGGAGTATGGGATCCAGTTTGGAGCACCACACTCTGAGAGGAGCAGTGACAAATAGGAATGCCTGGAGAATAATTCAGGCGGTCCCCTGATTAATTCCCCCAAGGTTTATCTCCCTCTGACAAAACCACAGCTGGATAAATTTTATAGGAATTTGGTTGCTGACTATGGTAATTGTGGTGCAGATTCAATGTGAATATATGGTTCTCATTCCCAGACACCACACAGGTTAGTGTGGAGATGGTTATTTACATATTAACATGTCTTATTAGACTGTTGAAAATGCTTTCAGCTCTTTCTTCATGACATCTCTTTCATTTTATCCCAATCCTGGATGCCTCCATGCTTAAGACACAAGGATACAGGTCTACTTCAGAATATTCCTACCTGATACCCATGGAAATGGTTGCTCAGATTTGATACTTCGTCAGTTTACTTCTAGTATTTGCCCCTGGCTTGGCTTGGACTGGGATAAGGTCTAGGAATGGGAATTTATTTTCTCCTTTTTCTTGAAAGATGGAGTCTCACTTTTTTTGCCTAGGCTGGTCTCTAATTCCTAGCCTCAAGCAGTCCTCCTGCCTCAGCCTCCTGAGTAGCTGGGATTACAGGCACCCATGCCCAACTCTAGGAATGGGAATTTGATCACATCGTAAGTTGGAATCCAATTCTAAAGGCACGTGTATACATTCAGTTTTTAAAATATCCTCAAATCTTAGAGCTATAATTTTGAACAATATATCAAATTTAAATAAGTTTATGTAATGTTATACTTATTCAACGTGTATTTAGATATAGTTACCATATAAAGAATATATTATGCTTCCCCCAAAATAACTTAGTTGCTGGCTAACTGGAGAAAAGTCACAAATTCTTACAGTGGATTTGTTGATTTATTTTTTTGTCTATAACTAAGCAGTGCTATAATGAAAGCAGCCATCCTTTCTCAAACTGGATAGTAGTGAGATTCATTAAATGAGATGCTACTAGAATGGCTTATTTCAGAAAGATACCATTGCTTGACCATAAATGTTAGATATCTATAAATATGAAATTTTGGATTCATACTCAGCATGCAGTTCCAAGCCTAGCAGGAAATCCAAAATTCCTAAATAAAAAGATTTACAGATAAGTCTTTTTTGTTTTGTTTTGTTTGTTTGTTTGTTTGTTTGTTTGTTTGTTTTTGAGATGGAGTCTTGCTCTGTCGCCCAGGCTGGAGTGCAGTGGTGCGATCTTGGCTCACTGCAAGCTCCGTCTCCCGGGTTCACGCCATTCTCCTGCCACAGCCTCCCGAGTAGCTGGGACTGCAGGCACCCGCCACCACGCCCGGCTAATTTTTTTGTATTTTTAGTAGAGACGGGGTTTCACCGTGTTAGCCAGGATGGTCTCGATCTCCTGACCTCGTGATTCGCCCGCCTCGGCCTCCCACAGTGCTGGGATTACAGGCGTGAGCCCCCACGCCTGGCCAATAAATCTTGTAAGAAAATGAAAACTTCTTATATTAAGTGACAAAGTTGAAATGCAAATGGCAAACTAGGAGAACATATTTGCAAAAAAAAAAAAAAAAAAATCTAAACAGCCAAAGGGATAATGTTCATAATTATTCGATATCCTACAAGTCAATAAGAAAAGGACTCCAAAGCCAGCTGGCTAATGGGCAATAGAGATGTACAATTTCAGTAAGAAAATACAAATGGAAGTATGTTCATTGTCATTAATGATTGGCAATTCAAATTAAAATAATTGATCAGAGGGGTGGAAAGAAGAGGAAGGCAAGAAGACAGCATTTTTAATCTGGCAAATCGGAAAGGTTAATAGGTCCTAGTGTTGATTAGCTGGCAAAGAAATGGCTGCCTTCATGGACTTTTGATTCAAGACTGTGTAAATTGGCCTAAGTTTTTGGTATGAGTTAAGAATCTTTGTGTTTTGACTCTCAGACTGCCTTATCAGAGTCACTCAGAATCTTCCTTGGCTGCATTTTCCTCTCATATGTGGTATACATAACTGCACAGAACATCGTGTGGTCTCTTTGTGGCCGGGTCAGCCATTTGTTTAGCCGTTCCTTATGAATAGCTTTCTAAGGTGGGCAGGAGAGGTCTAATTACCTCAAGTTTTATAAAGATGAGGAAACTGGCATTAAAGCTCATTGACTGTCCTAGTTCTGGTTAGTAGAGAAGAAGACAAGGAGTTGCAGTTTCTTTCCCTTCACTCACTCTATATGACTTCCACAGACAACTAGGCTGGAACTCTACGACAAAGTAAGGCCGGCTATGTCTGCACAGAAAGGAAGGGAGAGATAGAGTAACTCATTAAAAATAAGACCCCCAAAGACGAGTCTTTTTGCTGAAATAGTTAAAAAGCAATCTGTGCATTGGAAAAATGCTGTGATGACCCCCTACTGACTCCAGAAAGAGTTGTGTTAGTCTGACAGTTTCAAGTGTGAAGAAAATACGTATTTACTTTTATAATTAATCTAAAGGACATTATTAAAGATAGTTTTGTGTGGAGTTATTGATAAAAATATTGAAAGTTTTGCCAAGCTACATTAATATAGAAAATTTAAACATAAGGATGTAGACCTTAATTTTTAAACTTGACTTTATTTATGATGTTATTAAGCTAATTTAGAACTTGATATTCAGTCATAACTAGAAGAAACTCATTTAGAAGAGTACTCGCTTTGATGGCAGCTTGTTTCAGTACTGAGCAAACTACCTTTCTTGTAAACAACAAAAGACATTTGAAAACTGCTGATTGGGGCCAGTATTAAATTAGGGCAAAAAACAAATATTAATATAAAGAAAGAAACCTTTTGTCTGCAGAAATCAGGTAAGTATGTGTATGTGTGTGTATATATATGGTTATTAGAACTTAGAAGAATAAAGTCACAGAGCTCTGATACATGATACTTTTTTTTTTTTTTTTTTTTTAAGATGGAGTCTCGCTCTGTCACCCCGGCTGGAGTGCAATGGCACGATCTCAGCTCACTGCAAACTTTGCCTCCTGGGTTCAAGTGATTCTCCTGCCTCAGCCTCCCTAGTTGCTGGGATTACAGGCATCTGCCACCATGCGCGGCTAATTTTTTAAATTTTTAGTAGAAACGGGTTCACCATTTTGGCCAGGCTGCTCTGGAACTCCTGACCTCAAGTGATCCACCTGCCTTGGCCTCCCAAAGTGCTGGGATTACAGGCGTGAGCCACCGTGCCCAGCCCCATGATACATTCTTAACTTCGAAGAGCTACTTAGTTATGGTCAGTTTGGTTAAAACACTTCCAGCCATATATACATATTTTTTCTTTTTTTGGAGACAAAGTCTTACTCTGTTGCCCAGGCTGGAGTGCAGTGGCACGATCTCGGCTCACTGCAGCCTCCACCTCCCAGGTTCAAGCAGTCCTCCTGCCTCAGCCTCCTGGGTAACTGGGAATACAAGCACGTGACACCATGCCCAGCTAATTTTTGTATTTTTAGTAAAGACGGGGTTTCACCGTGTTGGCCAGGCTGGTCTTGATCTCTTGACCTCGTGATCCGCTCACCTTGGCCTCCCAAAGTGCTGGGATTACAGGCGTGAGCCACCACGCCTGGCCTCCAACCATATTTTGAAGTATATTCTCTAACTGTGTTTAGATGTTACAGTGGTTGTTTATACATGTCCTACCTTGTTCCAGAAAGAATTTAAGGGAGCTTGAAATAATCTGTTGTGTTTATCATAACTTTAGTTTTTGAAATCTATAACAACTGCATGGTACACTGAAATCACCACAGTAAAATTTGACAATAGTAGTATGAGTCTCTCAATAAGTATTTGAGGTTTAACATGAAGTTCCTGTTTGTAAAATTAACACATAGCTTTCTGCAAGAGCTGTTGCTACTTTGTAAAATGACTTTTCTCTAAAAAATCAGCTACTAAAGCAAAGCCCACTCTTTTCTCTAAGCAAATATATTTTGTTGCTCCAATGAAGAATGAACCTTAGCATTACAGCATATTTCATAAACATTCATAATTTGACATTTCTCATTTACTATAAAGAAAATTTTTAAGGATTAACAGAAAGCCTTTTTTAAGAGGAACATAAGTGTTTTTAAACAATACATTCACTAAGCCCATTTCATTAAGTACTCATTGTTTAATTCATTCATTCATTAAAGATAGGTTAGCATAAGAATTATTTAATACTTTAGATTACCAAAATGGAATTAATGGTCTACTTGACATATATAATAGGTATATCTAGTTTTAGGATCGTGGAGAATGTTCCGCTAACAATGGTCTACCTTTACCCTTGCCTCTCTATTCTGGAAAGGTTAAAAAAATTTGAAGTCTTTGAAAAATCTTTTTTTGTAAGTGTTCTGAGAAAAATGTAGACATGTGCCTAAAGGAAGTTTGTTTTAGTTAAGATGCTATTTTCCCAAAGGATGATGAGTCCTCAGAGGAGCTCATGGTCCTCAGACCTATGCTTGCACTCCGGAGACTTGGTTGGGACTGGGAGGTACTCTCTATGCAGCATATATCTGAGATTTAATAGAAAAGGAACTTTATCAATGATGAGCAATAATCCTCTTAAAAGCAGATGAAGCTGGGGTATGGACCAAGCTTTTTAAAATTTTTTTCTTTTTTCTTTTTTTTGCAGGGGAGGCGGGGCCAGAGTTTCGCGCTTGTTGCCCAGGCTGGAGTGCAGTGGTGCCATCTCAGCTCACGGCAACCTCCACCTCCCGGGTTAAAGCGATTCTCCTGCCTCAGCCTCCAGAGTAGCTGGGACTACAGGCACATACCACCACGCCCAGCTAATTTTTGTACTTTTAGTAGAGACGGGGTTTCACCATGTTGGCCAAGATGTTCTTGATCCCCTGACCTTGTGATCCGCCTGCTTCGGCCTCCCAAAGTGCTGGGATTACAGCATGAGCCACCGCGCCTGGCCAAAATCTTTAAATTAAAAAAAAAATTTTTTTAAGGATGGGGCATTCAGGGGTATCCTTTTCATGTTTATTTGACTCATAATCTTAGAAATTGCCCTTTGCCTATTTGGTCGGGATTTAACAAAGTCACTCAGCAAACATTTATTTGTGATTACTGTGTTTAAAATTACATTTTTATGTTTTATATTTTTTTGTAATACTTGATTTATGTGTAAGATGACAGAACAAGTAAGTACAAAAAGTAGAATCTGGAATCAGAAGACTTGCCTTGAATCCTGACACCTACATTCAGTGTGTAATGTCACGGCTAGCCTTTTATGTGACTTTAAAGATATACAGGAATTAGTTACCATGGGAGCTAGAGAAAGGGTGCAGGGTGGTTTCATGGATGGAAAGTGTTCGCAGACATTGGGTTAGGGAGTACACATCACAGTATGTAACACACCTTAATCAATGACTCATTCCAGTTTAACACTGATAAAAACAGTCAATCCCAAAAAGCTGTGACGCTGCATAACAGGATGGCTCTATAAATAGTGTTGCACTCTTAGGAACCCAGATCAACCCTTTGAATATTCCATCTTGGGTATTACGTGAAGCCATCACACTTTAGTCACAATATTGCCAGGTTTATATTCATGGTATAAACAGTATTCAGACAGACAAATTAAGAGTTGCTCAGCAAAGGTGTGAGTCCAGCTTTGTGTGTAGCAATAGAGAAATTATAGGCACTTTGCTAGATTTCCTGCTCACTTACCCTCCAAGAGCATCTTGGTTCTGGCCTCTGGCTCCTTTCTGCATGGGTTTCAGGTGAAAATTTTCTAGTCAACTCTTGGTTATTTATGTATCATTTCTGTAGGATTTTTTTTGTTGGTGTGATTTTTGTTTTCAGAAATGTTCTTCAGTCCCACTTGGCAAATGTATCTGGGGTCTCATGCAAAGCAGCATGCCAAATGTTATAAGAATATAAAATGACTGTTAATATACAACTTTGCTATCAAGAGGCCTCCAGATTAGTTGGGAGTGATACATACATACATAATAACACATTATAATCAAGATTTTAAAAATCTTACGGGTATAAGGAGGGTCTTACACTTTTACTGTGGAGATCTTTATGGAGCAGCTGGTGTTTGAAAGTGGTCTAGAGGCCTGGAGTGGTAGCTCATGCCTGTAATGCCAGCACTTTGGGGAGGCCGAGGCAGGTGCAGGAGAATCGCTTAAACCTGGGAGGCAGAAGTTGCAGTGAGCTGAGATCACATCACTGCGCTCCAGCCTGGGCAACAGAGTGAGACTCCTTCTCAAAAAGAAAAAGAAAAAAGTGGTCTAGAGATGGGCAGCATTTTGACAAGTAGAGGAGTGAGGGCATTTCTGAGGAGGGGTTACCCCCATTGGCATTGCTGTAGTTTCCAAAAATTATTTCACGGAGAGAAGGGGAGAGGAGCACTATGAACCACTTGTTGATGGCATTGCCCATGGAACTGTTTCCTCTGTAGATATTCTTCCTCTTACCTGCCATCAACAAGGTGAGTTTAATTGAATTACAGTGGACAAAATGAAAACACATGTAGATTGGAACAGTTAAGTAAGAGAACTTTGAGACTCTGTAGAAGGAAAAGGTAGTGTTTATGTCTGAAACATGGATTACAGTGGTCACAGTGGTCATTTTGCAGTTATGCATAAATCTAACTTTTAACTTGCTGGCAAATAAGGGGGAAAATTAGCGCAAAATATAATGGATTATATAGTTCACCTTCCAGTGATTTGAGACATACCAGTTCTTCAAATAGAAACTTTTGCCATATTACTATGTTTTAAATTATGAAATATATAAGTGTATACACATAGGCTGTAGTGTAATGAATTTCCAGCTTCAACAGTTAATACTTTGCTAGCTATTTCATCTGTCCCCCACCTTGTTCTCTGAGAGAGGTGGAACTAAAGTATTTTAAAGGAAATCCCATATCACTCATACTTCCACATGTATGTCTAACTGATCAGGATATTTTTTACATACGTCATAATACCTAACAGAATTAACAGTAATTCCTTGTCATACCCAGTATATAATTTCCCTTGATTGCCAAAATATCTTTTTTTCAGTTGTTTATTTGAATCAGGATCCAGAGAGGGCCCATGCATTGTATTTGACTATATGAGGCTCTTATTATTTAAGTCTCTGCTGTCTTTTTTTTTTTTCCTTTTTCTTATGTTGTTTGGTTTTTTGGAGAAGCCTGACATCTGTCCTGTGAAGTGTCCATTTTCTGGGTTTGATTTACTGCTTCCCTATGGTGATGTTAAACTTGTTCCTCCCTCTTGTTGCCTGTAGACCAACCGCTAGATCTAGAAGCTTGATTTGATTCAGAATTGTAGTTGGGTGGGGTGGGCAAGGGAGAGTCAAATTTTGATAGATGATGCTTTGTACTTCCTATTGTGTTGTATCATGAGTCACACTGGTGTGTGGTTGTCCTAATAGATTAGTGTTGTCCATGTAGTTAGCCTGCGTATCCTCTATGAAATTCCCCATCAGCCTTTCACCTAATGGTTAAGGCCATTGGTGATTGTTGCCTAGTTCCATTATTTCATTAAGAATTACAAAATGGGTTGGGTGCGGTGGCTCATGCCTGTAATCCCAGCACTTTGGGAGACCAAGGCGGGTCAATCACTTGAGGCCAGGAGTTCGAGACCAGCCTGGCCAGCATGGTGAAACCCCATCTCTACTAAAAATACAAAAATTAGCTGGCAGTGGTGGCACCCACCTGTAGTCCCAGCTACATAGGGAGGCTGAGGCACAAGAATGGTTTGAACCTGGGAGGCAGAGTTTGCAGTGAGCTGAGATCATGCCACTGCACTCCAGCCTGGGCAATAGAGTGAGATTCTATTTCCAAAAAGAAAAAAAAAAAAAAAAAAATATATATATATATATATATATATATATATATATATAACAAAATGGTAATTTTTTCCTATCCACACTTATTAGCTATGAATCTCCTATAAAGAACTTTCCCTTGTCATCTATATGGTTATCCTGAAATATAGTCTATACAGAAAAAGGCAGGATAAATGTGCGCCCCCCGCCCCCGTGTTTTTTTTTTAAACCAATTGTTGGAGTGTTGCATTGTTGCCTTCACAACCTCCAAGGTAACCAAAGAAAATTATTTTTAGTATTATTATAATTTTAATGGGCGCTAATGTTTTACATATATTCTTATATATACATATGTTACTATTAAATATACAATACTTTAATGTGTGCAGATGCTTGATTTCCATGTTAATGCATTGTAATCATTATTTTTTATGCTCAAATTCTACCATCTTAGGCCTTTGCAGCACTTTTCAACTTAGCTCCTGTGCCTTTTTTAGCATGACCTCATAAGTACAGTATTTGCTTTCTGGAGTAACACGTCCCTGGCTCATCTTGGGTATTTCCTACTCTTTCATGAAGTCTTGGTTTCTTTTAGTAGGAAATGATCATGTATTGATTTTTTTAAAATACACTTTTTATATTTAGAAAAAAAGTATTATATGGACTTTGTAAATACTTAACCTTAGAAAAATATAAATATCAATTCATGTTCTCACTACCCATTATTAACCTTTGCTATTTTTTCTCTTAGCAAATCGCTCTGCATGTATAGATAAAGATGGGATTATATGTATGCAAACTTATATTTAAAGTGTTTTCCCTTAAGAGGAGTTGTAGACATTTTTTCATATCGGTAGAAATCCTCAGAAGCATTGATTTTAAATGACTTCTGAATGTTCAGTTCTATTTGCTGAGAATTCTGGTTGGTTTTCCTTTTCCTACTGTATTAAATAACTATTCAGTGGCCATCTTTGTATGTAAATCTTAGAGAAGCAATAGATTATGAGGATACACTCGTAGAAGTGTAATTGCGGGCTTAGAAACATTTTTAAGTTTACTGATACATATGAATATATTGATTGTAGTATGAAAGATACTGGACAACCTAATAGACACTGCATAAGAGTTGCTAAAAACCTGCTTTGAAGTCCCAGCTTTTTCGCTTTACTAGCTAGTTTCATGATATTTGAACAAACTAGCCAATAATTTTGAGCCTTAGTTTACTCATCTATAGAATAGAAATAATAGAACTTCTTGTAGGAACGAACAAATGGAGAATCCTGCTGTTACTTTGAGGATCAAAATAAATAATAGTTCATTCTACAAATATTCTACAAATATGTGCCATCTATGGTTTGAATGTTGTTTATTTCCATCAAAACTTATGCTGAGGCTTGGCCCCTAATGTGGCAGTGTTGGGAGGAGATATCTTTAAGAGGTGATTAGGTCGTTAAGAGGGATTAATGCCTTTCTCCCAGGATTGAGTTCTCACTGTTTTGGGACTGGATTAGTTAATGCCAAAGCAGGCTTTTATAAAGTGAGGCCACCTCTGCTGTTTGGTCTCTTTACATATGTCCACCTCCTCTTCACCATGTTAAGATATAGCACAAAACCCTCACCAGAAGCTGACCAGACGCTGCCACCTGATCTTGTACCTCTCAGCCTCCAGAATCGTGAGCTAAATAAACCTCTTCCCTTTATAAATTACCCCAAATTTCAACTGCTTCTTAAAGCTACTCTTGATTTATTTTAATGGAACCTAAGTTACCACATCTTTTATTTTTTTTTTACTTCTCCATATGTAGTTCTCAATTTTGTTTTTATTTTAAAAATTTTTAGTTATCACAACTTAGTTGCAGCTAAGAAAATCTTGCTTCCCATTCATCCAAAAGCTGAATCAAGACTTTAGATGTAGGCTTAAATAGAACAATAAGGTCATTCATTTTATTCCATTTTATATTGCTATCCAGTTTATATAATAGATATGCAGATACAGTGCTAAGCACTTTTTAATTCTTATACCATATCGTGAAGTAGCTATTGCTTTTCCCATTTTAGAGATAAGGAAAAGAGTGCTTAGAAATGTCTAAGTCAGTTGAGGCATAACAAAGTCAGGATTTGAACCCAGGCTATCTTTAAAACCCGTGTAATTAACTATTGTGCTTTAAATAATTGTTCTGTACTACCAGACAGATAGTCTAGCACTTAACACAGTATCTGTAAATAGTTATTGTTTTAATTAAGTAACATTAACACTGGAAGCAAGGGATTAAGTCTTAGAGCCAGTTATCTAAAAAGAATGTGTTCATGCATGTACTACATTTCACACTCCATGACTGCTTAAGAACCTTAATAATCCTTGTAGGCAACTATCTTATGATGTGTGGGGTTTTTTCTTTGTTTGTGCTTTTTGTATTTGACCACGAAGTTCGTGAGTCAGATCTAACACATATGTTAGTGTAGAGTCTTGTGAGCTCAGCTGTCTAGGAATGTGTTGTCATTCAGCAGTTTTTCATTATTGTCTCTAAACACATACGCCCACATCCATACACACCAGAATGTTGTCTTGAGAGCAGGCACTCTTGATGCCTTAAGTTTGTGACATATAGTAAACACAGTTAGAAATGGAGTGAATGAATGTTCTGCTGACTGGCTTATGGACCTTTTGACTTATGGACCTTTTGAGTTCTTTTCAGTATTTGTCAATACATAGGTGAAGAGGAGTGTGTCACATAACGCAAAAGCAGTCAGATCTCCAAAGATGGGCAGTACCTAACAGGCTTAACTTAAATGGTGTGGGCTTTTATTTTCCTAATGGGTATCCTGTATATTCTCTAGCACTTTCTTGGGATGTTGCTTTGTACTCTTGAAAATATTCTTGAGAATATTAATGTAATAGAGCAGTGATTTGATGTCTTTGTTCTTTGTAAGATAGAAGTGGCCATTTCTAGTGTCATCTGGTCTCCATCTGTTCTGGAGAAGAGAGTAGACTTCAGTACCAAAACCCCCCACAAATACAAAGCAAGTAATAAAAAGGAGAATATATGCCAAACTACTAATAATGACTGTCTCTTACAGGCTTTTCAGGTGACTTTCACTTTTCTACCTTATGTAATCCTTTAATGTTTGAATTTTGCATAATGAACAGTATAACCGTTTTTTAAAAGCTCGAATTTTAACTCTCTGTGATGGACTTAGATGCAGGAGTAGATGGAAAGAGTTTCATATTCTGACCACCCCCCCCCCCCCCACATACACACCCCCAACCTCAAAGGATATAGAAACTAGCAGAAGGATATGCTTATGTGCTTTTAAAAAGCAATGCCTTTTTTAAAGTGATGATTTTGGTGCTCGCTTTGGCAGCACATACCCTAAAACTGGAATGATACAGAGAAGATAAGCATGGCCCCTGCACAAGGATGACACACAAACTTGTGAAATGTTACATATTTACAAAAAAAAAAAAATATTTCAATGGTCAGTAAATGTCCCAATCATAGACAACCAGATCTCACACAACATCTCTGTCGTAGTCCATTTGTGCTGCTATAACGAAATATACGAGTCTGGGTAATTTATAAAAAACAAATTTATTTCTCACAGTTCTGAAGACTAAGTCCCAGATCAGGTGCTGGCATTCAGAGTCTGAGGAGGGCTGCATCTCACATGGTGAAAGGTGGAAGGTCAAAATAGGGACAAATGCCATGTCTTCACAATGGCAGAAGAGAGCAATCCACTCCTGTAGGTCCTCGTTATAGTGACAGGAGGGCAGAGTCCTCATGACCTAAAAACCTCCCATTAGTTTCCACTTCCCAACACTTGCATTGGGAATTAAATTTCCAACCCATGGATTTTAAGGTATATTCAGACCATAGAAATACCCTAGAGGTGATAGTGACCCCATTGACAACTCCTGGCCTTTGTGGAGAATGGTGAGGGTCTACCCTTAATGTCTGTAAAGATAGATTTAGAAAACAGAATTGACTGAAATCGTGAACTGAATATACATGGAAGAGTTGAGTAAAGTTTGCTGTGACAACCAAGTTTAGTGATGGAGTGAACAATGGATCCATTCACTGGGAAGGGGAACATTGAAAAAGAAGCAGGACTTAGATGAAATTTGGATTGCCTGGAGGACATCTATAGGGAGCAGCAGTTGGAAAGGTAGGCCATTGGTCGGGCTAGAAATGGATTTCAGATTGTTGAAACCATAGATGAGATCACCCAGAGGGAATATAGGGTGAGGTGACAGCCAAGAGTGGAACCTTGAAGGACATCAACATTGGAGTAGAGTCATTGAATTAAATGCAGAAAGGAAAATAAATAAATAAATAGATGCAGGAAAGGAAAGGGCATTGGGAGAGAGAAGAAAACAACTAGCGGAGAGCAGTGCATGAATGCGAAAGGGGGAAGCTAAATGTCCATGCGGATTCAGCTTGCAGTGTTGTAACTGTTCATTTTATATGAAAGTAATATGTTAACAGCCCCCCACATACCACCACTTTGGGATTCAAGTATACACCAATAATTACCATCAGAAGGAAGCCTGTCCCCATAGCAGGTACGGATTGCCACAACCCACTTTAGAATCCTGTCACTGTCTGGCTTTGTCCCAGTCACATTAATACTTTTGGCTTAGCCCAAGGAATCCTGCTGAGGTTTATTATAAACCATTTTTTGGCCAGACGTGGTGGCTCACACCTGTAATCCCAGCACTTTGGGAGGCTGAGGTGGGTAGATCACGAGGTCAGGAGTTCAAGACCAGCCTGGCCAACATGGTGAAACCCCGTCTCTACAACAAAAATTAGCCAGGCATGGTGGTACGTGCCTCTAGTCCCAGCTACTGGGGAGGCTGAGGCAGAATTGCTTGAACCCAGGAGGTGGAGGTTATAGCAAGCTGAGATCGCACCACTGCACTCCATCCTGAGTGACAGAGCAAGACTCCATCTCAAAAAAAAAAAAAAAAGAAAAGAAAAAACCATTTTTTAATGGACAAGGGAATTGTATTTGAAAGCCAAATGAATTATTTTATTAAAATATCTATTTCTGTTCATTTTCTTCGTGAACTTCAGTTATGTCCAAAACATAGTTAAGGCTGTTTTAAAACAATATTAAGAAAAACTTAGAACATACAGAAAAGTTAACTAACAGTGAAAACCCACACACCCACCAACCATCTAAATTTTAAAATTACAATTTTACCATATTTGCAAATGTGATAATCTGACTTAGAAGTAGTTTGGGGAGCAGAAAGGACATCAGTGTGTCTGGACCTCTAGGATCAAGGCCAGAGGCTGTGCTGTGAGTTGGAGATAGGTAAAACCTAGAGGGCCATGGTAAGGAATTTGGATTTTATTTATTTTAAAATTTTTTTCCCATAGGTTATTGGGATACAGGTAGTATCTGGTTACATAAGTTCTTTAGTGGTTTGTGAGGTTTTGGTGCACCCATCACCCAGGCAGTATAGACTGTACCATATTTGTAGTATTCTTTTTTCTTTCTTCTTTCTTCTTTCTTCCTTCTTCCTTCTTCCTTCTTCTTCCTTCCTCTTCTTCCTTCCTCTTCTTCCGTCCCCTTCTGCCTTCCTCTTCCCCTCCTTCTTCCCCTTCCCCTCCTTCTTCCCCTTTCCCTCCTTCTTCCCCTTCCCCTCCTTCTTCCCCTTTCCCTCCTTCTTCCCCTCCTACTCCTTCCGCTCCTCTTCCTCCTCCTCCTCATCCCTCCTTCTCCTCCTCTTCCCCCCTCCTCTTCTCCGTCTTGCTCTGTTGCTCAGGCTGGAGTGCAGTGGCACGATCTCAGCTCACTGCAACCTCCGCCTCCCAGGTTTAAGCAGTCCTCCTGCCTCAGTCCCCCTAGTAGCTGGGATTACAGGCACGAACCACCATGCACAGCTAATTTTTGTATTTTTAGTAGAGACAGGGTTTTGCCATGTTGGCCAGGCTGGTCTCAAACTCCTGATCTCAGGTGATACACCTGCCTTGGCCTCCCAAAATGGTGGGATTACAGGCATGAGCCACTGCGCCCGGCCTATTTGTAGTCTTCTATCGCTCGCCCGCTTCCCCACAAGTCCCCAAAGTCCATTGTATCATTCTTATGCCTTTGCGTCCTCAAAGCTTAGCTCCCACATGTCAGTGAGAACATTATGATGTTTGGTTTTCCATTCTTGAGTTACTTCACTTAGAATAATAGTCTCCAGTCTCATACAGGTTGCTGCAAATGCTGTTCATTCCTTTTTATGGCTGAGTAGTAGTCCATCATATATATACATACATACACACACACACACACTCAACAGTTTCTTTATCCACTCGTTGATTGATGGGCATTTGGATTGGTTCCATGATTTTCCTCTGGGTAGATACCCAGTAGTGGGATTGCTGGATTAAATGGTAGTTCTACTTTTAGTTCTTTAAGGAATCACCACATTGTTTTCCATAGTGGCTGTACTAGTTTACATTCCCACCAGGAGTGTAGAAGTGTTCTCTGATTACCGCATCCATTCCAATATATACTGTTTATTGATTTTTTAATTATGGCCATTCTTGCAGGAGTAAGGTGGGTATTGCACTGTGGTTTTGGTTTGCATTTCCCTGATCATTAGTGATGCTGAGCATTTTTTTCATATGTTCATTGGCCATTTATATATCTTCTTTTGAGAATTGTCTGTTTATGTCCTTAGCCCACTTTTTGATGGGATTATTGGTTTTTTTCTTACTGATTTGTTTGAGTTTGTTGTAGATTCTGGGTGTTAGTCCTTTGTCAGATGTATAGATTGTGAAGATTTTCTCCCACTCTGTGGGTTGTCTGTTTACTCTGCTAACTGTTCTTTTGCCATGCAAAAGCACTTTAATTAAGCCCCAGCTCTTTATCTTTGCTTTTATTACATTTGCTTTTGGGTTTTTGGTCAAGGAATTTGGGTTTTATTCTAAGGGCAGTGAAAAATTATTGAAGACCTTAACCAGTGGATTTGTGTTATTCCCTTAAATTCCTCCAAATATGTATAAAAGGAAATACTGCTGATGATAAAGGGGAGATGAGAAAGGTAGGTGGATTGTTATGGTGAAATATATCTTTAAACCACTGGAACCCTTCTCGAACCATTGCTACTTCCAACTTGGGCATCTCCATACTCTAGGGATTGTCAGTTTCAAAACTCAGACATGTGCCCATGTGCTGCACATCCTTCAAGGTCACAGAGCACTCTGAATGGCTTGATGGTGGACCAGGCCCTTTGGAAGGCAGCGTCCCCCCCGGGAGAAAGCAGTACCAGCTGAAGAGTCCACTCTTAAAGGTGCCTTTGCTGTCACTTGAGCATTGTCTGAAGGTCACACATGATCCTGTGAAGGAATTAACTCCTGTGTTGCTTAACAACTGGGATGGATTCTGAGAAATGCATCAGGCAGTTTTGTCATTGTGCAAACATCATAGAGTGTACAGTACTTACACAAACCTAGATAGTATAGTCAACTACATAGTAATCTATGTGATATAGCCTATTGCTCTTAGGCTATAAACCTGTACAGCATGTTACTGTGTTGAATACAGTAGGTATTTGTAACACAAAGCACTAAGTGATAGGAATTTTTCAGCTGTTATGGGACCACTGTCATATAATGCAGTCAATCATTGACTGAAACCTCATCAGGCAGCTACATGACTGTGTAAGATATTTAAGCTTAATGCTTAGCAAACCTGAACATAAGAAACAAATTCTGTAATGCAGAAGTTTTGGGGAGTGTTATTTCCTTGTTTTTGCCTACCAAAATCTTGGGTAATTTTATTAAGAGTTGATGAGCCTAAGAACATAAATGATTTTTGAGAATTATTACACTCATACTTTAAAAATAAAGAGGATAGTTTCTAACTGTTTGTTTATTTATTTATTTATTTATTTATTTATTTATTTATTTATTTATTTTTGAGACGGAGTTTCGCTCTGTCGCCCAGGCTGGAGTGCAGTGGCGTGATCTTAGCTCACTGCAACCTCCCCGTCCCGGGTTCAAGCCATTCTCCTGCCTCAGCCTCCTGAGTAGCTGGGATTACAGGCACACGCCACCACGCCCAGCTGATTTTTGTATTTTTAGTAGAGATGGGGTTTCACCATGTTGGTCAGGCTGGCCTGGAACTCCTGACCTCGTGATCTGCTGGCCTCGTCCTCCCAAAGTGCTGGGATTACAGGCGTGAGCCACCATGCCCAGCCTTTAACTGTATTTTTAAAACTAAATCATGAATAATGATTTATTAACTTTACCAATGTGTTTGGATCCTACTGAGGAATGTCACTTCTTGTTTTGGGTAGTTGTTACTGTGTTTCTTTTCCTCCTTATTTAAATTTAAGTCAGGGCCTTACTCTGTCACTCAGGCTGGAGTGCAGTGGTACAGTCACCACCTCTTAGGCTCAAGTGATGCTCCAGCCTCAGCCTTCCAAGTAGCTGGCTGGGACCACAGGCATGCATCACCATGCCCACCTAATTTTTAAATTTTTTGTAGAGACAGGGTCTCCCTATGTTGCCGAGGCTGGTCTCAAACTCCTGACCTCAAGCAATTCACCCCACCTTAGACTCCCAAAGTGCTGAGATTACAGACGTGAGCTGCCTCACCTGGCCTGTATTTCTGTAGAATACAGTCTTACTAGTTCATATGTTCTGTAAAATCTTAGCTGGCTGGTATATTAATTAACAGAAATGATTATGTCATGCCTCCCCTTGCCCACACAGAAGTATTTTATATATGTGTTCTTTTTGGTGGCTGTACTCTTTCTGCTGTAACCAACTTTTGGTATGTGGTAGGACTTGTAAACCTCTGTTACCCTGGAAAGTCACATCTTTCACCATTGAGCCAGAGCTGAAAATATCTCTGTTGCATAGCACCGTAACACTTCCTGCAAAATACCATTAAACATTCCCACCCTCCACATCACTGCTATTATTTGCAGAGTTACAGATAGGAAAGATAATATTTTCAGAGGACATATTGTGAGTGTGATACACTGTTTATGGAGAAGCAACTTGCATGCTTCCCCCCCACCCCCTGCCGCCCACTCCCCTGCCCAAAGGAAAAAGTAATGATCCAGGAAAAGGAAAAGAATGATCCAGGCTTTGTGTCCCATCTGGCTTGTAGAGCGATCATATGACAGCTAGTTAAGAGTGACTCCCCTAACGTCAGTTCAAACTTTTAGGCATAGAAAAGTTATTTAGAAGTGGACTTAAAGATCCTTGGATTTTATGGCTGGGCATGATGGCTCACACCTGTAATCCCAGCACTTTGGGAGGCCGAGGTGGGTGGCTCCCTTGAGGCCAGGAGTTGAGACCAGCCTAGCCAACATGGTGAAAACCCATCTCTACTAAAAATACAAAAATTAGCTGGGTTGGTGGTGCACACCTATAGTCCCAGCTACTTGGGAGGCTAACGCTGAGGCACAAGAATCACTTGAACCTGGGAGGTGGAGATTACAGTGAGCCAAGATTGCGCTGCTGCACTCCAACCTGGGTGACACAGCGAGACTCCAAAAAAAAAAAAAAAAAAAATCCTTGGATATTTAAGAACCTATGACAAAGGATATGCATTAAACTATTTCTCTTTGGTTAATTTTGTCAAAAAAGGATTTACAAGGTGACAGAAGGTAAGATAGGCAATATTTGGGGTTAGAGATTGGTTGGAACAGTTCACATCAGAACATGTTGAGAAATAACATACTTGTTTATGATTTAGTTGTAGGCTTGACATTAGCATTCATTTGCATGTTTTAAACATTCTTTATAAACAAATATGTAAGTCACTCTATTTCAAACTTAAGGGAAAAACACTCAAGTTTGTTCATCAAATCTTAGGTAAAGCTCAAAAGAAGTGTTATGATACTATGCAATGGATGTATTTTTGTGTTTATATAGAAGGGGAAAACAAAGTGGGGTTGGGGTGTCTGAGAGCCACCTTTTCTTGGGTGTGTGTGGGGAGCACCTTGGGCAGTTAAATATAGGATGTTGAAACTTACAGTCAGAAAACCACTGATCTAAGTGATCCATAAGGTTTTTCTAAAAAGTGTCATCTTTCGGTGTCTGATAGGAGACTGTTTAGTGCCTGTGAATTTAACTACTTCTAGTTTTTTTACTGAAAAATGGTAACTTCCAACATGTTCCCAAGTCACTTCCATTGTTTGTCTTGTTAACTTTGTTTCTTCATAGTGCCTTCTTGGAATAGTTGCATGTTCTCCTTTTGGATGATGTAATACTGTGGTTTATGTGGTTGAAATGTTGTTTTCTACTACCCACAAAAAATTAAGAACTTCTAGAAGTTCATCATCCTCAGGGTTTTATCCAGCGAGTTCTTTCATAGGAGATGGTCAAATCCAGGCAAAAAGAGTACATCTTGACAACTGTCACATAGGGGATTACAGGATCTAATGGGAGATTTTATTCCCCTGTCCAGGCTTCTCTCTAGCTCTGAGACCCTGTGACTGCCTGAATAAGATGGGTGTGCCGAGGAAGTGTGTGCCATATTCAGGGCAGCCCACTGGGGTGCTTAGGAGGAGCAGCGTGAACACCGGGAAAAGAGCATCTGGAGAGACCTAGATAGTAGGCTGTTGCTAGTGCTGTTTGGCTAAACACCCTACCTAACTTTTTGCCTCAGTTGCCTCAGCTGTAAAATAGATACTATCAATTTGATGTACAGTGTGGTGATTAAGGACGCTTTGGATCAAGACAGATCTGAGCTTGTTTGACCACTTAGTACCTTGAGCCTCACGCTCAACCTTGCTAAACTTCACCAGTAAATAGGAGCAGGAGATTGTTAGAAAGGGTTTCATGAAATGATGAGTTCTAGTGCTCAGCATCAGGCCTGGCAGTAGCAGTTGCCCTGTGAGTGGGAGCTGCTGCTCTCTACCTCAGCAGCATCAGTCAGCATGTTCGTCCCCATTTGCGTGGTTAGGAGAGCAATTGATTTGAAGGAAAGAAAAACAAAGTGTTTTGAAAAATACAGTGTTCTGTAATTCTAAGACATCTGTGTATTATCATTTCTTGCATATATTTGTGGATTTCCCTGTTCCTACTGATTTTGAAAGTTATGTAAAATGACTTGCCTAAACACGGGTTTTCTTCCCAGATTAGGATTTAGAAAGTCTGTCTTCCGTTGATCCCAGTGTTTGCTCACATGAACCTTGTGCTGTGTTCTAGGTAGCACAGGCGGAGTGCAGCGGAGGCCCCTGCCGCTGCCGTCATGCCGTTCCCGTTTGGGAAGTCTCACAAATCTCCAGCAGACATTGTGAAGAATCTGAAGGAGAGCATGGCTGTTCTGGAAAAGCAAGACATTTCTGATAAAAAAGCAGAAAAGGTATGGATTTGGCTTTATTTATATTTGAAATATCTTAATTAGCAAATGCAAGACACCTTATATGAGGAATCAGTAAGTCCCAATTTGGGTTTATTTTGGATTTTAAAAATAACATCCAAAAGCAACATATGCTGCTGTTGCAACATACTTTTTCTTCTGTATTTTCGTCTAACAAATAGATTTCTAACTGTTCTGTCAGGTTTTCGAGTTTATTTAAATTGTGTTTATTTCATCTTGAAGTGTTTGATTCTAATTTATTTATTTATTATTACTAATTATTTTTGTAGAGACAGGGTTGTGCTATGTTGCCCAGGCTAGTCTCAAACGCCAAGCCTCAAGCGATCTTTCCGCCTCTGCCTCCCAAAGTGCTAGGATTACAGTTATCAGTTATCTGCTTGGTTGGTTTGTTTGTAAAAGTTTTAGAGCAAGAACAAAAGGAAGTAAAGTATACTTGAAAGAAGGCCAAGCAGGCAACTTGAGAGCTATAAGTGCCACAGTTACCTGATTCTTGAAATCGGTTCTTCCCCCACAATCTTCCTGGGAGGACACCCCTCCTGGTTTTCTTCCTGTATTCAGTGTATCCGTGCCAAATGCCTCCATCTACCCAGTCACCACAGTCCAAAACCCAACTTTCATCCCACTTGTGACTTGCCCTCTCTTCCCTAAAATATAATTTTTCACTAAATCTTGTTCAACTCCCTAAATTGTTTATGATTCAGTTCTGACTTCCATTCCTTCTTGAAGAAGTTGTTCATACTCTTTGTGATTTTAGCAGTAGCCTTCTTACTGCACTTTCTAAAAATCTCTGCTTTACATTTTCAGTGTAGATTCTTCTTGTAACACACAGGATCTTCGTGATCTGATCTTTATTTCTCTAAGTAAATTGTAGAGGTTTAGTGTCACTTATCCAAAATGCTTGGGATCAGAAGTGTTTCAGAGTTTGGATTTTTTTTTTTTTTTACTTTGGAATATTTGCATGTACATAATGAGATCTTGGGGATGGGACCCATGTCTAAATATGAAATTCATTTATGTTTTATATAGACCTTGTATACATAGACTGAAGGTAATTTTATACAATATTTTAAATTTGCATTAAATGAAGTTTGTGTACATTGAAGTATCAAAAGGCAAAGATGTTGCTATCTCAGCCACCAATGTCATAGTCTCTGGTTCTGTGGCATCATCATCATTCCTGACTCTGAATTTATATGCTACCGATAAGCAGTCATTTTCTTACACTTATTCACATGTAAGTACTTAACTGTAAAAAATATGACATACCATTAATAATACCAGGCTGGAGTGTGATGGTACTGGAACTAAGGTGGTACCTTAGTTCAGGGTAACTAAGCAGCATAGTTGTTGTATCACTTGTATCTGTTGTAACCTCTTAGAATGTCATAATCATTATTTGATTTGGGATTTCTGTCATAAGGATTATACTTCAGTGTAGTACGGATGCTTTCAGGTGAGTTTGAGGAGTATACAACTAATTATTCCTACTCTAAATGGTCCTGGCTTCGGTACCTATGAGTTATCATTTCTGTTCTGTCTGTATTTTCCTTTATTGCTTATTATCTTTTGGTATGTGCTGCTGGCTGATCTTAAGCTTACCCAGCTTCCTTGCATTTTCTCATTCTGTTCAATGTTTCTAATGCCCTTTGGACTGGGAAACTAGATTAATTGAAACAATTTATAATAAGACAATATAGATTCTAAGAGAACTTCCTTGGGTAAGGTAAGTGGTACTGTTTTTTGTTTGTTTTTTATTTGTTGTTGTTGTTGTTGTTGTTGTTGTTGTTGTTTTGAGATGGAGTCTCGCTCGGTTAGCCAGGCTGGAGTGTAGTGGCACGATCTCAGCTCACTGTAACCTCTACGTTCCATGTTCGAGCAGTTCTCCTGTCCCAGACTCCAGAGTAGCTGGGACTACAGGTGCGTACCACCATGTCCGGCTAATTTTTGTAGTTTTAGTAGAGACGGGGTTTCACTATATTGGTCAGGCTGGTCTCGAACTCCGCACCTCAGGTGATCCACCAGCCTCAGCCTCCCAAAGTGCTGGGATTACAGGTGTGAACCACCGTGCCCAGCTGGTAAGTGGTATTGTAAACGCAGGATTCAAGTACATTTCTCATTTTATTGGTCAATGGGGATATAAAAATATGAAAAGTTTAGCTCCAGAAACTAGAAACAAAGTGACCTCAAGAAGTTAGAGGGGACTTTTGACTGAACCACATTAACATCTACTAACTCAGAGGGTAATAGCACATAACTTGACCTCCCTCTCACAGTTGGACATCTTCAACTTTAGGAAGCACTCAGCAGTCCTGATAGCCCTACAGGCTTTGCACCAGGTGGAGGCAGCTAACAGCCAGCAAAGAGCAGAGGTACCCAAGACTGGCCTCTAGAGGCAGTCGGGAGAGAGCAGACCCCACAGAGTAGACATGATACATGTCTGCTGGAACTGCCCTCAGTGGCTATTCCTTAATCCTTATCTTAAAACTGCAAATTGATGAAAGGATAATGTGTATGTCCCATAAATTAAAAATGGTTCATCTTTTGTCTGTGGCTAAATATGTTGTCTACTCATTACATTCATTCTATTCATCAGAATCGTACTGAACACCTAAATGCTGGGTCAGATTTTAGGCACTGGGGATATAATACTCAATAAGATGAACAAGGTCTCTGCTCTTTCGTAGCTTCCGTTCTAATTAAGAAAGCTGGACAGTAAATAAGTAAACATAGCTGAAAAAGAATTTCAGTTGGCAGCAAGTGCCACAAAAGCAATAGAATGTACTGATGTGATGATAGAGCACATTTCTTAAACTTTTGGGTCTCAAGACCCCTTTTATACTCTTAAATTATTGAGGACCCAAAAGAGATTCGTGTAAGTATAGGTGTGTTATCTATTGATGCTACCCTATTACAAATTAAAACTGAAAAATTTAACAATATTTATTAATACATTTAAAAGTAATAAACTCATTACAAGTTATAAATAATGTGTTTTAATGAAAAATAACCATATTGTCCAAAACAAAAAATTTAGTGAGAAGTGTAGCATTGTTTTAAGTTTTGAAAATCTCCGTGTCTGGCTTAATAGAAAACAGCTGGCTTATCTTAGCTATGTTTGTAATCAAACTGCTCAAACATTATTTTGCTTTAAGTATATAAAGAAAATGTATACTTAAAGTTGGGAGTGGTGGCTCATGCCTGTAATTCTGACACCCTGGGAGGCCGAGGTGGGTGGATCACTTGAGGCCAGGAGTTCGAGACCAGCCTGGCCAACATGGCAAAACCCTTTCTCTACTAGAAATACAAAAATTAGCCAGGCACGGTGGCACACGCCTGTAATCCCAGCTACTCAAAGAGACTGAGGCACAAGAACTGCTTAAACCTGGGAGGCAGAGGTTGCAGTGAGCCGAGATGGTGCCACTGCACTCCAGCCTGGGTGACAAGCGAGATTCTGTCTCAAAAAAAAAAACAAAGACGAGAAAAAGAAAACCTGGTCTCACAGCTGTGTAATTAGAAAAAAGAGCAGTATTTTAATAGCCTTTCAGATAATGTAAAATATTTAATACCATGCAATTGGTGGTTTCTTGATTGCATTACAGAACATTAAACTACATGAATGAACTTTTTATACTCTGTACTTTGAACGAAACTTTTACCAGTACATGATTTTATAACATGTTTTGGTTGTTCAGAAAGTACAAATGGTGGCTGGGCATGGTGGCTCACACCTGTAATCCCAGCACTTTGGGAGGCCTAGTCGAGCGGATCACTTGAGTTCAGGAGTTCGAGACTAGCATGACCAACATAGTGAAACCTTGTCTCTACTAAAAATACAAAAATTAGCCGGGTGTGGTGGCACGCACCTATAGTCCCAGCTACTCAGGAGGCTGAGGCAGGAGAATTGCTTGAACGGAGGAGGCAGAGGTTGCAGGGAGCCAAGATCGTGCCTCTGTACTCCAGCGTGGGTGACAGAGTAAGACTGTCTCAAAAACAAAAAAAAAACAAAACAAAGAAAGTACAAATGGTCCCTGACTTAAGATTTTTCAACTTTGCAATGTTGCAAAATAGGTATACATTCAGTAGAAACCATACTTTGAGTACCCATACAACCATTCTGTTTTTCACTTTTGTAACAATATTCAATAAATTACATGAGATATTCCACACTTTATTATAAAATAGGCTTTGGGTAAGAGGATTTTGCCCATGATAGGCTATTGTGTTCCAAGCTCATTTTAGGTAAGCCATGCTAAGCTGTGATGTTCTGTGAGTTGGGTGTGTAGTACATGCACTTTTGACTTAACAATATTTTCAACTTTTGATGGGTATATCTGCATGTAGCTCCATCATCAGTTTATGAGGAGCATCTGTGTTGGATCACTGACATATACAGATCTCCCAGATGTTGACACATTATACAGATTATAAAAATTAACATTTTTAAATAACACCACTGATCTCATTAGAAGAGTCTTAAGTATTGGGATGTGGTCAAGCTTATTCATGATCTAGTCAAATTTCAGAATTCAGATTTGGCAACAAATATAGTTGGTCGTTTTCCTTGAAGTGACAGGTTCATTTTATTCATTTTAGAGAAAATAACTGCCAGATAATTCAAGTCTGAATAGTGTGTCTGTCTGTCTTCCAATAACAAAAGCAGTTAGTTGAACTTATAGCTGAAATAATCACACAAGGGCTTTTCTTTAAGATAACCATTCTATAAGGAGCCAAAGGTACTTTATATGTACATGCCATTTGTTAACTCCAAGTGTTAAAAATATTGTATGTATATTCAAAGGTCAAGATTTAATAAAATTAAATTTTTACTGCTTCAGGAACATTCCTAAGTTGGACCTTTTTTTTTCCTTTTTTGAGACGGAGTCTCGCTCTGTCGCCAGGCTGGAGTGCAGTGGCGCAGTCTTGGCTCACTGCAGCCTCTGCCTCCTGGGTTCAAGAGATTGTCCTGCCTCAGCCTCCCAAGTAGCTGGGACTACAGGCGTGCACCACCATACTCAGCTAATTTTTTTTGTATTTTTAGTAGAGAACAGGGTTTCACCATGTTGGCCAGGATGGTCTCGATCTCCTGACCTCGTGATCCACCCGCCTTGGCCTCCCAATGGACTGACTTTTTTTAACTGAGTGCACGGTGATGAAGACTGCAATAACTGCTATTAAAGTTTGGCGTCACTGCCTTTGTTCATGCTTGGTTCATGATGGTGTCAGCACCATCAGTATAAATAGCAATACAGAGGGAGGAAGCACATGTCTTATGAAAACAGCCTTGACCTTACAGACGCTTTGAAAGGGTCTTGAGGACCTCAAGGGTCCGCACTTTGAAAGGTACTATGATAGTTAAAAGGCTGTGTATGAGAGTGGCTGCAGGTAGGGAGAATGTCCTAATTTAGGTAGGTTATGTAGGGAAAGTCTTGTTGAGAAGGTGACATTGAAAATGAGTCTTGAATGATAGAAGGCAAGTTTAGTCTCTGATGCAATCCATATCATCTGCTTGACTAAATGAGTGATTTTCAACCAGGGGCAATTTTGCCCTGAAGGGGACACTTGTAATGTCAGGAGACATTACAGGTTGTAACACTAGGGGAATACTACTACTGGCATCTAGTTAGTACAGGCTAGAGATGCTGTTAAACAGGGAATGAATAGCTCCCCACAACAAAGGGTTATCTAGCCAAAAAAATGTTAACAATGCTGAGATTGAGAACTCCTGCCCTAAACCAGCATTGAACAAGAATAGACATTTCGCTATTAGGATAAACAAAACAAAGAAAAACATTTGAATTTATTAAAAATAAATTTTAGTTCAAAGCAAGGCATTTCTGAAGAGCAGCCCATGCAAATTACTTATGCTGAAATAGTTTAAGACTAGGAGGGAAAAACCCTGGAATTTCCAGTTCACTTTCTTATCAGGATTCGAAAGGAAGTAGCAACTAATGCAAATAACGAAGAGAGTACTGAGACCTGAAAACAATGGAAAGATGAAAATCCATTACTAATTGAAAACAGTGAAAAACAACTGATGTCATACTGAAAATCTGATGACTATAAACCCAGGTGCTTGCGACCTGTTGAGCATTGTTCTGGAAATTCTAATCAATGCATAAAGAAGTGGTTTAGAAATAAAGAATATACCTATTGCAAGTAAAGAGGGGAAATTATTGTAGAGGTATTTATAAACATTTACAAAATACAAGATAATTAATGGGAAAAATGAGAGTTTATTAGGAGAGAGAGAGACTAGGAAGTACTACAGTCTTTAAAACAACCAGATCTCGCATGAACTCACAGTGAGAACTCTGTCATTACCATGGGGAGAGCACCAAGCCATTCATGAGGGATCCACCTCCATGATCCAAACACCTCCCACCAGGCCCTACCTCCAGCACTAGGGTTATGTGTTTTCTTGGGACAGGGTCTCACTCTATCACTTAGGCTGGAGTGCAGTGGCACGATCATCGCTTGCTGCAGCTTCCACCTCCCGGGCTCAATCAGTCCTCAGCCTGCCAAGTAGCTGGGACTACAAGCATGTGCCACCATGTTTGGCAAATTTTTCTATTTTTTGTAGAGACCGAGTCTCACAATGTTGCCCAGGCTGGCCTTGAACTCCCGGGCTTAAGCTTCAGCCCAGTTGGCCTCCCAAATTGCTGGGATTGCAGGTATGAGCTGCCATGCCTGGCCTGGGGGTTACATTTCAGCATGAGATTTGGAGGGAACAGATATCCCAATCATATCACCAACCATATCTAGAAAATGTAATTTTACAAGAAAGTAGCTCATTCACTATAGCAGCAAAAAAATAAGTATAAGATGTCCAGGAACATTTTCATCAGGAAGTACGCTGAACCCATATGAAGAAAGCTCAAGGATGTTGTTCAGAGGTACAAGAATTACCTGGCCTATGTTATTAGAAGTAAATATGGAATATAGTTAAAATGCCATTTCTTCCCAAATCATGCTTAAAGCAATTCTATTCAGATCACAGCAGGATAATTTTGAAGCTTTACAGATAGAAGTTCTACTCTGTTTTGAAGCAAAATGCATACTTCAAAACCTGTTCCACTCACATTCTTCATGCTCATCATTAGCATAACTCTATCCTTTCCGTTTTTCAGGCCAAAAGTCTTAAGGGTCACCCATGACTATTTTCTCACTCCCCAAATCTATCCACTTTATCTGGAGAAAAAAAAAGTCCAGAATCTAATCCCTTCTCCCCATTTTCCTTGTTCCCACTGAGCTGTCCTTTTCTCTGCCCTGGATTACTGTAGTGTCCTGCTCACTGCTTCACTGGTCTCCCTTGGTTTCCCTACAACCATAGTGATTCTTTCAAAACATGAGTCAAATAATATATTCCTTAGAGTAAAAGTCAAAGTCCTAACAGGGGCCTAAAGTAATTTCTGCAGGCAAATCCTGTAAGGCCTATTTTTATCAATCTCGTGAGCTAAGAATGGTTTTTACATTTACAGAGTTGGTTAAAAAAGCAAAGTATATGAGGCAGAGACCTTATATGGCCTGCAAAGTCTAAAATATTTACTGTCTATTCCTTTACAGAAGAATAAATGCCAACTCCTGCCCTGAGCAATGAGGCCCATGACTTTATGATCTTGTCTCCTAATACTCTTCACCACATTGGTCTCCTTTCCTCATGCACTCCAGTCATACTCCTGCCTGTTGGAGACCTTTGCATTTGGCTTTTTCCTTTGCCTGGAAGGTTCTTTCCCTAGTGCTCTATTTGGCTTACCTCCTATATTTTTCAAGTCTTTGCTCAAGTGCCATTTTTCACCCAATCCTCTATTTAAAATGCAACCCTACCGTGTGGCATTCCTCTTCCCCCTTATCTTGCTCTAGTTTCCTGTGCACTATACGTAATGATATATGCTTGCTATTTTCCCCTTGTTAGACCATCAGCCTTTCAAAGATAGAGCTCAACAAATAGTTGTATTTATTGAAAATGGAATCAAAAACAGAGTTACTAATAACATGAAACACAGTCATCTTGTTCTCTTCTGAATTCTTAATCTTATCTGAATTAGTTAAAACAGATATTGCTAAGACTTATAAGAGTTTATATATTGAATTTGTGACTGAGGAGAGAGTACCATAGCTAGGTATGTTCTCTGGATTCTGTGATGGTGGCCAACTACTGTATTATATTTCTTTTCAGTGCTACTGCCCACAGTAGTAGTAAGATAAATGTCCTTTCTCAAGAGATATTTACTGGTGGTCCTGGTATTGTCCATACAGGTTTATGTTCATCATCTTCCCTGTAGTTAAGGGTGATCAGGGGACATTTTTCCCTATTAGATAAATAATCATAACTGATGGATGTGATGATTGAGTCACTGTGAGCTTGTTGGCAGGGTTTTGGTGATCTAGGACAGTTCTCAAGTCTAAGCTGACATTCATTGTGATTAAGTTATATGAAGAGAATTAAAGGGTTTAATTAGCCAAGTTTGTGAAAGACAAAAATTGGAGGAGAATAGCACATTCTATGGGTGACTAAATTAGGCACCAAAAACGGGTCAATTAGGTGGAGGTGGTGGGTCAGTGGTTAGAGGGAATGGTTAATATTAATTGACAAAACACAGTACAAATAAAAGTATGACTCTGTATGTAAAAAAACAGACCATGTGTCAAAAAGAAACCAGAATCATTAAAAACACTTGATTAATTTAAAAAGGCAGAAAAGGGATGAAGGGAATTAAATAACAGATGTGGTATAGAAAACAAATAGTAAGATGATAGACTCAGATGTACTGTATCAGTAATCACATTGAATATAAATGGTCTGAATAACCATTTAAAAAACAGAGATTGTCAGATTGGATGAAAGAATCCCTACTATATGGTGCCTATTAAAAAATGTACTTTACAGTTAGCAACTTAAAATAGGTTAAAAGTAAGAAGAATGGAAAAAGATAAACTTTGTTAACACTCATAAAAAGAAAGCTGGAGGGGCTGTACTAATAGCAGACAAAATAGACTTCAGAGCAAAGAATATTACCAAGGGTAAAGAAAGTCATTTTATGATAAAGTAGGGGTGAAATGTTCCAACAGATATAATAATTCTAAACATTTATGCACTTAGTAACAGAGTTTCAAATTAAAGCAAAATAAAACCTGATAGAACTGCAAGAAGTAGTCAAATACACAATTAATAGTTGGAGATTTCAGTACCCCACTATCAATAATTGATAGAACAAGCAAGCAGAAAATCAGCAAGGATTTTCTAGGTAGACCAGAATGGTACTGTCAACCAACTTGACCTGATTGACATTTATAGAACACTCAACAACTGTGGAACACACCTACACATTCTTTTGAAGTTCACATGGAAGATCTACCAAGGTAGACCATATTTTGGGTCAAAGAAAAAGGTCTCAGTACATTTTAAAGGATAAAGTTATACAATGGATGTTCCAAGACTGCAATAGAATTAAATTAGAAATGAATAACAGAAAAATCCTTAGAAAATCCCAAAATATTTAGGAACTAAATATCGTACTTCTAGATAACTCATGGATCAAAGAAGATATTAGAAAGTAGTTTGAGGCTGGACATAGTGGCTCATGCCTGTCATCTTAGCACTTTGGGAGACTGAGGCAGGCAAATCACTTGAGCTCAGGAGTTGGAGACCAGCCTGGCCAATGTGGCAAAACCCTGTCTCTACTAAAAATACAAAAAAAAAAAAAAGGGCCGGGACTCGGGAGGCTGAGGTGGGAGGATCGCTTGAGCCCAGGGGTGGAGGCTGCAGTGAGCTGAGATCACACCACTTGACTCCAGCCTGGCTGACAGAGTGAGACCCTGTCTCAAAAAAAAGAAAGTAGTTTGAGTGGAATAAAAGCAAAAATACATCTCAGAATTAGTGGGATGCTGCTAAGCTTTACTCAGGGAAATTTCTAGCACTAAATATCTATGTTAAAATATATTTAAAAAGAAGAAAGGTCTGAGTTTCTACCTTAAAAACTAGAAAAACAAGAGCAAATTAAATACAAAGTAAGCAGGAGAAAGGAAATAGCTATCAAAACAAATCAGTTAAATAGAAAAAAAAAATTAAAAGATCAAGAAAATTGATAAACTCTAGCTAAGACTGACCAGGAGGAAGAAAACACAAATTCCCATTATCTGGAGTGAGAGATTCCTGTAGTGACATTACCACAGATTGTACAAGTTAATAGGGAATATATGAACAACTGCATGCCATTAAACTCAACAGCTTAGATGAAATGGACAAACTCCAAAGACACAAATTGCCAAAGCTAACTCAAGAAAAAATAGATAACCTGATAGCCCTATGTAGTTAATACCCTTCCTTATCACAGTGAAGACTCTAGGCCCAGATGGCGTTGTTAGAGATTTCTACCAAATGTTTAAGGAAGAAATAATACAATTTCTATGTAAACCTTTCCAGAAAATTTAAGAGAAATCATTCTTAACTCATTCTGTGAGGTCAGAATTATAATCATCGCCAAATCAGACAAAGGTATTACAATAAAATAAAACCTACAGACTAATATGTCTCACGAACATAGATGCAGAATTTCTCTATTTTAGCAAATTGAATAGTAGACCAAGTGGGATTTATTCCTAGAATGCAGAGCTAGTATAACATTACAAAGTTAATCAGTATAATTCACTATATTGAAAAAGTACATGTCAATTGATGAAAAGGGGAAAAAAACCAGCATCTATTCCTGATAAAAAAAATAATCTCAGCAAACTAGAAATAGAGGAAGGGAATTTTCTCAAGCTGATAAAGGGCATCTGCAAAAATCCTACAGCTAGCATTATACATATGGTGAAAGGCTAAGTCATGTTATCTCTGAGATCAAGAAGACGACAGGGATATCTACTTTCACCACAACTATTCAACTTCGTACTTGGAGGTTCTAGCCTATGCAGTCAGGCAATAAAAATAAATTAAAGGCATTCAGATTGAAAAGAAAGCAGTAAAACTTTTGATTTGTAAATGACATGATCATCTACATAGAAAAACTGAAGGAATCTACACAACTAGTAGACTAGTAAATAAGTTTAGCGAGTCACAGGTTATAAGGTCAATATACAGAAATCAGTTGTATTTCTGTATAGTAGCAATGAACAGTCCAAAATTGAAATTTAAAAATACCTTGTATTCAAGAGTGTTAGGTGTAATTGGGAAAAAAGAATGGAAAAAAAGAAAAAGAAAAAAACTAGCATTTAGAATAGCATCAAAAAATATGAAATGCTAAAAATACCATTTAGAATAGCATAAAAACATGAAATAGGGATAAATCTGACAAAGGAAGTGAAAGAGTTGTACACTGAAACCTGCAAGATACTGCTAAGAGAAATTAGCCCAAATAAGCAGGAGATACATGTTGTTCATGGGTTGGGAAACTCAATATTGTTAAAATGTCACTTCTCTCCAGATGTATCTAGAGATTCTGTGCAATTCCAGCAGGATTTTTAAATCAAAGAGTTTGTTCTAAAATTTGAATGGAAGTGCAAAAGACCTGGAGTAATCAAAATAACTAATTAAAACAAAGTTGGAGGGCTCACACTGTCTGATTTCTAGACTTAAAAAGCTACGGTTGTTAAAACAGTGTGGTGTCAGTGCAAAGATAGATATATTAATGGAACAGATTGGGGTGCAGAAATAGACCTACACATGTATGGAACATTGATTTTTGACAAAGGCATAAATGCAGTTGTGCAGAAAGAAGGTAGTTGTTTCAACAATTGGTGCTGAAACTATTTAGTAGGCAGAAAGATAGGACTCAGACCTCATACCATATTTAAAAATTAACTCAAAATGGATCACATAGCCAAATGTAAGACCTAAAATTATAAAGTTGCCAGAAGAAAATCTTTGTGACCTTGGGTTAGGCAAATAATTTTTGGATGTTATGCAAAAAGCACAATTCATTTTAAAAAAAATGATAAATGGAATTCATAAAAATTAAAACCTGCTCTTCAGAAGACACTGTTAGAAGAATGAAAAAGACAAACCACAAACTGGAAGAAAGTCTGCAAAGCATATATCTGATAAAAGACTGCATCTAGAATATATAAAGAATTCTCAGAATTTAACAGTTAGAAACAATCCAGTTAAGAGTGGGCAAGATACTCATATATGCATTTCACCAAAGGAGATAGGCAGATGTCAAATAAGCCCTTGAAAAGATGTTAATCATTAGGAAATTGTGTAGTAAAACCATAAGGAGATTCCACTACACAGCTATTAGAGTGGCTAAAATGGAAAATATTGACTATACCAAATGTTGGCAAGGATACAGAGCAGCTGGAACTGCTTGTGGGAATATAAGATGGTATGACTACTTTGGAAAATAGTTTGGCAGGTTTTTTTTTTTTTTTGAGACGAAGTCTCACTCTGTTGCCCAGGCTGGAGTGCAGTGGCACAGTCTCGGCTCACTGCAAGCTCCACCTCCCTGGTTCACACCATTCTCCTGCCTCAGCCTCCCAAGTAGCTGGGACTACAGGTGCCCACCAAGACGCCTGGCTAATTTTTTGTATTTTTTAGTAGAGACGGGGTTTCACCGTGTTAGCCAGGATGGTGTCGATCTCCTGACCTCGTGATCTGCCTGCTTCGGCCTCCCAAAGTGCTGGGATTACAGGCGTGAGACACCACGCCTGGCCTAGTTTGGCAGCTTTTTAAACCAAACTCGAACCAACCATATGATCTAGCCATTTAAGTATTTACCCAAGAGAACAAGAAATATATGTTCATGAAAAGACTTTTGCTTAAATGTTCATAGCGGCCTTATTTGTAAATGGCCCAGACGTGTGGATAAACCAACTGTAGTACATCCATGTAACAGAGTACTACTCAGCAATAAAAAAAAAAAAAAAAAAAAACTATTGCTGTATACAACAGCATGGATGAATCTCAAAGTGATTATGTTGAACAAAAGAAGCCAGACTATAAAGAGCACATAGTATATGATTCTATTTGCACAAAACTCTAGAAAACAAAGCTAATCCATAATTACAGAAAGCAGATCAGTGGTTGCTTTAGCTTTGATAAAGATGTTTAGGGGAAGGGTTGCATGGTAGAGGGAGGGAACCACAAAGGAGCATAAAGCTTTTGGTGGTTACGGTTTTGGTGGTTACAGAGGTGTTCACTATCTTGATGGTTTCATGGGTGTATGTGTATATATATATATATATGTGTGTGTGTGTGTGTGTGTGTGTGTGTGTGTGTTACATTAGGTACTTTAAATATGTGGAGTTCATTGTATGTCATTTATAACTCAGTAGTGAATAAAAAAAGACTGTTTATGTACCAACTGGGGCAGATGTGGCTTAGAAACCATAAAGCACCCAGAAAGGCCATTGGAAGGCTAGATTGCAATACTTGAAATACACTATTGAAATTCAGCGATTATCTTCTACTCTGTATAGGCAAGTCCACACTTGAGGATGTAGAGAAACTGCAGTGTGCCAAGAGAGGAGTGACCAGGCTGACATAGAAATTCAAAACTCTACTGTGAGGAACAGTTGAATGACCTCAAGATGTGAGGTACAGCCTAGGGAGAAGATTTGAGCAGAGTAATGTTGTAGGGCGGATTTGCTCTTAGTAAAATGTATTTGGGAGACCATATAATGTAACAAAAGGATTCGAACTGATCGTGGCAGGAGGTAGAATTCAGACCCATGAGTGGAAATAAAACAAGAAGTCCAATTTTGTCTTGATATTAGGAAAAACAGTAAGTGGAAGCTGACTTTTTCAGAAGACAGCAAGTTTTCTGTTTCTGAAGAGGTATTGACATGGACTAGGTGACCACTTAGTTAAGTATTCTAGAAGGAATTCAAGCTTTGCACTGTTGACATATCCTTACATCGATATACCACCATACTTTGCAAGGTGCCTTTGTATAGAGTCCCCCATCTTATTTTGAGATAGAATTGATTCTGGTTTCCCGTGATCCAGATGAAGAAAGCTGTTATTTACTAGGCTTATTACTTTGACTCATTATATTAGAGTCAAAGACGGAATTCACACCTAGCTCTGCCAAATCCATGGTAAAATTATGCCTTTTTCCACTTTATTCATTATGTCCCTGGGCTTTTTCCATCCATTTCTTGTGATCTCACAGACAAAATGATAAATATAACATTTGAGTGTTTATTCCTTTATTTGTTATATGTTGGTATTTGTATTTGTTTTATATGGTACATAGTTACCACATTAAGAATTGTGTATGATACAAATAGATTAGTCTCTTAGGAGACTAATTCTTTTAAAAGAATTCATACAAAACTAATTTTCTTACATTTTAAAAAAGCGGTTAATGTTACCATCCTTATTTTTAGGTAACTAGGGGCAGGGGTGGGGTGGGACTTAGTCTTTCACTGCCAACAACCAAACAGATGTGGTGTATGTGGGGACTATTTACGCACTCTTCGCCCACCACATGCTGTATAAAGGAGGTATGGCTGCCTTGCTCAGCTTATAGGTGGTTCCCTTCCTTACGATGAATGCTTGTGTTCACAGGGTTGAATAGCTATATTCACTCATTTCATGAGAGGAGTAAGTTTGCTGACATATTTTAAGAGGGGGGAAAGGGAGTAGCCTCTTCATAGCATGGCCATTTAACAGTGACTCATGGTTACTAAACTTGTTTACAGTAATCTTGGACACCAGAAGGTTATTAATAGACTTTCCTTAGTCCATGATCATTCAGCTTAGACTATGCAGACATTTTCTTTAGTAAAGAGGTGGGGGTTGGGGGAGGTAGAAAGCATTTATCACTGGAATTAATGTGATAATAGAATTGTTCTTATTATCAAATACTTGGCACCAACAGTATCTGTCAGTTCACTTTTAGATTCCATTTCACATCTTGGTCTTCATTTACTTTGATATAGAACTTTCTTTTTTCAACAAGGTCATTTAATCTCTTCTTGTAGAATGAATTGATATTTCAGGCAGTAAATATAAATGGGTAAATATTTAGAGGACTCTTGTTTAAAATGATTCTTTTGTTAAAGATTGGGTTTAAAGAAACTCAAAAAAAACAAAAAATAATAATTTAAGCCTCATCATTCCCCCCAAATCTGAGCTCTTTAAGGCATTTCTTTTTTTCTTTTTTCTTTTTTTTTTTTTGAAACAGACTCTAGCTCTGTTGCGAGGCTGGAGTGTAGTGGTGTGATCTCGGCTCACCGCAACCTCCGCCTCCCGGGTTCAACTGGTTCTCCTGCCTCAGCCTCCTGAGTTGCTGGGATTACAGGCATGCGTTGCCATGCCCAGCTAATTTTTGTGTTTTTAGTAGAGACATGGTTTCCCCATGTTGACCAGGATGGTCTTGATCTCCTGACCTGGTGATCCTCCCACTGTGGCCTCCCAAAGTGCTGGGATTACAGGCATGAACCACCACACCTGGCCTCTTTGAGGCATTTCTTAACAATAACTAGTTATATGTAAGTTAGAATCAATTCAGTTATGTAAACTAATGAACACAGGTATGGAAAATTTTGCTAAATAGATCCCTTCAAAATTATTTCTAAAAAGATGACTTAACAGTGGTGCGCATTGGAGTTAACGTTTTCCTCATGCATGGTTGCCTTTGTTGTTGTCTACTGTCTTTACTTGCATCATTATCTCTTGCAAGAGATCCCCAGTTTGATTGAATCCACAGACATTTTAGTGCCTCTCTGTGTGGGCAGATAGGCATAGGAGTCAAACCTTGTCCCCGTTCTTAAAAAAGTATATAATCCAGTAGAGGAGATACACATGTAAATAATATAATATAGAGGGACTTGGGGGCGCAGATAAAATTCTGTGGGAACCAAGAGGATAAAGCAGTTCCTACGTCTGTCAGAGACAGATACAGAGATGACAGGTTTGAAGTGACGTTTAAGCTGATTTTTAAGGTTTTTGGCAGGCAAAGTGTGAAAGGGAACAGAATTTGAAACAACCTATGGCATGTTCAGAAAACAGTGACAAGTTCAGTGTGACTTTAAGAGGTGGAGATAAAGAGGAATGGTAGGAAGTAAGACTAGAGAAACAAGCTTTGGTAGAATGAAAAGGGCCTTATAGACAACCTAAGGGTATACTGAGGGGGAGTGCAAGAGGTCTTACGCTATAGAAGTCTTATGTTGCCTTACTTTGTTTTGTTTATTTTGAAATTAATTAATTCACAGGAAGTTGCTGAAATGAGTACAGGAGAACCCATGTACCTTTCACCCATATCCCCAGTGGTAACCTCTCACATAACTATATACAATATCAAAACCAGAGCATTGACATTGGTATAATCCACAGGGCTTGTTCAGATTTCACCAGTTTTACAGTTTGTGTGGATATGCATATAGCTCTATGCAATTGCATCACACTTATCTGTTCTCCAAGTCTATACATTTTATTACTTCAAGAATGTTAAATAAATAGAATCATATAGTGTGTAAACTTTTGAGATGGGCTTTCTTCCACTCAGCATCATTCCCATGAGATCCACACAAGTGGTTGTGAGTGTCACTAGTTCATTGCTCTGGAGAAACAAGTAGGTCATGGTTCCAGGTGCTCTGTCTCACTTCATCCACTTTTTTTCTTCCCCCCCCGAGATGGAGTCTCGCTCTGTCACCCAGGCTGGCATGCGGTGGCACGATCTCGGCTCACTGCAAGCTCCACCTCCTGGGTTCATGCCATTCTACTGCCTCAGCCTCCCCAGTAGCTGGGACTACAGGCGCCTGCCACGCCCGGCTAATTTTTTGTATTTTTAGTTGAGACGGGGTTTCACCGTATTAGCCAGGATGGTCTCGATCTCCTGACCTCATGATCCGCCCGCCTCAGCCTCTTAAAGTGCTGAGATTACAGGCTTGAGCCACCGCACCTGGCCTTTCATCCACTTTTTTAGTTTTACTTTATTCTAACTAGTATATTGGAATTCTACATTGTGTAGTAGGGAAGTGTGTATGAGTGTGTGCGAGAAAGATCTTTGTTTCCTTCATAGATTCTAATTTATTTCTGTATCTATACAAAGTCATGTTCTAATGATGTATATGATGTATGTTCATTCCCCCAAAAAGCAGAAAATACAAGACTATAAAGAAAAAAATTAAGTTTATCCTTAATTCAGTACCACGTGAAATGACTACTGTTAACTTGGTGGGGATTCTCATTCATATTCTAGCTTGTTTTCTCCCTCTCTCTGGGGCAGATAAGTAAATGAGTATGGGGTCATGCTGCTCTGTAACCTGTTGGTGTTTTTTTTGTTTTTTTTTTTTTAATTTTAAATTTTAACATCTTTTCATGTGCATATAGATCTCAATTTTGTTTTTTTTTTTTTAAATATGGAGTCTTGCTCTGTCACCCAGGCTGGAGTGCAGTGGCATAATCTCAGCTCACTGCAACTTCTGCCTCCCAGGTTCAAGCAATTCTTGTGCCTCAGCCTCCCAAGTAGCTGGGATTACAGGTACCTGGCTGATTTTCATATTTTTAATAGAGATGGGGTTTCACCATGTTGGCCAGGCTGGTCTTGAACTCCTGACCTCAAGTGATCGCCACCTTGACCACCTCCCAAAGTGCTGGGATTACAGGTGTGAGCCACCACCCCTGGCCCTCAATTATTTTTAAAGCCTGCCGTGGTTCTTCCATTTTATGGGTACGTAATGATTAAACTAGTTCAGTGGGATAACTTTTACTTCTAATTCTTTGCTGTTGTAAGTAACACTGCATGTACTTACCTTTGTGTACTTGTCTGTTTCCATAGGGTAAATTCCTGAAAGTATAATTCACAGGAAGTTGCAGAAATGAGTCAGAGGCCTTGCACCTTTTAAAACTCTTCAATAACATTTTGCCAAATTGCCCTCCAGTAAAGTTGTACCAATTTATTTTCCTACCAGTGGCGTATCTAAAAGCCTTTGCCTCTGATAAGAAGGAAGAATATTTTATCCTTTTAAGATTGTTACTATTACTATGAAATAGAATCTTTTGTAAGGTTTTTAATGTCTGACTTAGCCATTTGTATACTTCAGCATGTTACTATGTTTGTCTTTAAGTGTGCTTTCTATATTGAGGTTAGAATTGCTACTAACTACTAAAAATTGGGGACAGTGAAGAGGGCAGCCCAGTCTTGTATCTCACCAAGTAAAGTCCTGTCCCTTCATGTGGAAGTAGCCTTCTTGTCACCTTGTTTCCTAACGTAAGGCCGGTTTGGATCTACTGAGTGCTTGAGTCCAGAGGAGGAGTGTTGGTAAGGGCTGTGAGTACTTCAAGGACATTGCATAGAAGCACTAATGGGTATGTGAGCTGTCTTCTCGAGTCTTCTGAAATTGTACTTTTGTATCACTACTTTTTATCAGCAATTGCCTCTAGTGACAGTAAAATAGTGCACTGATAGGTACCGTGGGAATATTGGATTTAAGTCAAGAGAGTTAATACGAAACCTCCTGAGGTTTTGGTGATCTCTGAAAAGGCCATTTGTACTAATGTTTAGCTTACTAATTGCTTATTTTCCCACCCTGTTTTATTTTTTAATGGGAAAGCAGGCAGTGAAAAATCTCATAGCCTTAGTGCTACTTGAAGAGGTTATTATGGACTCTATCCTTAAAAATTTGAAGTCCTGTTACACGTTACTTAACAACAGGGATACATTCCAAAAAATGCATCATTAGGCGATTTCTTCCAGCCTGTTGCTCCTAGGCTACAAATCTGTGTAGCTTGTTACTATAGCGAATACTGTAGGCAGTTGGAACACAATGGCAAGTATTTGTTTATCTAAACATAGAAAAGGTACAGCAAAAATATGGTATTGTATCTGTGGGACCACAGTTGTCTCTGTGGTCTGCTGTTGACCAAGACGTTATGTGGTGCGTGACTATAGTTACCTATGTCCTCACCCTGGGAGGGAAAGTTTAGTTTCTGATACTGTTATTAGTGAGGTGAGCATTAGGTGTGAACTTTGGGATACTGGTTACTACTTAAGTTGATCCTAACACTTAAATATTTTAACTTTAAAAAATTATTAAATGTAATTAAAGATGAAGTTGTTATCATTTGATCATATGTGGAAGTCAGGCTCCATAGTTTAGAATTAATATGCCTGGCCCCATGGGACATAGGGACTTCACCTCTCAACTCAGAGCCTTGATCTGAGAAGCTTTGCCAAGCCCCAGACCCTTTCCTCTGTGCTGTGCTCTTTTGGAGCCTCCACACTCCCACCACATACGGCTGCTCTGTACAGCCACACAGGATGAAGCACTTCTCAGAAGCCATAAGGAAACAGCTAAGAACTGAAACAAAACTCTGTACCTCCCTCCCAGACGAGTCAGCAGTAAGGGATGATCCGCATCTCTTTCTAGGCAAGTGAGTGGGCTTGTTATAAAGGGGGGCTGTTCTCTTATGCCTTTCTTCTTGACCATGATCTATAAAACAGTTGGCTACTTTTAATAAAGCAGTCTGCCCATGAAAAGTAATATGAGGCTAACTGGTACATAGAAATGTAGCATCTGTGTCTTGGAACACCATGTTCAACTGAGGAAACTTCCCAGACAATTCAGTCAGTTAACAAAATCATCAGGTCATTCCATGTGTAAATTGCCATCATAAGCGCTTTCCAAAGCCCTTGAATGTGTTAGGGAGATGAGAGGTATGTGTGAAAGGTTATAGCACTTACAAGGTCAGCAACTGAAATAAGGTCACAGCTGCTGTAGGCATCAGAGGAGGAGAGAGTCATGGGAGGGAGGAGAGTCTTCCTGGATGCAGGAGCTCTTAAGAGTGGAAAGAAGGAGTGTGAGCATTCAGGCTTTTATGTTAGCTTGAGTAGAGACAGAGATGTCCAGGGTGAGAGAAGGAATGTAGATGACAGGGCAAAAGAGAATTGAAGACCTTTATTTGGAGTTTGAGATCTTAAAGAAATGGAATGGGTCTTAGGGGTCATCTGGTCCAGTTCCCTTAATTATCGGATGGTCCAGTAAGACCCAACAGGTTTCCATGAGGCCACAGAACTGGCACAATTGCACAGGGGGTACCTGAGTCAAAGCTAACCTCCTTTTTGTTTGGGAGCCCTTTCTCCAGTGCACAGAGAGAGCCATCAGCCTTGGAACTAAGTAGGATGCCCCTTACCTGTGAAGAAAAGGCAAAAAGATTATTGATGAACTTATCAGACTTACAGAATGGTTTAGAAGAGTGCCTTTCACCCAGCCTCCCTAAATGTTAACGTCTTTTATAACCACAGGGCAATGATCAAAATCCAAAAAATAACATTGGTATAATACTATTAACTAATGCACAGGCCTTTTTCAAGTTTCATCAGTTGTCCTACTCATGTCCTTTTTCTGAACCAAAATCTAATTCAGGATCACACGTTACATGTAAGGAGTCGTAACATCTCCCTAGGTCTCCTTTAATCTGAAACAGTTCCTCAGTCTTTCTTATGACTTTTATGACCCTTGGTACTTCTGAGAAATACTAGTCAGCTATTTTATAGAGTGTCCCTTGATTTAGGTTTGCCTGATGTTTCTTCATGATTCAATGTCGATTATGCATTTGCAAGAATACCACAGAAGTGAAGTACCCTTTTCATTGCATCAGTTCAGGAGGCAGTGATGTCAATAGTCTCATTACTGATGATGGTCAGTAACATCATTTGGTTAAGGTGGTGTCTACTGGAAAATTACTATTTTTCCTTTTGTCATTAATAAGTATCTTGGAGCCAGGCTCAGTGGCTCATGCCTGTAATCCCAACACTTTGAGAGGCTGAGGGGGCTGATAACTCGAGCTCAGGAGTTTGAGACCAGCCTGACCAACATAATGAGACCCCATTGCTACAGAAAATTTAAAACGTGGTCAGACATGGTGGTGTGTACCTGTAGTCCCAGCTACTCGGGAGGCTGAGGTGGGAGGATCACTTGAGCCTGGGAGGTCAAGGCTGCAGTGAGACATAATTGCACCACGGCATTCCACCTGGGCAACAGAGCTGGACCTGATCTCAAAAAAAAAAAAATTATCTCGGGGGAACTGAGCATCTCTTCTAAAAGTTTCTCAGGTGATTCTGAGTGTGTTGACAAGTTTGAGATAGGATGCAGAAATACATCAAGATGTAGTGAAGAAGTTGAGAATGTTTTAATTAGAAAGTCTTATGTTAATATAGGAGGAGTGAAGCTAGATGTTCAGATAAAGGAGTAAAGAGAGACTAATGGCTCTTGAGGAAAGTGGAGCCGTCTTGAAATATGTGCTGCTGGGAGTTACTGGTTGGAAATCAGCCCGGTTTAAAGGATTGTTTCTGAGCTGCTTTGAAGTCGAATGACATGGTGTATTGGTGAACCGAATGTGCACAAGTTCCATCACTTTTTCTACAGTGCTCAGAAATTTGGGAGCTCAAGTAGAGAAAGATTTGAATAAAGCACATTTAAGATTATGTAGGGGAGCCAAGAGACCTTGAGCTGCTCGCATGAGTGGCACTGAAATGTGCAGGCTTGGCAGGACCTGGAATGTGGTCATTAAGGGTTCAGTGGATTAGGTGACATGATGATTCAGCAGCTTGAAAAGGATACAGTGTTTGGAGGAGCTGTAAGTGTGAATACCTTACTCAGTAGGTGTGAGGGGACCAATGGGGTGGTAGGAGATGAGAAGGATGTGGTTACAAGGGCAGAGAATATATTGACACAATGCCTGCAGGCCAGAGGTGGGGCCCTAGGCATAGTCCCTAATGCAAGCTGCTATGAAGGGAACCAAGTCAAAACTAAACAAGAACAACCAAGGTTTTGTGTTTTGTTTTGTTTTTTTCCTTCTTGAAACACAGTCTCGCTCTGTCACCCAGGCTGGAGTGCAGTGGCTCAATCTCGGCTCACTGCAACCTCTGTCTCCAAGGTTCAAGATAGTCTCGTGACTCAGCCTCCCAAGTAGCCAGGGCTACAGGCTCATGCCACTGCACCCAGCTAATTTTTGCATTTTTTAGTAGAGACGGGGTTTCACCAAGTTGGCCAGGTTGGTCTCGAACTCCTGACCTCAGGTGGTCCGCCCGGCTCGGCCTCTGAAAGTGCTAGGATTACAGGCATGAGCCACCACTCCCGGCCACAACCAAGTTTATCTGTTGTGTGTGTGTCATCTTCAGTTAGTAAATACTTGCTAAATTGCCTTCTCTTGTGAAACACTTATTAAAATTTTCTGATCATCTTTTGGTAATATTTGGATATATTTTTCAAGCTTTTTGTTTAATCAGCTTATAATTGTCCATGGTTATTTGGTTATTTGTTAGAAATCTTTAAAATGTGGGAGGGGGGATGTCTCGTGGGGAGGGCTGAAAAAGGAGAAATGGAAGAAGAAATCAATGAGTACCAACATAATGATCATTTTGATCTATATAATTTACCTCATCTTTTTTTTTCTTTTTTAAATAAAAGTAGAATGTGAATTGTGAGAAAAAATATTCAAGCAAGTCTGAAATGGAGCAAATACTCTTCTTACTCCACCCCACAGGTAGACGACCATACTGAGTTTGATGTGTATTCTCCCAGAGTATTTTCTCTGTGAGACCATAGGGAATTACGTTGTAAATTGAGCACAAGGCAAATCACAACCAAACTTAACCTTTGAAAACCCTTTAATTGTCCATACAGAGCAGTAAACAGTGTGGCCGTACTGTGACTCAAGATTTCCAACACCGCAAGTATTTCCTCCAACATTGAAACAGACTGCTGTTTCTTTCTTTCTTTCTTTCTTTCTTTTTTTTTTTTTTTTTTTGAGAAGAAGGGAGTCTCCCTCTCTGTCGCCCAGGCTGGAGTGCAGTGGTGGCTCACTGCAAGCTCCGCCTCCTGGGTTCACGCCATTCTCCTGCCTCAGCCTCCTGAGTAGCTGGCACTACAGGCGCTGACCACCACGCCTGGCTAATTTTTTGTTTTTGTTTTTGTTTTTGTTTTTAGTAGAGACGGGGTTTCACCATGTTAGCCAGGATGGTCTCGATCTCCTGACCTCGTGATTCGCCCGCCTCGGCCTCCAAGGTGTTGGGATTACAGGCGTGAGCCACTGCGCCCGGCCCAGACTGCTCTTTCTTTAGTGGAGCACCAGATGCAGTAGTTGGCTTTCATTGGGCTCAGCTTGGGGACTTGTCCACACTATGAGCTGTGTGTGCACACTGAGACCCAAGCTCTGGACATATGCTCATTAAGTGAAATGGCCAGCATTGAATCACTCAGCCAGTCTCTTTCCTTGTTCAGTGCTGTAACTCTTTGTTAGGAAGACATCTGCTTGTAATTCTTTAGCTGGCTCCCTTCCTTTGAACTGCAGTTATTTTTTCACATCTCAGGTGATTTATTTCGTTGCCCGTTCTTAGAGGGAAGTCTGTTCTTGTCTAGTTTTGTTTTGTTTTGTTTTGTTTTGTTTTGTTTTGTTTGTTTTGAGACAGGGTCTTGCTCTCGCTCTGCCATCCAGGCAGTGGATGAAGTGCAGTGGCACCATCTCGGCTCAGTTCAACCTCTGCACCACTCCCCACCCCCACCCCCCAGGCTCAAGCAATCCTCCCACCTCAGCCTCCCAAGTAGCTGGGACCATAGGCATGCACCACTATGCCCAGCTAATTTTTTGTATTTTTAGGAGAGATAGGGTCTCTCACCATGTTTTTCAGGCTGGTCTCGAACTCCTGAGCTCAAGCCATCCATCTGCCTTGGCCTCCCAAAGTGCTGGGATTACAGGCATGAGCCACTGTGGCCTGCCTCAATTAAACACTTTTAAGGAATCCCTTGACTTCATGGTATGATAACATCACATTTCTCTACATCCATTTGTAATCTGAATTTTAAACCCTGTGATCAGGAATGCTGATTTTCAGCCATTCATCAATAATGTATGAAGCATTTTAAGCAACAGCAATGTCTTAGTCATATTTATGTTATGAAAAGATAATTCTAGGTGTGATGTGGAGAATGCATCCCCATTAGGCCCCCTGCAATCCAAAGAAACCAGTCAGTACACGATATATTAATCTAGGCAAGAGTTATGGGAACTTTGATTTGGGTGGTGATGGTAGACGGGGATAAATGGATGGATTTGGGAGTCAGTGATGAGTTAGCTATTGGGGCGAGGTGAAGAGGGGAGAGTTGAAGATGACTCCTAAATTTCTGACGTGTAGTAACATCATCAGTGGTATCATTACATGAAACGGAACAAGGCAGGATATCAGGCACTAGGGCGAGATCTTGAGTTCTATTTTAGATGTATTCGATTTGAGGTACCTTGAGACATTACGAGTGGAGACATTTTGAGAAGGCTGCCCAGTGGTACTGATAAGGCCTGGGAGAAAAGAACTGGATTAGAGATAGGAATCTATGAGGCATCTGCATTTAACTGTTAATTAAAGCAGTGGGTGTGGATGAGATCACTTAAGAGTCTAGAGAATAAGAAGAGGAAGCCCTAGTACCCTGCCTTGCGGGATTCCCTGTGTTTAAATGGCCTAGCCAAGGTGAATGAGGCAAAAAGGAGACAGAGAAGGAGCAACCAGAGAGTTAGGAGGGAAAATAAGGATGGTGGTGAGTCACGGAGGACCAGAAGAATGGTTTTCAGAGGCGGGTGTAATCAGCAATTCCGAATCCTGTGGAAAGTTCAGGTGTAATTGTTGGGAATGAAGTTTTTGGTGTCGGGAAAAAGAGAAAAAAAGAATTAACGCGGGAAGAAATGATCTCTCAGCAGAGAGAGCTTTACTTTCTGCAGAAAGGGTGCTACTCAATAGTTGTCTGGCCACGAGAGCACACCGAACAAAGGAGACAGAGTTATTTATAACCTGACGTGTTTACCCTACTGCTGTGTCCAGTTTCCATTGGCTGGGATAGGACCTCACATTTTACACTTTATCCTATTGGCTATTAGTTTAAAACTTTCTTAAATAGGTAAGGGGAACAGAACAAAGAAAAGGAAGTTGTCCAGGACTAGTTAAGGAAGCATCTCCAAATAAGGAATGGCATGCACTGTGGGCTCCGGTGTGCCTAATTCTGTCCAGGCATGCTGGAGCAAGCTAGGAGAGCTGATTTGGAATACATACATATACACACTAATAGTGCACAGCAATCTTATAGTAAGAAATTGTGACTTTTCATAATCTTTGAAAAAGAACTTCCCCATTTCTCACAGTAATAAAGACACACAATTGTATTTAATGACATGCAGGTCAGTGACTAGCCAAAAGGATTGGGCTGAAGAGTGAGTGAGGAAAAAGACTTGGACTATGGTAAATACAGGCAAATGTTTTGAGAGGTTTAATTATGAGGTGTGGGTAGTAGCTGGGCAGGGGCGCGTGGGCAGGGGGGCAGGGGGGCAGGGGGCGGTTGTGGAATCTAAGGAGGGCCTATTCGATTTTGTCAAATGGAGTCTTAATCAGGTTTAAAACTGATAGGAAGAAATTAGGTGAGGGGAGATTGACTCTGTGAGGAGGAGGTGAGGTAACAGGCAGGGTGAGTTCCTAAGAACGCATGGGGGTGGGGAGATCCAAAAGCAGATGAGGATTAATGTAGGTGGCGGGTGCAGTATCAGCTGGTGAGGGAATTCCTTCTGAAAGAGAAGGGGGCTTTATACAGAGTCCACAATGCCATTCAATTCAGAAGTACAACAAATAGCTTTCTCTCTCTTTTTTTTGAGACAGGGTCTTGCTCTGTCACCCAAGCTGGAGTGCAGTGGTGCAATCATAGCTCACTGCAGCCTCAACCTCCTGATCTCAGCCTCAGCTTCCTGAGTAGCTGAGACTATAGGTGCATGCCACCACACTCAGCTAACTTTTGTGTTTTTTTTTTAAGAGATGGAGTCTTGGCCGGGCGCGGTGGCTCACACCTGTAATCCCAGCACTTTGGGAGGCCGAGGCAGGCGGATCACAAGGTCAGGAGAGCGAGACCATCCTGGCTAACACGGTGAAACCCCGTCTCTACTAAAAGTACAAAAAATTAGCCGGGTGTTGTGGCGGGTGCCTGTAGTCCCAGCTACTGGGGAGGCTGAGGCAGGAGAATGGCATGAACCCGGGAGGTGGAACTTGCAGTGAGCCAAGATTGCGCCACTGCACTCCAGCCTGGGTGACAGAGCAAGACTCTGTCTCAAAAAAAAAAAAAAAAAAAAAAAAAGAGATGGAGTCTCACCATGTTGCCCAGGCTGGTCTCAAACTCCTAGGCTCAAGTGATCTATCTGCTGCAGCCTCCCAGAGTGCTAGGATCACAGGCGTGAGCCACCACACCCAGCCATAAATAGCTTTCTAATTATGTTCCTGTCTCTCTCTTTCCTTCCTTTTTTTGGGGGGTGGGGTGGGGATGGGGGGAACAGCTTTATTGAGATATAATTTACATGCCGTATAGTTCACCCATTTGAAGGGTACAATTCAGTGGTTTTTAATTTATTCACAAATATGTGTAACCATAACCACAGTTAATTTTAGGACATTTTGTCACCTCACAAACCTGTACCCTTTAGTTATTCACCTCCCTTCTTTCTTACTCATCTTTTGCTGTCAGAATAGAATATGGTCTGAATTCAAATTTGAAAATCATATAATAAAGTATAAACTGAGGTACATGAAGAATTGTTAAGAGCTTTAAAACTTTGATCTAACCAGAGAAGCAAAGGAGGCTGAGGCCTCCTACTTATGGTCACTGGTGTAGAATCAATAGATAATGCATTCACAAAACCTATTAGGTATCAGATTCTTCCTGTCAAAGAGAATTATCTGAAGAATAGAGATAGTAAAATGGAGTAGAAAACCCAATACATGCAGATAGATTGTAAGAGAACACCTACTATTGCTAAATGATTTTCTCTTGGCCCAGAAAAATTACATTCTGGGTTACTGAATTTGCATATGGGATGATGAACTACCATCAGATCTCCAAGGCATTACCGATAATGAAGTGTAGTAACAGCAGGCTGGAAAAGGTAGACTCGGCTTAGCATTGATACTGAGGGGGATTATTAGGAGGATGACTTACAAGCATTTAGAAAAGAATGTCATAGTCAGTAGATATTAGTGTAGGTGTAGTAAAAAGGTCAGACCAAATAACTGCATTTTCTCATGGTCAGGAAATAGGGAAGAAATAGTATAATTTAATTTTATCAAGGTATTTGACCAAAAAAACCTTTGGAATATAACTTGGAAATAGTTGCATATATACATGACTGAGCAGCCCTGCTCCAAGATTTGTAGTAGATCATTACTGAAAGGAGCATGATGATTCAAAGATATGATGGGCTCTATTCATGCGTCATTCCTTTCCAGCATTTTAGTCAATGATTGAGGCAGGTCATGGGAGACATACATATGAGATTTTCATATGTATGTGAGAGCGTTTAGCTAATACATTGGATGTCCATCAGAATCCAGAGTTACTGCCATAATCTTGAATGATGGGCTGATGAGATTAAATTAAATAGAAAAATTGAAGTCTTCATTGCAGTGTCATTCGCCCCAGTTTAAGAATAACATTTGGAAAGACCTGTCTTTACCAAGCAGTACCTGTGAAAGCCAAAGACATTTTGTTCACTGTAAGCTCTCTCTGACTCAATTATACAATATAATTGCAAAAATTCTTAGAAGGTAGCCTTGGGCTGCACTAACATTTGTAATGGAGGAGTGGTGGTCTGGTGTCTTCTGCATTGTACCATTCTGGATAGGGCTGAATGTTAGCTCTGCCTTTCTTAGGAGGTTAATCAAAGAACCTGAGGGGAGGTTTTCTGGAGAAGATGACAATTTAGGGAAGATAGGCAGGCTGCCCTCAAGAGATTTATGTGGAAGAGAAGTTAAAATATTGCCTGATCTGCAGTACAAACCCAGGGCCAGTAGACAGTGTAGTGAAGCAATGTTTGTCTCGTAAATTTGTCTAACAACTATCTGATTCTGAATTCAGCTCATCCTGCATTACTGGACACTGGAAATATTTAAGGTAAAGTCATGTGATTTGATAGGAAGCTTAGAAGGTTACATAACTGAATACCATGAGACTATATGATCCTCTAAGTACTGCTTAACGCTGAGGTTTTGTGAATCTGTGCAAAGTAATCTTGAAGTATATTTCTGATCATAAATGCTTCACTTTATATAAGTTTTTATAGCCTTTATGTTATGTCTCTTTAATACTCTACTTGGGTCTCCTTTGTTGGTTTATTAGCTATAAATCTTTGATTTTGTTTTTCGGTTTTTTTTTTTTTTAAGTGGTTGCTTTAGGGCTTATAGTATACACCTTTAACTTACTATAGTCTATCTTCAGGAAATATACTACTTCAGTTATTATAAGAACCTGACAACATTATACCTGTGTACCTCCATTACACCTCTTTGAGCTATTGTTGCCGTATTTTTTGTTCTACATATGTTATAACCCCAGAATACGTTGTTATTTTTGCTTTAAAGAGCCAATTCTCTTTTAAATAAAAGGGAAAATTTTGTTTAATACTGTCTTCATTGCTTTTCATTTCTTTGTGAAGAATCATTTTTCTTCAGCCAGTAGGACTTCCTTAAATATTTCACGAAGTACAAGTCTTCTGGTGATGAAATATTTCTACTTTTCTGTGTCTCAAAAACTCTATTCCGCCTTTGTTTTTCAAAGGTATTTTTGCTGTGGTGTAAAATTTTAGAATGACAATTTGGTTGTGTTTTTCAGTATTTTAACAATGTTCCTCCACTATCTTTTGACTTGCATCATTCCTGTCAAGAAGTCTGTTGTCATTCTTTGATTCTTTGTCCATAGTATTTTTTCCCTCTGGCTACTTTTAAGATTCTTTATCACTGAATTTAAGCAATTTGATTATTCTGTGCCTTGGTATTGTCTTCTTGTTTCTCATGCTTGGGATTTTTCAATGTTTTGGCTCTATGGAATTACAATTTTTATTAAATTTGGAAAACATTCGTCCATTATGTCTTCAAATAGTTTGTCTGCCCTTCCACCTCTTTTGGGGGCTGCAGTTACACATCTGTGAGGTTGCTTAAAGTTATCCCCTAGCTCACTAATGAGATGTCCCTTTTTCCCCCCTAAGTTTCATTTTAGATAGTTTTTAGGCTCTCTCTTTGTGTTTACTAACCTATTCTTATCTACTATCTAATCTGCTGTTAATCCCATCTGGTATAATTTTTATCTTAGACCTTGTAGTTTTATTTCTAAGTGTTTCATTCAGGTGTTTTTTTATGCCTTTCATTCCTCTACTTAACATGGTACATGTTAGTGATAGATAACTATTTGTAGTTGTAGTAACTATTTTAATGTCCTTATTGAGTATTTTAATGTCCTTGTTGAGTAATTCTGCCATCTGTGCCATTTCCACAGCTGTTTCTGTTGATTAGTTCTTCTTCTTATTAGTCGTGTTTTCCGGTTTTGGTCCTTTCCAGGATTGCTGTTAAGCTTTGTTGGGCAGGACCAGATCAGAGTTTGGCCTAGGATTAATTTTGTATGCCTACTGAGGCAAAACCCCCTGAGTACTTTGCTTGATGACTAGTGAATATGAGGTTTTCCATTAGGCTGGTAGGAAACAGGAGCTATTTCCAGCCCCATGTGAGCTCCAAGGTTCTGGTTCCTAGCCTTGGCTACTTTCCTTACCCATGTGTGGTTATCAGTACTCAGTTGAAGACATGAGTGGGCTCTGCAGGTCTCTGCCATGCTCTTTCTGGGCAGCTCTTTCCTCTCTGCCACTCTGCCCTGTTGTAAACTCTAGTCTTCTTGGCCTCCCTGGGTTGCCAGGTCTGCCTCTTCAACTAATGGAGAACACCTCTTCTGGCTGGCTCCCCCGTCCTGGTGCTGTGGCCTAGCAAGAAGGTAGGGTAATTATGAAGTTTCCCTCATTTGTTTCCTTCTCTCAGGGATCACTGTCCTGTACTGCCTGAAGTCCACTGTTTCAAAGTCATTGTTTTGGCCAGGCACGGTGGCTCACACCTGTAATCCCAGCACAAGTTGGGCAGATCGCTTGAGCCCAGGAGTTTGAGACCAGCCTGAGCAAGATGGCAAAACCCCATCTCTACTAAAAATACAAAAATCGGCCTGGCATGGTGGCACACACCTGTGGGAAACCCAGCTACCCAGGAGGCTAAGGAGGATCTTAGCTACCCAGGAGGATCGATTAAGTCCAGGAAGTTGAGTCGGCAGTGAGCTGTGATCTCACCACTGCACTCCAGGCCTGGGCGACAGCACGAGACCCTGTCTCAAAAAAAAAAAATGTCGTTTTATGTATCTTATCCTACTCATTAGTCTTTTTCATGGGGAAAGGTAAATCTGGCCCTTCTCTATCTTGAGCAGAAGTAGAAGCTCTTTAGTGACTTTATATCTATCACTAACACCTTAGCTTTGCACTCACCCATTTTCTGCTCTCTTCCCTTATTTCCTCCACACCTTTTCTGTGATAAGACTTGTACTTTCCCTTCTCCCTCATCCCTAGCTCATGCCATTCCTTATCCTCCATACTTGCTTGTCAGAATCTCTTCATTCTTAGGGATCAGCCCAGTTGCCTCTTTGGTGATGTTTCCCTCCCACTTGAGGAAGTGAACCTTTCTCCCTGTTTTGTTTCTGCCATAGATAAACATGGTTTTCAGTGTTTGGGTGTCTGTGTTGTGCACATGCTGGCCTTCCTGTGGTGTATGCATGTTGGTCCCCATGTGCACGCAGACATAGCGCCCAGCTCCTGAGGGCAAGGATGGAGCTTGCCCACTTTGCTTCTTGTTCATAGGTCCATGGGTCTGTAATATAGAGAGGTGATTTGACAAATTTTGACGTGTTATATGTTTGTTAAAATGAATTGTTTTTTCTCCTCTTCCCAACTCCTCTCTCTAAAATTAGGCTACAGAAGAAGTTTCCAAAAATCTGGTTGCCATGAAAGAAATTCTGTATGGCACAAATGAAAAAGAGCCTCAGACAGAAGCAGTAGCTCAACTTGCTCAAGAACTCTATAATAGTGGGCTCCTTAGCACCCTGGTAGCTGATTTACAGCTCATTGACTTTGAGGTAAGAAATCAATTTCTTATTTTTAAAAAACAGTACCCTGTGCATAATTCTTTTCCATACGTTCTCTCTTTTGGAACATTGTAAGATTCCTTTTGGGCTCTTGGCTCAGGGTTACTGACCTCTGTCAGCATGCCTGGGCTGCCTGCCTGATTAGCAGAGCAAAGGCAGGAACCCAGGGGTGTTTCAGGCTTGGGACAGGGTTCTTCCCTGTTTCATCACATTGGACATGGAGTTTCTTAGATATTCATTATGCCATTTCATTTAGGTTGTTTTAAAAAACAACTGCTCATTAGAGCACTCTAGTACTCTAATAATTCACTGGCCCTTGACTTTCAAGGAATAAACAATCTAAAGACAGCTATAGAATGTTAGAATTTCAGAGGAAGATACAATCTTAAGAGAACATCCAGTTATGTCTTCGTTACCTGTTAATTCATTACAACCAGAGACCATATGTGTTTTGTTTGCTTAGCACTGCTTTTAAATTTTAAATTAGTGTAACATTTAAGTGACAGGACATTTATACACGGTCTGAATTTCTGGCTTCTCTTGAAAAACTTGATTCTAGCAATATTGGGTATATAGTCCTGCTTGGCCCTTCAGCTAGAGCAGAGTAGCATCACAGGGCGTCTACACCTGGGTTTGCTGTAGGTGGCACAGCTTGCTCCTCCTGTCTCAGGGCCCATTTGCATCTCCTGCCCAGCCCTGGTAGGCATTTGACATTGTTGCCCGAGTTAATACAGTTGGATCATGCTATGTTAAATATTTAGTGGATTTAACAGTGAGAATAATGATCCTGGATACCATCTGAATATTTGCGATGCATATATGGTAATGAAGCTAATGAAGCGCTGTGGCATGGCCATGCCTCTTTAACTCTTTGTCATCAGTGTGCTTTGTTTTAAGCCCCAGTGTTTGTCAGCCTGAGTGAGTGGATGTCTGTACAGGTGCTTGAAAGACAGGTACATGTTCCAGAGGAGAAAATGACAGACGTATAGCCAGATTAAATTTTGGAAAAGGATGAGAGGGTATGGTTCATAAGTTGAGTATAATACTGTTAATAAAATAAAGTAAAATTTTATTTCTGTCCTACTGTAGAGCAGATAGAACTGCAATGTTTTCATTTCATAGCTGATTTCATGTATTTTTAATAATGTATCAAATTCCAACAGCAACAATTTGTATTTCCTCTGCAAAGTTGGGGATGTAGTGGAACATCTAGGTTCCTTCTCCTTTGTCTGCCTCCACCCGACCTGGACACTGAATTTAATATTTATGTGGAACTTCAAAGACATCAACTTAAAAGAAAAGTGTGCCCTTAAGGCTGGTTCTTAGAGATTGCCATTTCTGCTCCTGAGCTAGTGCGGGGCCCAGGATGATCTCTCTGTCTGTGGTTTAGGTATACCCTGGAAAGCTAGCATTTCACTCCCTCTCCTATGGGCTTGTTAGCCTTGTAACAAGTGGCTGTTCAGAAATGCCACTTGGAGTCCAGTTCTCCATTTGTTGATTTCTTGTGCAGCTTTCCGATTGTAAGATTCACTGGAAAGATCCGTCTGTTTTGTACAGTAGTGTAATGAAGTTCTGATCTCTGAACTACTGTATCATGTGATACTTAGTACCTTCATTATTAATCTATATAAAGTCTTCCCTAAACAGGCCTAGTTTAATTGGAAGATAGGTCTACTTTCCATTAAAGCCCAGCTTCATACAGAATTATTCCATTTTTAATATAGCAGCAGAGTATATTTTCCTCTCCTTCCATCACTATGAAAGGAAAGCACATATAGTGTTCCCAATGTAAGCATCTTATTTGAAGCTGCTTGTTCCATTTGGGTGGAATTCAGATCCCTTAGATTGTTAACATATTGCAGGGTTTTGTTTCTCATATCAGAGTCAGCGTGATCCTGAGACTTAGAAATGGTGGAAATTATATGTGGAATATAGTCAACCCATTGTTGTTTTTGTCAACACATTGTTCATGTTAAAAATAGTACACTAGTAAACTTACAATTTGGAATTACAAATGAAGAGATAATTTAATGTCTATGAATGTGTTAAAGTCAGATATTCAGTCATAACAATAAGTACAATGGCCTTATTCGAGTTCATTTGGGAGGGTGAATGAGCATTTTGATGTTTGGTCAGGAAAATGTGTTAATGATTGTATTCCTAATAGGGCAAAAAAGACGTGGCTCAAATTTTCAACAATATTCTCAGAAGACAAATTGGTACGAGAACTCCTACTGTTGAATACATCTGCACCCAACAGAATATTTTGTTCATGTTATTGAAAGGGTATGTACAATGTAATAAAATTTGTATTCTCAGTTGAACATAAAGGAAGGATTGCCTTGGGAAAAAAAACAGGATGCTGAATGTGGGAAGCATTTTCTCTGTAGTTAGATAATTTTTCCATAGATTTTGAACACATTTCCCTCCTTGAAATTCAACTTGTGAGCTAAATTGAATTTGAAAATGCCCTACAGGTGGGAATTTAAAATTAGGTGAATTCTGAGCTTTTAAATTCACAAATCCAGCATGACTGAAGGAAAAAATAATAATTCTCTGTGGTCTTATTTCTGTTCTCTAGGATTTAAAAAAGTTGAATTTCATTGAAGTATCAGTTAAGTTATATATTGAAAGACATCTCCTTTGGACATAATACGCACGCTGTAAGGCAGTAAAAGCTGCCTCTTAAATGGAGCATGGATTCTCTACAGCTTTACTTTGTTGAGTCAGCAAAGTACATGTTTATGAAGTAGTGTCCTTTGATTTTTACCTCTCTGTGTCCACTTACTAATCCATATAATTTGGTAATTCACAGTGCATCTTCCTGAAATTACTACTGGTCTAAGCAGGCATTAATGTTTGGGTAGTCTTGTCAGTTTAAAAAAGCCTGAAAACCGAACCATAGAACCAAATGCCCTTCTCCCTCATCCCTGAGCCTCATTGACTGGCAAGGTAACCTCCTGCTGTTTCACACCAGAGTTGTGTGCCAGCCCCGGGTATGGTGTGCATCTGTTTGTCCCAACATTGGTGGTGGTCTGTTCTATTAAGTTGGTGGGCAGGCATGTTCCTGGCATGACTGTTGGTGTGAATCAGCTTGCTCTACTCCTCCTGGCTTTATAGCTTGCCTCAGTCTGATTCACGTCTCTGCGGTTTAACACTTCCCCCAAGTTCAAGCTTGTTTAGACAAAGTGTGAGTCAGTGCCTGTGTTGCACGCCAGCGTTCTGTTTCCCTCTTTCTATTTCTAACCATCTGTGTTACTTCTTCAGATTTTGGGATACAGAACTTTTGGCATCTAATTTTGTGTTGTATCAATTCAGAGTTGTATGTAAAAACATGTAGTGAGCAGTGTGAAATTGTGGTGATCTTAGAGCAGCTTTCAGGTGCCTTTGTGTGTTTTTAAAGCCCATATTTCCTTTTCCATAGAAACCAAGGATTATTAAAATCAATACATTAGTTAACTCTGCTGACATTTTTCACTTCAGAGTAATCAGAGGCATGATATGAATGTTGTTAAATGGCATGTCAAGAAAGACTTTTGAGATACAATTTACAGTTTAGAGCTCTCACCTGTGCTGGCCAGAGCAGACACTTCCAGCCAGGAAGTAGCATGGAGAATGCAACTGGTGGGCCCACCGGAAGCCCCGCCCACCTCCTTTGTTGTGAAAAATATACGTACAACTAGAGGGAATATGTAACATACCGGTTCCTACCCTAAACCCAGCTTCAACAGTTACGAATGTTCTGTCATTCTTGTTCCTCTAGTCCTTGCCCCCTTTTTCCTCTGACACATGACATCACTCAGTATGCATCCCTAGTACGCATTACAAAACACAGTATAACACAGTTACGTTACCATTTGCAAACCTAATGTCTAATGCCCAATCTACAGATTTCCTCAATTTTCACAAAAATGGCATTTTACAGTTCGTTTATTTAATATTACTTCCAGGCTGGACATGGTGGCTCACGCCTGTAATACCAGCATTTGGGAGGCCAAGGCGGGTGGATCACTTGAGTCCAGGAGTTTGAGACCAGCCTGGGCAATATGGTGAAACCCCGCCTCTACTAAAAATACAAAAATTAGCCGGGTGTGGTGGCACACACCTGTAATCCCAGCTATTCGGGAGGCTGAGGCACAAGAATAGCTTGAACCCAGGAGATGGAGGTTGCAGTGAGCCGAGATTGCGCCACTGCACTTTAGCCTGGGTGACAGAGCAAGACTTGATTTCCAAAAAAAAAAAAAAGTTCCAAACAAGGCCCACAAACTGAATTTGGTTAATACTCTGAGCTCTCTTTTAATCTATAATAGTTAATATTATGCCATCTCTTTGTTGAAGCCTGGATTGTTTGTTTTGTAGAAAAATCATATATTTTAGACTTGGCATTCCTGTTGCTTCTGTAACATGTTCCACTATCTGCTAGTGATTTAACTGGTAGATAGTTAGATCTGGCTTTTTTTTATTAGATTCGGATTCACTTTGAGGGGGGCAAAAGTTCATGGATGGTGCTGTGTGCTTCATATTGGGTGGCACTGGTTATCCCATTTCTGGTGATGTTCGGATTGACCGGTGGATGCAGGTGTCCTCAGTCTGTAATCTGTCCATTACAAAATTCTCATTGACCTTTCACCTCCTGGTTTTAGTTTCCATTGAGAATCATTGCCTAGATTCAGAATGGCAGTTTCCTGATTCTGTTATTTCTTCTTCATATAATTAAATTGTTTCTATAAAGAAGAACCCTTCTTCCTTGATGACTTAGTTATCCCAAAATAGTCTCATTTTTTAGTATAATCAGGTATTTTTTTTTTAGTATAATCAGTTGATGACCTGGCCACTTCCTTAGATAAGTATTGAGTTGTTTTAAGGATCATTATAAACTCACGTTTTTGTCTTTTTAAAAATTATATTTGATATGTCTCAATCCATTCCAGTCATTACTTTCTTGTGTCCAAGTTGCCCCATCTTTGGCCCTTGGGAACTCCTTCAAGTTGCCTTCTGTGTTGTTTTGGCAAGACCCCATCAGTCTGTGATTGCTTCCTTGCTTTCTGGCGTAGGATGACCATCTTGCTCATTTTGTACGAGTCCTGCCAGACCTGGAAACAGCTGTTTCTTGAAGGAGCGCTGTGAACTGCATTTTAAGATTTTTGTACTTTTGTTAATTAATTTAGACTGCTTCCATACAGTGTGATTATCTTCTTAGGCTGTGAGTACTTCTGTTAGATATTTATTTGCGGGGCCATGCTGCTAATACTAGCATGCATTTGAAGTCGTATTGCTAGTGTTAGACTACATTTGGAGGCGATTTTTTTTTTACTGGCAATTTACATGTTAGTATGCTGTTCACTCTAGTGCTCACAGGTTATACAGCATAACTGTTTGCCTTGTATTTACTGGTTTATGGTTTAATCGTTTAGACAAGCTTGACAAGCCTCCATCAAAACCTGTTCAACTTGTACCAAACTGTCTTACCCTTGTCTTTCCTGCCTTCTAAAGCTCAGCAAAGATGAATTGTATGATCAGCCATTTTGTGAGCAGATATTTCCATCAAGTAAGAGCCGGTCAGCATTCTAGCTGCATGCCTCCACTGATGCCAAGGAGTGTGGTTTTATCTTGTTGAGGATCTGTGATGTGTAAGAGGACACCACTACTAGATAACAAATGAGTACTACAGGATTTCAGAGGATAAAATGTGGTTTGGGTTAATAAGGCAAGGGTTGATAAAAGGAATAGGACTTAAGATGGGAGTTCCTAGTAGTTTAGAATTTACACAGGCAGAAAAGAGAGAAGGCATCCTAATGGCATATGACTGGGAACAAAGGTACAGGGGCAGGAATGAACATAACATGATTGGCAGCAATAAGGAGAGAATTTGAAAGTTGTGTGGCAGGTTGGGAGGTGACATTGTGCTAGAACAGGAGATCTAATAAGAGGAAGACTGGATAGTTAAGTCCAGAAGTTTGTCTTTATTTGATTAGCTAGAAGAAATCATTTTAAGCTCCCAAGCTGGAAATGCTGTTGATACACTTGTGTGTTGGGTAGATTTATTATGACAGAGCTTGAACAAAGGTGCTGGCTAGGAATCATTTCCAATTGTCCAGGTATGAATTAATGTAGCAGTGGGAATGAATAAAAGGAAATGAAACTAAGATAATCAGAAAAATATTTTTAAAAGCCTTTGAAGGCTTTTGAAGCCTGACATTGAAGTTGGGAAGATTTGGAGTAAAGAAGGAAAGGTTTAGAACTGGGCTGTCCAATATAGTAGCTACTAACCACATGTAATTAATTGAAATTAAATAATATTTATGATTCAACCCCACAGTCACACTAGACAAATTTCAGGTGCTCAGTAGCTATATGTGGCCAATCTCACCATAATGAACAGCACAGATACAGAACATGGAAATTTCTGTTAGACCTGGTTTAGAACTGGGTAACTGAAACAAAATAATGATGCCAAATTATAGAAATGAGGAAGCAGGGGGGTGGGGGTGATTTTATGGAGGGGGATGAGATTTGATTTGAGACACGTTGAGTTTATGGTAGCCCTTTAACGGAAGTTGTCCAGAGGCAACAGAAAATGCCTAACTAATTCAGGAGTAGACATGGAGGTGGGGTTAGTAGTCATGGTGGGAGCCATGAGATTGTATGGGCTTTCATTAGCAGGCTGTAGGCAACAGGTGAAGACCTCAGCCAGGCAAGAAATGGGAACAGTCAGAGAGATAGAAAGGAGAACATGAAAGGTTTTATTTTGGTTTTTTACAGCACTGTCAGGACACTTGAGTAGAAGACTCTATTTAGCCAAGAGGGAATCTTTGCTGGCCCGTTATTTCACTAGTGTGTTGGGAAATGGAATATGACTAGAGGAGAATGTGAGGTGGAAAGAAAGCCAGTGCATGCAGCTTGAGAGGAAGTAGAAGAGAGCGATGTGTTTGAGGGGGCGGAAGAGTCCAGTCAGAGGGCTTGTGCACATCTGAAGGGGAAATGCCTCTTGCTTGGCTGAGAGGTGTCTCTCTAATGGCGGGGAAGGAAGAAGCCAGAGACATGGAGATGAGCATAGGGAAGGCTGTGTGCAGAGAGCTGATGAGGGGGGTCTGCCTGCTCTGTGGCCCCTGGGCTCTCTGATGGGGACACTTTGTGAAGTCCTCAGGAGGAGGCTTATCAGCTTGGTAGTGTTTACATGTGGCTGAGAGTCTCCAAGTACTATCTTGAGTATTGAATTGAAACAACAAGGTATAAATTCTATATGTTTGTAGACCTATTTAGATATTCTGAATTTGGGGAAATATTTTGTTTTCTGTTTTTTGATTTAGCTTTTGGTTTTTCTGAGTGTCAAGAGCACCATCTGTAAAAGCTAACCCCTGTATGGAGTGGTATGACCCGAAATACTTCTCTTGAAATCTTTCAGCTTAAATAATGAACCTTTAGTCACACAGTCACTCGTATGGCTATTTTTCTTTGGTTTAAGGCGGTCATCACCAACCAGTGTGTGTTTGCACTCTGGAGTCAGTTTACCTGAGCACATGCTCTGCTCCGACTGAAATACCTTCTGTAATCTGCGATGGTCATTTAGTTAGGATACATGTCTGAAAACTGTCTTTGGCCTGAAAGTTTGAACTGTTCAGTGTTGGAGTTTTGAAAAAGCAATCATGTTTGGTTTGTTTGTTTGGTTTTTTGTTTTTGCAGGTATGAATCTCCAGAAATAGCTCTAAATTGTGGAATAATGTTAAGAGAATGCATCAGACATGAACCACTTGCAAAAATCATTTTGTGGTCGGAACAGTTTTATGATTTCTTCAGATATGTCGAAATGTCAACATTTGACATAGCTTCAGATGCATTTGCCACATTCAAGGTAACAAAAACTGTAGAATTCTAAATATCCTTGAAAGTCAGAGGTGTGCTGTTTTTCTAAACCTTCATTGCCCTCCTAAATCTACACGTGGCTGCCCTCTAGTGGGAAGAGAAAGATACATTTTGTATATGTTTGTGTGATAGAGGTATATGCAGTAAAGTCACAGCTTTAAAAGGGTGGAAAAGTTAGATTCTAAAGTCTATCTAAAAGACAAAAGTCCTGTGTGGTCAAAATTCTACTTTGCTGTTAAATTATAATTAAGTATGGTATACTGTACAGCATATGTAACAACCAGGTTTTCTCCTGTGTTTGAAACATTGTGTAGCAGTTTCTTTGGTTAAGCACCAGATGAAGTAGTTGGCTTCTGTTCAGGTTTATGTTAATTTGGAATATACACTTCATGAAATATTAGGACCACATTCAGGACAGAGATACTCACATTGTGGACAGGCCCGAGGAAACAGTGGATTCACCTCTCCCATCTCTGCTCACACTGGATCATGTCGATTAAATGTAGAGCGTGGACAGAATCACCCACACTATTCAAATCATAATGTATCTTCCCCGCTCCCCCATCTACCTTTCCTCCCTTGGTGTATATTTGTATAAATTAAATACATACATGATGTGACAGCACTGTACAACGTGCAGATTCTTGTTTTGAGTTACAAGGTTCTATGCTGTTTACAATCTATGAATAAAGCAGGAGTCTTTTACAATGAGAGCAAGCGTTTGTAGGTTACATTCCCTTATATAAATTGCCTAACCTTATGAATAAATATTTAGAACTGTTTTAATATAAACCAATACTTGCCAGGCGCAGTGGCTCGTGCCTGTAATCCCAGCACTTTAAGAGGCTGAGGCGGGCGGATGACCTGAGGTCGGGAGTTCGAGACCAGCCTCACCAACATGGAGAAACCCCGTCTCTACTAAAAATATAAAATCAGCCGGGCGTAGTGGCGCATGCCTGTAATCACAGCTACTCGGGAGGCTGAGGCAGGAGAATCGCTTGAACCCAGGAGACGGAGGTTGTGGTAACCCGAGAATCACACCATTGCACTCCAGCCTGGGCAACAAAAGCGAAACTCCATCTCAAAAAAAAAAAAAATGTATACACGCACACACACACACAGCCCAAAGAAAATACATATATACACACCAGTATTTAGCATACTGATATGCAGACGACCATGCTCAGAAACCATGAACACTATCACAGTGAGAAGTGGCCACCTTTCTTCTGAGGGTTCATTTTCATGATTATGAAAAGCCCCTGAAATAATGAGCACACACTTTGGTCTCTGGGTGAAATATGTCCCACCTCAGAGTGAATGAATGCCCTAAAGATAGGATGAAACCTGGGGACCTGATCATTAGGGTTTTACCTTGAATGAGAATCAGGTCATAAGGCCCCCAGGGATTTATTGAATGAGAATCAGGTCATAGTATGAGAGCTCCCCAGGAATTTATTTCCCAAAACTCTTAAAGAGGGAGTTGAAAGCCTCAGGTGAGGACCCAGATATTTGTATGTAGGTGTACAAAGCAAAACAAAATGAATTTGAGATTATAACATAGAGTGATCAATATGATGTCTTAGGTGTCACCACAGTTGGTGGGCTAGGACTCATGCTTATAATGCATCGGTGGAAGGGTATGTCCCATTCAGAAGTAGCAGACCTGCCATGAAGGGCGGTGTAGCAGCACCATGTGTCAAAGAGAGATTCCCCTGTGTGGAAGGACAGCCAGGAGCCTGAGGGTGGCAGTACTCTGGCCACATGAGGGTGAAGGAAGAGGATTGAGCAGCAGTGGTGTGGGAGAATGCAGCAAGACCCCTGACCCCGTCAGGATGTGGTTGACATGCTTCTGGCACAGATGGCAAAGGTGGCTCAGAGGTGAGAGAGATGTACTGACTATGTGCTGGAAATGGGATTTGCAGTGAGTCTCGTCTGGCCTGGCTGATAATTTCATTTCAGTTAGGGTTACTTCTTTTGATAATTCTCACCAAGGAGAAAATGGCAGTGATGGATCGCTATGGGTAAAGCAGCCCTATCAGGTCATGGTGGCCAGAGAGGGAGACTGGGCAGCCAGGCAGGTCACCCCTACTTGATAAAGAGGAAGCTTCATAAAACAAGGTAGTGTCCTAAGGGTGAGCTCTGGAAGAGAGAGCACTGGGGAGCTGGCCTGGACTGTGCATCTCAGGTGCTCCTTATTGCATGGAAAGGAAGGAGCTGAGAGGAGAGGCCCCCCAAAAGAGGGTTCTCCAAGAAACAAAATTAAGCAGAGTCTACAGCCAAGACAACATGTGAAAGAGAGGACAGACCTCCCATCATAATTTCAGGGTAGCTAAACTAGCAGACAGGTGGAAGTCACCTTCCTACTCCTCCCTGAAAGAAACTCCAGTCAGGGAAGAAAGGAAGACCAGCAGGAACAGCCTTACAGCTGCACACCAGAGGCGCTGACAAGGAGGGACACGTTGCTGCTCCTCTCCTGTCTTGCTGCTAGTCTCCTGTTTGCAGAGCATATTCTTATAATGGAAAAGAAGAATAGATCTATGGTTCATGCTTTCCTTTGAGAATGTGGCAAGAGCGCCCTCCCAGAAAACGTGCTCTGCACACAAAAATTTCCAAACATGTGGCTCATCCATAGCCCTGGAACAGGTGCTGAGTCTTTAAAGGAAATTAGAACTGCTCTAGGCCAGGCATGGTGGCTCACGCCTGTAATCCCACCACTTTGGGAGGCTGAGGTGGGTGGATCACCTGAGGTCAGGAGTTTGAGACCAGCCTGGCCAACATGATGAAACCCCGTCTCTACTGAAAATACAAAAAATTAGTTGTGGTGACATGCGCCTATAGTCTCAGCTACTCAGGAGGCTGAGGCATAAGAATCCCTTGAACCTGGGAGGCAGAGGTTGCAGTGAGCCGAGATCACTCCACTGCACTCCACCCTGGGCGACGGAGTGGGACTCTGTTTAAAAAAAAAAAAATGCTCTAAATATGTCCAAAATTCATAGCTTGAATAAATGGATGCTCAGATAGTAAACCAGATGGCCAAATATTTGTAAATTTTTTTTTCTTTTTTGAGGAATTAAGGAGATGGAGAGGGGCATTAGAAAGCCAAAAATGTTTCCAATGTTCTAGAATAAAAGAAGGTAGCCTCACCAGACTGTGCCTGTGTAAGGTTCTAGAAAGTATGTCTAAAGAGATGGTTTCTGCCACTCAAAACCACACAACTACATGGAAACTGAACAACCTGCTCCTGAATGACTACTGGGTAAATAACGAAATGAAGGCAGAAATAAATACGTTCTTTGAAACCAATGAGAACAAAGACACAACCTACCGCAATCTCTGGGACACATTTAAAACAGTGTGTAGAGGGAAATTTATAGCACTAAATGCCCACAAGAGAAAGCAGGAAAGATCTAAAATTGACACCCAAATATCACAAAAGAACTAGAGAAGCAAGAGCAAACACATCCAAAAGCTAGCAGAAGGCAAGAAATAACTAAGATCAGAGCAGAACTGAAGGAGATAGAGACACAGAAAACTTTTCAAAAAATCAGTGAATCCAGGAGCTGGTTTTTTGAAAAGATCAACAAAATTGATAGACCGCTAGCAAGACTAATAAAAAAGAAGAGAGAAGAATCAAATAGACGCAATAAAAAATGATAAAGGGGAGATCACCACCGATCCCACAGAAATACAAACTACCATCAGAGAATACCATAAACACCTCTATGCAAATAAACTAGAAAATCTAGAAGAAATGGATAAATTCCTGGACACATACACCTTCCCAAGACTAAACCAGGAAGAAGTTGAATCGCTGAATAGACCAATAACAGGCTCTGAAATTGAGGCAATCATTAAAAGACTGTCAACCAAAAAAACTCCAGGACCAGACGGATTCACAGCCAAATTCTGCCAGAGGTACAAGGAGAAGCTGGTACCATTCCTTCTGAAACTATTCCAATCAACAGAAAAAGAGGGAATCTTCCCTAACTCATTTTATGAGGCCAGCATCATCCTGATACCAAAGCCTGGTAGAGACACAACAAAAAAAAACTTTAGACCAATATCCCTGATGAACATCAATGCGAAAATCCTCAATGAAATACTGGCGAACTGAATCCAGCAGCACATCAAAAAGAGTATCCACCACGATCAAGTGGGCTTCATCCCTTCGATGCAATGCTGGTTCAACATACGAAAATCAATAAACATAATCCGTCACATAAACAGAACCAAAGACAAAAACCATGTGATTATCTCAATAGATGCAGAAAAGGCCTTTGACAAAATTCAACAGCCTTTCGTGCTAAAAACTCTCAATAAACTAGGTATTGATGGAACGTATCTCAAAATAATCAGAGCTATTTATGACAAACCCACAGCCAATATCATACTGAATGGGCAAAAACCGGAAGCATTCCCTTTGAAAAGTTGCACAAGACAGGGATGCCCTCTCTCACCACTCCTATTCAACATAGTGTTGGAAGTTCTGGCCAGGGCAATCAGGCAAGAGAAGGAAATAAAGGGTATTCAATTAGGAAAAGAGGAAGTCAAATTGTCCCTGTTTGCAGATGACATGATTGTATATTTAGAAAACCCCATCATCTCAGCCCAAAATCTCCTTAAGCTGATAAGCAACTTCAGCAAAGTCTCAGGATACAAAATCAAGGTGCAAAAATCACAAGCATTCTTATACACCAATAACAGACAGAGAGCCAAATCATGACTGAATTCCCATTCACAATTGCTACAAAGAGAATAAAATACCTAGGAGTGCAACTTACAAGGGATGTGAAGGACCTCTTCAAGGAGAACTACAAACCACTGCTCAACGAAATAGAAGAGGACACAAACGGAAGAACATTCCATGCTCATGGATAGGAAGAATCAATATCATGAAAATGGCCATACTGCCCAAGGTAATTTATAGATTCAATGCCATTCCCATCAAGCTACCACTGACTTTCTTCACAGAATTGGAAAAATCTACTTTAAAGTTCATATGGAACCAAAAAAGAGCCCGCATTGCCAAGACAATCGTAAGCACAAAGAACAAAGCTGGAGGCATCACACTACCTGACTTCAAACTCTACTACAAGGCTACAGTAACCAAAACAGCATGGCACTGGTACCAAAACAGAGATATAGACCAATGGAACAGAACAGAGGCCTCAGAAATAACACCGCACACCTACAACCATCTGATCTTTGACAAACCTGACAAAAACAAGAAATGGGGGAAAGGATTCCCTATTTAATAAATGGTGCTGGGAAAACTGGCTAGCCATGTGTAGAAAGCTGAAACTGGACACCTTCCTTACACCTTATACAAAACTTAATTCAAGATGGATTAAAGACTTAAATGTTAGACCTAAAACCATAAAAACCCTAGAAGACAACCTAGGCACTACCATTCAGGACATAGGCATGGGCAAGGACTTCATGACTAAAATACCAAAAGCAATGGCAACAAAAGCCAAAATAGATAAATGGGATCTAAATAAAGAGCTTCTGCACAGCAAAAGAAACTACCATCAGAGTGAACAGGCACCCTACAGAATGGGAGAAAATGTTTGCAATCTACCCATCTGACAAAGGGCTAATATCCAGAATCTACAAAGAACTTAAACAAATTTACAAGAAAAAAATCAAACAACCCCATCAAAAAGTGGGCAAATGATATGAACAGACACTTTTCAAAAGAAGACATTTATGCAGCCAACAGACACATGAAAAAATGCTCATCATCTCTGGTCATCAGAGAAATGCAAATCAAAACCACAATGAGATACCATCTCACACCAGTTAGAATGGCGATCATTAAAAAGTCAGGAAACAACAGGTGCTGGAGAGGATGTGGAGAAATAGGGACACTTTTACACTGTTGGTGGGCGTGTAAACTAGTTCAACCATTGTGGAAGACAGTGTGGCGATTCCTGAAGGCTCTAGAAATAGAAATACCATTTGACCCAGTGATCCCATTACTGGGTATATCCCCAAAGGATTACAAATCATACTACTATGAAGACACATGCACACGTATATTTACTGTTGCACTATTCACAATAGCAAAGACTTGGAACCAACCCAAATGTCCATCAGTGACAGACTGGATTGAGAAAATGTGGCACATATACACCATGGAATACTATGCAGCCTTAAAAAAGGATGCATTCGTGTCCTTTGTAGCGACATGGATGAAGCTTGAAACCATCATTCTGAGCAAACTGTTGCAAGGACAGAAAACCAAACACCGCATGTTCTCACTCATAGGTGCGAATTGAACAATGATGAGAACCCTTGGACACAGGGCGGGGAACATCAAACACCGGGGCCTGTCATGGGGTGGCGGGGTGGGGGAGGGATAGCATTAAGAGAAATACCTAATGTAAATGATGGGTTAATGGGTGCAGCAAACCAACATGGCACATGTATACATATGTAACAAACCTGCATGTTGTGTACATGTACCCTAGAACTTAAAGTATAATTAAAAAAAAAATACAAAAAAAAATGGCTTCTGAGCAGTTTGGAAACTGTACCCACAGCCATCATGGATTCACTAAGAGGAAGTTCAGTCATATTGATCTCATAGGTACTGGTGGATTGGGGGAGTAAAAGGGCATGGCTGCCTAGGTTCACACCAGCTCTGCTGCTGATCTCACCTCCAATCTCTTCATCTGTTCAGATTCAGGTAATAACATGACCATATCAGTTGTTGTGCCTTCACACAGTGTCTATGCAGTAAACATTAGCTGTTAGAATTACTCCTTCATCACAACAAGGATATGCTAGATGTTGTATAATTCTACAAATCTGTTTTCATGGAAACAGTAAAACTGAGCTAGATGGAGTTTCAGTATAGTAATTCACAACCAGTTGTATGTTATATCCATATGCTATTGGCACGTAAATTGCCGTCACCCTGCAGAGAAACTTCTAGCGAATTTCCACGGGGCTTTCCCCACCCAGCTGAACGTTTTTATTAGTGACTGAAATAAAAGGTGACAAGGCATACTTATCAAATGTGTAGATGTTAGCCAGGAAGGGAAGGACAGCAGATAACAGAGGATCCTAAAACTTAGAAAGGTCAGAGAGACCAGAATATAGCAGGATGAAGTTAAATACAGATAACTGAGGTCTTCCACTTGAGGACCCAGCTGTATAAAATATGGGATGGAGGAATAACACAATAATAATAAATACAAAATGAGATACTAAGTATAATAATTACTAGGATGTAGATAATTTCATATCATACTCAACCCTAGGAAGGCAGTGTTGTTATTACTGACTTTACAGATGAGGAAAGTGAAGCCTAGAGATTTTGATTGAAATCAGACAATAAATGGGGAAGTCAGACTGCGGACCCAGGCAGGCAGGCTACCAGAGCCCACTTTGAGTAAACAATTTTGAATACCCCCAATACAATTAAGCAGTATGATAATGTGTTCCCCAGAGCTCCATGTGACCACGTAGTATGTAACCTAAGGAGCTAACTGATAGTCTCACTCCACTATGAGCTTATCAGGTAACAACACATAAATGTGTTCCATTCCAGGCGCTACACTTTAAGAGGCACATAGACAAATAGATGACTTTCAGAAGACAGTAGATGGTGAGGGGGACTCAGAACCCTGTCATTCGAGGAGTGGTTAAAGGAACTGGAAGTATTTAGCCTGGAGAAGAGAAGCCTCGGTAGGGACCTGCCATGAGAGCACTACTTGTATTTGAAGTGGGGTCCCATAGAAAATGGACAAAACATGGATCTGTCAGCTCTGATGGTTCCTGGCATAGTATTTGGGGATAGGTCTGACCCTAGCACAGGGAGAACTTTCTCACTGTAAGAACTCCAGAGGTGAACCACACAACTGGAAAAATTGAGTTTCTTGTCCTTAGACATAATCAAACATCAAGTAGGAAATGGGGCCAAATGGTTTGCCAAGATGAATGTGAAAATAAGCCCCCTGGGTTAGCAGGATTTCTTCAGGGATCCCAGGGCTGTCTTAGTCACATGATGTTTCAGCCCAAACTCAAGCTTTTAGGAAGCTTTTAAATTCAGCCTACCCTAAAAGTTGGCTGCTTAGTCTGCTGGACTTGGGAAATGATCCCTAGTCTTTCTTCCATTATATGAGGGCCTGGCATAGACTGGAATTCAGATAGATGGAAGATGAGGAATCCTTTTATTCTCCCCTCTGCTGACTGACCTAGCAACTCTGCTGGTCTGGGGTCACATGCACCCTAAACTTTGCAGGTCTGCATGCCCTTTGCCCATTATGTTCTATTCTGTTGGTCTACACACACCCCCCTCCCACCCACACTCACCCCAGTTTGAGCTGTCCGAAGTTTTTGGCTGCAGTCACTAGGCTAAGGTTCCTTCTCATCTCTCAGTAGATAGAGGCTCTGCTGATTGTCCTCATCTCCTCCTTTTCCCAGCTTAGTATTCACCTTTTTCTCTGAGCTGGCGCTTAACAGTTGCTCTTTTCCTACTAGTGTTTTACCCCCCCAACCCCCCACCCCAGGCCTTTGAATGACCCTTTTTAACAAAGGGTTTTCATCCTGTTACGTACTGGGTCCACCTGCTCCTTGGGCAGACTCTGAGTGCCCCTTTCAATCGCTCTTACCCCAAAGCCATTGAGATTTGATTTCTGGTTGGCAGCAGTTTCCTGAGTTTCCAGATGGTAACACATAGAATCTCCCCTACATGGGAAGATGTTAGAGGTCCCCCTTTGTGTGGCCCATCTGTGAGCCTCTGGCTGCTTTTGAGATACCTTACAGAGTGAATACTCGCTTCTCTCAAACCTTCAGTAAAAATCTGTTGTGCAACATGTTAACACCTAGAGGGCCTTTGCTTTATAGAGTAGATACTTTGTTCCTGCCTGTTCCTAAGAATCCAACCTCAGTTGAGAGCCAGTGTCTCTCAGGACCCTCCTGCTTGGCACTCTCTTCGTGAGGTTATGACAGAACAGTGAGCAGCAAGTTCCTTCTGCTGTACTTCCTCACACTGGCCTCCAGAACGATTTAGTCGCAAAAAGTTAGAAGCAACACTGTCTGACAGGGATCCTGACACTTGAATTCCTAAGTTAACATATTCATTTGTTATTCACCAAGATTGTCAGTGCCTGCTCTGTGCCAGGCACTTTTTTTCTTTTCTTTTCTTTTCTTTTCTTTTTTTTTTTAATTTTTTTTATTTTTGAGGTGAAGTTTCACTATTGTTGCCCAGGCTGGAGTGCAGTGGTGCGATTTCAGCTCAGTGCAACTTCCACCTCCTGGGTTCAAGCGATTCTCCTGCCTCAGCCTCCTGAGTAGCTGGGATTACAGGCATGCATCACCACACCCAGCTAGGTTTTTGTATTTAGTAGAGACAGGGTTTCACCATGTTAGACTGGTCTCGAACTCCTGACCTCAGGTGATCCACCCACCTCGGCCAGGCACTATTCTTTAGGGGTGGGGGATTCAGCAGTGAACCCTACAGACAAAACTTGCCCTGTGGCACCTCCATAGCGGGACATCAGCCATAAACACACCACAATAGCATGTTAAATGGTGCTGTCCGTACTTGATAACATTCCCCTTCAGGTCCTCATGTTCCTCTCTCTGCATCTGTGACCCCATGGACCACGGTACGAAGATAATGGAAATTCTCTTACCACTTTCTTCTTCTCCTTCCCCTGGAGGGGAAACGTTGTAGCACTTCTTGCCAAACTCTTGAGTGTACTCAGAATAAACTTCAGGTTTTTAATATGGCCTGTTGAATCCTCAAGGAGGATTTGGGAAAAATTGGGTAGGTCCTTCCTGGCCATCCCTGTTATGATCAGGAAATATAACACATACCCTATCCAGCAGTTTGAACAACTGTAAATCTTTGGGGTGGGGTTAGAAACCTTCTCAAAAGCATACTTTGAAGATTGCTGAATGTGATGTTTTTCCAGACATGTTCCCTGATTTTATTGGTTCATTCATTGATTTATTAAATATTAAGCACTTACTATGCACTGGGCACTGCATAGGTGCTGGGGATTCAAAGGTTAATGAAAACAGACACGATCCTGGTATTTATGGAACTTACAGTGTAGCATAAGAGAGACTTGAATCAAATAATCCCACAAACCAGTGTAGAGTCACAGCTATGTCCAGTGCTTTTGTGCTGGTGACCAATCAGGAGGAGTTGAGGTCCGAAAGACGAACAGTAGGTAACCACGCAGTGGGGAAAGCCTGTACAGAGGCCCTTTCGGGAAGGGCTTTCACAGAAAGTAGGTGACAAAAGAGCTCCCTGTGCAGTCTAGGACCTGACATCTGGAGTGAGCTGTGGCACTTCCCTCGTTTGCTTGACCATGGGACATTTCTTAAAGCGTTTCTCAGAACCAGTGTTTCATTTCAGCATACTTCAAGAAACACTAGTTCTTTGTAACCTGGGCAACCTTCAAACATAAACAGGAACGAAAACTAGGAAAGGTGGTTGGGAGAAAGGCGATGATTGGCGCTATCTTCTTTAGCAGTGGTACGAAGGACCTCAATCCATTAGTTTACCAGCTACTGGCCAGGCCTTCCTGCTGTCACTTGTTCCCATTCTCTTTCCCACCCAGTGAGACCAAGGCTAGTCCTTTGCTAACTTCTAGGTCCTTGAAGGCAGGGATCATATCTTTTTGTCTTTGAAGCCCTAGCACCTAGAGTTTTACCTGGCACTTAGTAAATATTTCTGAATGAATGATCCTTGGGAAAGCTATAGGGTGAGGCATAGGGTTCTGTTTCATGGTAATACAAAATCAGACTGGAGGTTCACAGTCGTTGTTAATTCTACGTTATCGTACCAACATTCTGCTTACCTAAAACACACTCTACCTCTAAAAAATTTGCGTTAGCTATGAACCTGAATGTGATTGAACTTAGGAGGAAGAAAATAGAGCCTCTAATCCTTTTTCTAATAAAAGAAATTTCCTCTTTCTCCACCGGGAGCGCTAAGTGGGCGTGGAATTGTTTGACAGTTTACCACTACTGTTAGCTTTGTTTTTGTGTTTTTGTTTTTAAATAACCAGCCCACTTGGGGAGTGTTAACTTTAATTTCACTACAATTCCTTATTCTTTTCCTTTAGTTTATATTTCCATTGCCTTTATCATTTTTTCTAAGAGCTGTAGATCCATGACTCATCATAATCATTAAAATTGCAGTTCCAAATAATTAATGATTTTATTTTGCTCTTATAGAATCAGTGTTTTAATACAATTCATGCTAAAATGTTAAGTATGGTGATTTTTAACAACAGTTTTTATTAGGTAAAATGGTGTGGAATTTAGGATTCGCTTTTTTGAAAACTTGGAGAACAACTGTAAACAATTTTTTTTTCTTTTTGTAGGATTTACTTACAAGACATAAATTGCTCAGTGCAGAATTTTTGGAACAGCATTATGATAGAGTAAGTATATGAAATACTATTTTTAAATAATAAATTGTAACTTTTGTTACCAGAAATGAAAGACTTACATTAGGTTTTTGTACTAGAATATTTATTTTGCATATGTAATGTTTATAAATGGTGCCGTAGTTATTTCTCTACTTAAACAACTTATAGAATATTACTTGGTCAGAAGTAGATCTTTTTGATTGACATACTGCCCTTTGAAGCTTTTATTGCTTTAAAAGAGGAAAATAGAGCATTTTGCTGCTAAAATGATAGTAAAGATAGTAGGAAAATTATCTGACTTTTTAACTTTTCCTTCCTTTTCCATCAGTTGCCCCACATTTCTGCTGCATACAAATAGAGAGAAAGGGAGGCAGCAGCTGATAGGATGAGAGCAGCACTGGCCAGAGGGGACGGGAGCCCGGCTCTGCTCCTGCTCTACTGCTCACTCCTTTGTGGCCATGGCCAAGGCAGTTAACCGCTTGGGGACTTAGAAGTCCGTCCTTATTGTAAAATGAGGACATTGGACTAGCTTGTCGGTAAGGTCCCTTCCAGCACTGAGTCAATGTCAGATGTTCCTGGTAATAGTGTCCCCCAGAGATTTGTCAATGATTTCCAGAGTGCTTGATAGCTTGATTTCCCTAGACCCGCACAACTGCCTCTAGGGCTGCCATGTGAAATGATCTCTTCCACCACTGCCAGTTCTGCCAGCCTCAGGAGGATCTTCCACAATACCCACAAGCACTGTTGTGATGTACTGGTTTAACTACACATCGTCGAAGATTCTGATAGGTACCCGTAAAGAGGTTAGAAGAATGACAATCCACTTAAAACTCCTGTCTATCCTGCAAAATTTGGTTTAGATTTTAATTTTTCCACTACTCATTTAAATTTTTGAAATCCTGAGTATTATTAATACTTCATTATTCACTTTGCTGTTCAAATACATTCTGAGATTCTTAGAGGCAAAAATCTATGCTTGCTTGTTCTTTTGTGGGTTTTTTTCCCTGTCTTTTCCCCCTGCCCTCCACTCCCAGTAAGAACATAACACAACACTGAGCACACAAGTCCTTCATAAGTAGCCTCATAAATGGCTTAAAAATTGCTGGTCCTTTATTTTTATTTCAGCTCATGTGTATTTGGATATGGGTGCGTTTCTTGTATGTTCATTGCTTTAAAATGGCAGTTCTGTCATCATCAGGGCCTTTTTACAGTAGATAGAAGCATGGACTTGAGCCTTGGACTGCCTGGATTCTGGCTGCAAGTCTCAGCCCTACCATGGGCTGGTAGGACTTCAGCAACTGCCTTCATGCACCCTCTGTGCCTTCAGGATCTTCCACCCTGAAGAAAGCTCTTCATATAGTACCTGTCTACTGGGATCATCATGAGGATTAGATAAGAACGTGTATGTGACGTGCATGGCACAGTGCCTGGAACACAGGAAGCACTTAATAAACGTTAGTTCATTTATCATCACCACAAAGATTTTTCAACATACTAGTAATTTAAGGCCTACCAAAGACACAGACTAGCTGATTTCCAAGACATTTGCTACAGTGAAATCTGTTTAATCTTGCAGTAAAATAGCTTCCTACATGTTGTTAATAGATGACATCAGTTAACAGGATTTTAGAAGAACATATGTGAGGCAACAAATCTATAGAAAGCAGTCAGATCTTATAGAGGGAGAAGCAGTGGGGGATGTGGGTAATTTAAAGCCACAGGTGAGGTTATTACACCAAAATAACATGCTCTAAATTCTGATCCAGTTTGGCTCTGAGCTTTCTAATAACCAAAGCGTAGAAAGAAATAAAACAATTAAAAGATGACAGTATTTGTAGAGTAAAATTCATGCTGGCTGCTCAAAAGAAACGTAGCCTTTCCTAGCACTGGGACCTGAAACCGGTTTCTCTCCTTGGCGTTCTTAAAGGAGAGTCAAGTTACAGTATCATGTAGTGGACAGTCATTGCCGTGGCATTGCAGTAAATAAAATGCTCAACTCCGATGCAGTTCCCTGAAAGCAAGTCTTTGAGGAACCCAGAAGTGGGTGGGAGGACAGGTATCTAGGTTTGTTACTTACTCTTTGTCTGTCCTAATACAGAGAAGAAAAAATCTAACATAACCTGAAGGAAACAGGGGCCACATACATACTTTTCAGGCAGTTCTCCATGAAAAGTTTCTTGCAACCAAGCTTATCCAAAGATGCAGCAGAAAATCTTAACTTGCATTTTCTGTATATATAAGAACTTGAGATGTATATATTTTGTTACTGATTAAAAGCAGGTCCAGTTGTTTTGATCATCAGTTTGATGATAATTTGAGAAGGTAGACTTAACAGCTTTTTCTGAAAAGAGAGAAATCTAACTCAAATACATACCAAATAGATGGCCAGCTCACCTCTGCCAAGAGGCAGGCAGAAGAAATAATGTATAATTCTGTGTTAGCTCTAAACCAAGAAGGCCAGAAAGCAAATTTTTGAGGCTTTGTAAGCCATGTGGTCTCTGTTGACTCTCCTGTCTGTTGTTCTATGAAAGCAGCTGTAAATAATACATAAACTTTTCAGTGAATTCATGTTCAGTAAACAAACGAGCATGGGATGTGTTCCAGAAAAACTTTTCACAAACAGGCAGCAGGCCATAGTTTGCCATCCCTTGCTCTAGACCACAGATGAATGGCTAATGAGGACCCATCATAAAGCATGGACACCAGTAGTTCTCTCATGGACAGATGACAAAGCAGGCATCCCCCGGCACTCGCGATGACCAAAGGAAAGTCTCAGGAAAGCACGAAGATCCAACAGTCATACTAGTGCTGCAGACTTTCAGAATGTTTTAAACCTATCTGTGGTTTAAACAGACAGACAAAAAATAAAATCTTAAGGCTAACTGGCCTTGTCTACTAGGTTTTTGAAGGATAGCCTTGGCCCCCAAGTGCCTGTCATTTCGGTTTTGTAACTCTGCTTTAATGGGCTTCTAGCCTTCACCATCCAGCAGTGCCACTCTTGTCAGTGACCGCTGTTTTGAAGGTCTAGTGGACCTGTCAGTTCTTAAATTTGTGGCATTTTGTTCTCCCCGGGGCTTCATTCATACTATGTCCTTCCTTTTTTATCTGCCCAGATTCTCTTTTCTCCCCTCCATTTCTGAGTGAAATCCCTCCCATCCGACAGGTCTGAGACTAAGCCCCACCTTCGTTGTCGGCCTGGTTAACACAATGCTGAATTTCTCCTCTCTTAATTTCTATTCCGAATTACTTTTTCTCTTTGCCTGATACATTGAAAGAGCAGATAACTTTTCTCTTTGTGGTTGTGCTTTGAACAAATTGAATTCTTGTTTATATAAAATACGAGTTTTTCAATCTAACATCAAGATATGAGAGCAGACTCAACAAGCAAAAGTGTGAGGGGTATGGGAGTTAGGTTTTGTGCATAGGGAGCTTGGGGTGACAGAGAGGCCTGGATTTAAGCTCTGTCTGCAGGCCTGGCTGGAACTGGGAAGGGGCTCAGTCCCAGGAGCCCTCTTCATGGAAGGGATTGGTGGGATCACCTGAGAGTCTCAGAGCAAACATGTCAGAGGAAGACATGAAAGAGAGTGGCAGGGGAGCCAGGGCAGCTGTTGGCCTTCATGGTGTGAGAAATGTGTCCTTAAGCTAATTTACAATGTTACCTACCAGTCTTTTTTTTTTTTTTTTTTTTTTTTTTTTTTTTTTGGCAATAACCCTGATTTATGTTCTCTTATCTTTTAGTTTTTCAGTGAATATGAGAAGTTACTTCATTCAGAAAATTATGTGACAAAAAGACAGTCACTGAAGGTATGACAGACCATTTTGTATAGCTTATTTCTCTGTACCTTGTGTTTGAAATGTGGATTTGGGGAAAGGGAGATGTGCAGGATGGGTCATAGACCTTTGGGGGAAATAAATACCTTTGCCGAGGGTCAAGATTTTTGCGGAAAGGAATGGAGTTGGACAGTGATCCATGTGGAGCACTTTCCTGCTTCCTAGTAAGGTGGAGACACAGAAAGGGAATGAACGGGAGTTTGAAGAAGACTTCATCTCCTAGCAGTGCATTCTTTGCGATTTTGAGCCATAGTCATATCAGCTAGATGAAGGCACTCCAGGTGCTGTGCTCCTGGGCTGTGGCCTGGGTGGCACAGGCAGGTGTGTGAGGGTGGAGGGAGGCGATGTGCGTGTGAGGCTGTGGACCGTAGACAGGCTTGGCTGCTTTGTATCAAAGCAGGATATCCTTTGCAAGTTAGAATGTTAAATTTAAGATTTAAACTGTAGAACAAGGGTTGGCAAACTACAACCCATGGGCTAAATCCAGCCAGCTGCCTGTGTTTGTAAGTAAAGTTTTACTGGAATAAAGACGTGCTCATTTATTTACATATTGTCTGTGGCTGTTTTGAGCTCCAGCAGCAGAATTAAGTAGATGCCTCAGAGACCCTATGTTCTGCAAAGTCTAAAATATTTACTGTTTGGCCCTTGATAGTTTGCTGACCCCTGCTGTAGAAAGTTCTTATAGCAGTTAAGAAGTGCATACCCTCCACTCTGTCAGTAAGCAGTCCCAACAGGAGATATAGATGAAATCACAAAGGATTTGAGGGGAAAATCATAATTCCATTCAGTTTTTTGCCAGGTCCATTTAAAATTTGACTCTGCCCAGAGTTCTTCCCCTCATGGGTGTCTGGACCGATAATGACCAAGATTCCATCCACTCATCCCCTTCCTACCGTGGGGAAATCTCCCTTGAAGACCTTATCTTTCTGTGGAAAAGACTAAAGGACACTAGGAGCATCTGGAATACTTTGTGTCCTTTGATAGGAACACTCCACCGTCCACATTTTCAATCAGCACTTTCTTTCAGAACAGCATATGCCTTTTTTCCGTGTAAGGCTGTAATTCCTGCAGCAGGGCATCCGTGACAGCCACAGCTGGGGAACAGGCACAGTCCAGCCAGGCCCCTTGCTTTCCATTCATTGCTGTTGCTTGGGCCCCACCTTCCCTGGCTTAGAGGATCATTTGCTGTCCTTTCATCTTTGGGGGGTTGGACAGAACTTCCTGGCAGCTGTGGGAGGAGTTTCTCCTCCCTGGACATCAGTGTGTGAGAGAGTGGAGGTTCCTGGGGCCTCTCCTGCTCTGTGATCCTCAAAGGGCTGAGGTATACTACTCTTGCCAGCAGTTATACAGATGCACACAGTTCACTGGAGTCAGTATCTTCTAAGGCCACAAAGGCCAGACAGGATAGCCTAGGTTAGTAGCTTCTAGGGCCATTGTGGGAGGAAGCTGGGGCCGGGGGTGCAGGGTGGAGGTTATTGGCAAATCCATAAACTTTGACCAAATGTTGGATTCTTGGGCTGTTTGGATAAGGAGAAAGGCCTTCAAGACCCTTCTGCCATTCAGAATTACCAACATGAAAAGAAAGGCTGAGACCACCATTTCCAAGCCCTTAGGAATGGATATAAAGCAAGTTGCTGGCTCCTGCAGTTTATGTTAGCGGTGGGCCTGTGAGTGCCCCATGAACACATGGAGCGGCTTCAGCACCAGCCGTACTTTAAAGATGGATTTTAATTTGTACTCTCTTTTTCGTAGCCACATTGGCATTTATTTATTCCCATATTTATGTCGCCAGCAAATTTATATTCCCTATGCAAGACTCCCAAGTTTTTTAGTAAAGTATTACATGTTTGGGCTGAGTATGGTGGCTCACGCCTGTAATCCCAGCACTTTGGGAGGCCAAGGTGGGTGGATGGATGGAGGTCAGGAGTTCAAGACCAGCCTGGCCAACATGGTGAAACCCTGTCTCTAGCCCCAAAAATTAATTAGCCAGGTGTGGTGGCACAAGCCTGTAGTCCCAGCTACTTGGGAGGCTGAGGCATGAGAATCACTTGAGCTCGGGAGGTGGAGGTTGCAGTGAGCCAAGATTGTGCCACTGCACTCCAGCCTTTGTGACAGAGTGAGACTATCTCAAAAAATAAAAAAAGAATTACATATTTGAAGTCATCTTCCTTCAGATTTTCTTTGGTTTCTGTGATAGAAAAAGAACACGAAAGCTATAAATCACATAATACTAACTTTTCAGTCTTTGTAAGATACTGGTTGCTTCTCACCGTAAGAATAGATTTTGTGATTCACATTGATATGAAGCCTACTCCTTTCAGTTTTTCCTATGAGTTCCTTATAAAGCCTAAGTAAAATAGATTTGTTTTCTTGTACATCAGCTCATTTTTTATTTAATATGATGACAAGTTACTTATCCAGAGATCAGTTACCTGGAAACTTCAAGTATCTAGAACATAGCCAGAAACCCAGAAAGGAAGCAACAAAAGCAATTAAAGCAAAGCCACAGAGCCGCTATTTGCGCCTTTTCTTCCCTTAGCCCTCACTCACTCACATCTCTGCAGATACAGGCCTGATACGTGCTTTGCACACTGATGCTCGTTTCTCACTGCACTCTCCTGAGAGAGAGGCACTGTTCCATTATACAGATGATGGAACCGAGACACAGAGGAGTTCAGTAACGTGCTCAAGATTACAGAGCTCACAAGAAGTAGGGAGCCAGGATTGGAACCCAGGCAGGCTGGCACCAGGGACCAAGCTCTCCACAGCTCTGCCACCGCCCACAAGGACCGCAGCTTGGCACCTGCCCCACTGCCGGCTCTGCACACTCAGCCTTGGCCAGGTTGTTGGCATGTTGACAACCTGAAGAAGTGACTGCTGGTTTTAGGAAAGAGTAAGCCGTGACAGTTTAAAAGTTATGAGTTTATATGATATAACCAACTCTCCAGAAATTAGTAAACCCTTGAAGTAAACAGATGTTTTTTTAGCATTAATTGGTATAATTAGTGATGGTGAGGGGTCAGTAAGAAAACACTGGATTATCTTCAGGAGACCTAAGAAGGAGCAGAAAAATACTCACTTGTGTAAACCTTTCTGAATTAGCTGTGATAAAACGATAACTGTGGCATGTGCAGGGTACACAAATGGAAAACTTTGGACACAAAACCCTTTATCTTGGAAAGTCCCGCTAAATAAAATTTAAAAATAGTTGTTTTAAATTAAGCTAAGGTTTGTGGTTAGTTAACAGGAATAATCAATAACTTTTGACCATTTTCTTGAATAGTTTCTTTTTAGTGAGCTAACACAAATGCACGCTTAAAGGGGAGGCTTTGAGAGTCTCCCACTGGGGCCAAGGGGGCATCTTGAACATCCTCTGCAGAGAGAAGCGTCAGGCCTCCCGTAGACTTCATCTCTCAGGGAAAGGGAGGAAGGCATTCAGGTGGCAGAGAGAAGGCCCTTCGTAGCTTTTAGGTTGTAATTCAGTTCAGTTCTTCGGTCTTTTGAGTGCCTACTAATACTCTATACTTGATGATTATAAAATAAATTGTTTTTTTAAACTTTGATTTTTCTTTAAGTTTTAATAACAAGGTAATTGTTTAAATGTCTTCTCAGCTTCTCGGTGAACTACTACTAGATAGACACAACTTCACAATTATGACAAAATACATCAGTAAACCTGAGAACCTCAAATTAATGATGAACCTGCTGCGAGACAAAAGTCGCAACATCCAGTTTGAGGCCTTTCACGTTTTTAAGGTAGAGTACTAGAAGCATCAGTGATACTGTCCACTGGAATTGTTCGTCGTCTTTCATTCGCAAATAACGGAAATTATTAGCCTCACTCTGGTAATCCAGGTGACTTAATTAAATTCAGTCACTTTTCATATTTGTGTGCTATGACTTTTAAACAGAAAGGTAGACCTGGAAACGGGTTACTGTTTGGATCTGGGAACGAGAAGGTTTGTTCATAGAAGAGTGTCATTTATCTTTGGCCTAGAAGATTAGTAACTGCAAAACAAAAGCATTTCTTAATGCTTTCTGTGGAGGTTTCATTCTTAAAATCCCATCTGACCTCTTGTGCTGAGAAATAATTTCTGCCCATTTTATTCTAAAATCAAAGTCTGTATTTAATACTAAACACTGTGTTGCAGGGCTGGCAGAATGAGTTTATCAGTCGTATTTGTGTTAAAACATGTAATTATTATTTTTTTTTCCAAATTGTAAAATAACGCCTTCTAAAGCAAAACCTAATGACCCTGACTTCAGCGCCATCCCAGGAGAGCACAGCTCTGCTTTTCTGCACTGTGGCCGCAGCTCAGGTGTGGCTGCGTTTTGTCCTTTCTCTGTGCCTCATGTGCGTTTCTCTCCACGCAGGTGTTTGTAGCCAATCCTAACAAGACGCAGCCCATCCTAGACATCCTCCTCAAGAACCAGGCCAAACTCATAGAGTTCCTCAGCAAGTTTCAGAACGACAGGACGGAGGATGAGCAGTTTAACGACGAGAAGACCTATTTAGTTAAACAGATCAGGGATTTGAAGAGACCAGCTCAGCAAGAAGCTTAATCTCCAATAAACATCTATGTTAAATCCAAATTCAGCATTTGCTGTTAGCTATTCAGCATCAGGCACTCTTATTGATTCATGAGGAACATTACTGCTAATCTGCTGTTAAGTGAACGGTTTTTCATTTTACCCTTTTGTTTTTCAGTCCAGGTTGGAGATCGTAGCTGCTGCTGCTTGCACACTAGGGCACATGTGGGCTTTCTCTTGATCTTTGTGTCATTTCAGAATTCAAAGACTGTGCTACGGGAGTTCTGAACATGGCTGGGTTCATGAAGGCAAATGTATGGATGAGAGTGTGGTTTAGGAAAGAGGGCACTGATATCAGATTAGACCTATGTGTTTGCACCCATCTTTGTTGGCGATCTGAGTGCAGTGTGGCAAGTGCACACCTGGCATCCCTGCGTCAGATCGCGCACCTTCAGGTCGCGCACCTTCGCTGAAGGAAGATGACGCAGAGCTTTATCTGAAATCAGAGGGGAGCTATCCAAAATGGGAGTTTGGGGGCAGCTAAAGTTGACATGCGAATAAATTGATACTGAAACTTAGCAACTTCTTAAAAGTGTAAAGAAGCCTCATAAGATCATAAGGAAAATGTATATATGCTTTTCACAGCTTTCTAGAATTTTTTGACATTTGATTTTCTTGAGACTTGTAAACCTGGATATGTTGAAGGGTATTTGTTAATTTTACTTTTCAAAGATACTTTAAAACAGTAGAGCTAGCAATGACACCTTGCATTTCATTTCAACACTGCTTCAAGGTTTCTTTTGTATATAATTCTTAGAATGCTCATTTCTTTTAAATGGTTTAATTTGTACAGCAGAGGAATGTTATTGTAGTAGTATGTAACTATTACCTAATACTGAGTTTTTGCAAAAAACAATGAATGCTCATATGTAATTGAAATACTTCAGATCACATGAAAATGCTGATTTAACATTTAAGTATCACAGCATTAAAAGAAAAAGAAAGTAAACCAGTCCTTTGTATTCAGTTACCTAATGGGGTGCCATCAATAAGCTGCGATACAGCCCTGGAGCTCAGTCAGCCACACCTTCCTGCATCCTATTGGCCTTATTCATTTTAAATGAGTTAATGAATCTGCCAGATCTGTGAATGATAGAGATTATGCTAAATTAATGCTGATTCTTTGTGTGTGTGGGAAATCTCTGTAGAGCACCTTTTCTTTCTTAGACTAAGTAACCCAGTACAATAGTTGTGAACTGAATAATTAAAACTTTGGCTTCTCTTAGGAAAAGACGACTTCCTAGTCATAGGTGTCCTATGGGGAAATTTATTTTTTTTAATGTCCTGTTCCTTAATGCTGCAAATTATCAGTATTTATAAAGTAACTGATTTTGCACCACTTTTTTGTTACTGTGACCACGGCAGAACAATGTCTTCTAGACTATATCTATGTAAAGTTATTAGAATGGTATCTGTTCATTTTAGTGATATGAAGATCACAACTAACAACTGACAAATCAGAGTTTGCCAGTTCAAATTCAGCATGGCTGCAGCTGATTAAGAAATTGATATGATTATTCTTTGCTAGCCTCTCTTACTAATGGAATTATATACTGGCCAGTAAAATGGGCCTCCCAATTGCTGTTTCAGCAGGTTTTAAACCTTCAGGAACACCAGTTAGGAAAATAGCTCCAGAAAATATAGATATATTTTATTTTTATTAAAATGGCAGTCTACATCATAATTGGCATTTCTCAAGACTGTCTTTACCAGAATCTGTGTGAAATAAGGCAATCTAGTCTCCTTGAAAAAAAAATCTCTTGGATGTTTAGGAAGGAAGACTTGGCCGTGATGTGGTGTCCTGGCTTTGTGGTGTAGTGCTGTGTGTATGGAGTTAGTGTAAAAACATGGATTACACCAAGTGGAAGAAACGTCTTCTTGCCAAGCTCATTCTTAGAACTTACACATCTAGAACAGCTTCCACTTTGGCAGTGAGGTCGTAGCCTTTTAGGTGGAAGAAGTGAGGGTGCAGCGTGTCAGACACAACATTCATGTTACTCTTACATTGGAATCTGAAGGTAGTTCAGACTTCGTGGGTTTTGTTTTTAAGCAAAACAATGTGAAAACATTTAAGTTTGAAATGTTGCATTTGAAGTTATGATCATTTAATATATTCATATTACCAAGACTATTATACTGGAAGTGGTTTTTGTGTTATAAAGGTTTAATTTTACATAAGGCAGTTACTTAATGTGATTTTTAACCCTTAAAAAAGTGGAGATGTATACATTTGTTAACAATGCCATGAAAGCATTTTCTTTCTCCTAAGGAAAAGTGAATTTCTTATCAGAATATCTGGCTGGCCCTGTAATTTAAATTAAAATAAAATTTTGGAGAAACAGCATTGTCTGTCTTTATGATGTGTTATAGACAGTTGCATTTGTGTTACTGTGAACAGCTTCATCAGGAGACACACAAGCCCGAATTTTATCACCAACTGAAAGTGGAGGGACAGTTAACACCCATTCCTGTCTGCCTTTTTCCCTGTTCAGGGGCTTCACTTCCCCCCCACCGCCCCCGTGCTCATGTTTTCCTTACCCTTCCTGAGTAAAATCACACCTTTTAATGGTACCATTTCTTAGACCCTAACGTTTGAGGAGTAGATCCTCTCTTGCGCTGTTAGCAACACCGCGAGGCTAAACTAGAACACTCGGCCCGGAGTATTCACAGGTTACTGATGTGAAATGATCATGAAGGCGAGGGGACCGTGGAAGCAGGCACAAGAACTCTGGCACCGTAAAGAATGTCCCTCGTCTGCCTTCCAGGGTGCCTCGTAATCCTTAGTTCACAGCCCTGCCCTCGACTTTAACCCCTGTCAGTAAATGAAATCTTATTCTCTGGAGTGAAGGCAAGGGACATGCTCTTGCCAAAAACACTTCATCCGAATAACAATGTCCTATTTGTTATTTCTGTCAAGTAGTTCAGTCTACTTGTACGTTGTAGTTCCCCAAAGGTGACAAGGGCCCATTAAGTCATAACTTGTGACTTGGCCACTTATAAGGATCACCAGGCTGAGGACTGGATTCACGCTTCAGCTCAAATTCCACTTCCTACCACAATCCCCCATCAAATGCCCTCCTCCCCTTGCCAAAGAAGCTCCAGAACGTTGCACTTCAGGCAGCTCAGGAGTAGTGCAGTTCTCACCCAGCCTTCCTAGTTAGGCTCCAACAAGGTCCTGATCGGGAAGTGCTCTGAGGCTGCAGTCAGTGCCCAATACCTTGTTCATGCTGGAGGTTAGAGCCACTCACGGTCATGAGAAAGCCCACCTGCCAACGTGCCAAAGTTGTCCTTTAGGGGAAGAGCGGGCAGCCCAGCACACACCGCCCTTCAGGTACTCCCGGATGTGTCAGGAATCTTCTCCCTGGCCATGGCTGTGTCCTCACTGACCATCTGGTTTCCAGAAGACATGAAGGACAGGGTAAGATTCTCCCCAGTCAGCAATCTCAGTACTGCAGAAAGACCCACTGGAGCTTTTCTCTACGAATACCATCCGCTTTCACCCGTTGACAGTCTGCTTGCGGTCAACCAGCACACCTCCGCCACCGAGCACTTTAGACCCAAGAAGTGCCTAATAAGGATCTTAAGCTTTCGAACCTCCAGGAATCCTGCCACCAGCATTCACGCTGACTGAAGAGGATGGTGGTGGTTGCACAAGGCTGTGTCACTGCACAGCTATATGAGGCCTTCATGTTGTGTGTGCCCTTACAGTGTCCTCTAAAACCTTGCTCATGTCTGAGAACTGGCAGCCAAGTGTCCGTCCCCACTGTGGCTGGAAGGTGGGGTAGGTTCCACCTGAGGGCACGTCCGCCGGGAGCTAAATCTCCAAGGACCGTGACCCCCTGGTTTCTTTTCTTTTTTTATTTTTTTATTTTTTTTTTTTGAGACGGAATCTTGCTCTGTCGCCCAGGCTGGAGTGCAGTGGCGCGATCTCGGCTCACTGCAAGCTCCACCTCGGGTTCACACCATTCTCCTACCTCAGCCCCCTGAGTAGCTGGGACTACAGGTGCCTGCTAATTTTTTGTATTTTTTAATAGAGACAGGGTTTCACCGTGTTAGCCAGGCTGGTCTCGATCTCCTGACCTCGTGATCTGCCCGCCTCGGCCTCCCAAAGTGCTGGGATTACAGGCATGAGCCACCACCCCCAGCCAGACCCCCTGGTTTCTATGCAGAAGATTTCATCCTTTGCAATTTGTTAAATTTTTATTATTTTTTCTAGGTAG